>NC_000008.11:31981314-32284345 GCF_000001405.40 Homo sapiens
GTTTTTTTCCTAAAAAAACCCACTTGTAATGGCTGGTAGTTGGAGTGTATAATCAGAGCAACTTGAATCTACGCTCCTGAGTGGCCATCTTCAACAATCACCCTGGAATAAACTCTTTTTAAACTAGAAAACAAAAACAAAGGAAACAACAAAAAAGAAGAAATCTATAGAGTGAACTATATTTTTCCACCTTGCAAATAGAAGGGGCAAAAATCAACCTTGCCTATCTGATGATTTAGTGTCATAGGGATTCCAAAATGTTATTTGTAACGTGTACCTTGATATGCTAATGGTGAAATCTCCTGTTTCTTGATTTGGTCTTCTCATCTTACATTTCTTACCTCAAATCCATTCTGCGACTTCACCAGCAGATTAATATTCTTTCCTGGTCTCTTGGAATTTTAATAAAAACAGCATGGTCATGGGGTTTCATGAAGCTTGCAGCCCTCTGGGGGATGCAGATAATAATCAATCAATCTCATAATTAAATGTAATTTTAAATAAGAGCTTACAAAAAAAAAGGAATATGGTGATAATAGAGCCTAGACAAAGGGATATTACCCAGTTAGTAGATGTGTATATGCTGGGCAAAGGGATTGATATTTAAATAATGTACAGGAGTCATCTAATCAAAATGGTAGAGGTGGTGGGTGAGGAAGGATCTTTTGTGAAAATGGAACAACATGTATAAATATATACCATGATGGGCAGGAGCACAGAGATTTTGAGAAAATAAAGCTGTGGTCGCAGTCACAGCTCAAGGAGACAGTGGGAGAAGGGAATTCGGTGAACTGGTAAAGGTGGCAGGATCATTTGGTACCTCATAGGCTCTGATTAAGATTCTTCCTATATCTTTAGAGCTGTTGAAACTCACTGGAGTCTTCAACAACTGAGTGACAGGATTAGATTTGAAAAGATCATTCTTGCTATGGTGTAGAGAATAGTCATTCTTAGATCATTCTTGCTAAGTCTTCCATGAGAAAGTGAGTAACATAGATTTGAAAAGATCATTCTTGCTATAATGTATGAAACAGTTGGGAAGAAGGTAAGTTATGGGAAGACCATTTGAAGGCTATCACAAAGAGAAATTCTGATCATTTAGATTAGGTGATGGAGAGAAAGGATGAGGAACCCAGAAGATAGTGGGAATTACCAAGGCAGAGATGTGGATAATACAGTCCATGACTATAGAACAGGAAGTGCTGAAAGAGCATGTTTCTGCACATTTAGAATTAAGAGGGATTTGGAGCATCTGGAGCAGAATTTGTTTGTTGGGAATGATGACTCGGGAGAGGCAGGTAGGGGCCAAATTATGAAGGTCCATTTTTGTGATGTGATGGCAAAAGGAACAACTGAATAAATTGAGCAGGGAATCACAGTCAGATGTGGAGTCCAGAGAAGTCTCTGATGGTGTGGAGGATGCTCCACATCTCTCATGAAATTAATTGAGAAACTGCTATTTTTTTCATCTAAGAGTTTTAATTATCTTTCATTTAGTTCCCAGAGGCTATTGGGCATAGGCACCTAGTAAGTAACTGTTAATAACAACATGCTTATTTTGGGCATGGCAATGTGGAAATTTATTCCTGCCGAGTAATCAGTGCCAGTTTTATGCTGGCAGGGTTTTAAAAGAATGGAGAAGGGATTCTTTTGCCTCCATTAGGAGAAAGCTGTGCCTTCTCTTCATCATATAGTGACTCATTCAAGGTTGGCACAAAGTAACTTTAATCAATTAATGTGAATAATATCATACCTTTTTAAGCCTAAAATGGATATTAGAGGCTATCAGCCCCCTGGAAAAAAGTCTGCAGAATATTTTTCTTTCAATGATAATGTCATATATATCATAGCCCTTGAATCTTTCCAAAACATTTAGTCAATACTGAAAACATCCCTAGAGAGACACTCATCCAATTTCTCACATGTGAATCTTTTATCTATCTTTGGAAAATTTTAAGAAGTGCTTAATTTCAGACTGCTTTTATAAAGGACATAACTAGTAGCATGGTAAAAGTGCAGTCCATGAAATTAAATTCCTGATCTGAACCTCAGGTCAATTAACTTCTAAAAATACTCTTTTTGAGACAGGATCTCACTCTGTTGCCCAGACTAGAGTGCAGTGGTGTGTGATTATGGCTCACTGCAGCCTCAACCTCCCAGGTTCAAGTGATCCTCCTACCTCAGCCTCCAGAGTAACTGAGACTACAGGAGTATGCCACCAAACCTGTCTATTTTTTTAAATTTTTTTGCAGAAATGGGATCTTGCTATGTTTCCCAGGCTAGTCTCAAACTCCAGGGTTCATGTGATGTGCTCTGCTGGGTGCTATACTGGGCTGACAAAGGTGAATAACACCTAATTCTTCTCCAAAGAGAGCGCTCTTCAACTGATGAGGGAAATAAACAGGAGAGCAGGCAGTGAATGATAGAGCAGTATCAGAGGTGCTAGGTTGAGGATCTTCACAAGCTTCTAAGTCAGGACATCCTAATTCAAACCAGGAAGGATCAAAGAAGACAGTAAAGATAATGACCACAAGTTGAGTCTTGCTATAAGCTGAATCTGGAAGATAGAAGTGAAATTGTCCATGAAAAAGGAAGAAAGAAGAATGTCGAAGACCAAAGGGGAAAGAGAGTAAGACAAGGTAAATCACCTTTTGATATCGTTGCTGAGTTGTGTGAAAGGCTGTCAAAGTGGGCAGAAGTCATGTTCAGAAGAGTTTTACATTCAAATTAAGGAGTCTCTGTTAGACAGCTTTAAATCCATGTGTCTAATATCTTACAAAGACCAAAGACTCATAGTGGATATTTCCCTCTATCTAAAAATAATAAACTTTTCTTTCCAAAGGGAAAAATTTTTACTTATGAAAAATGTGGTAAAATATAGAATAGGAAATTCTGAAAGATACAAGTTCTTCTTGAACAATGAGCAATGTAAAAATGATAAAATTATTGCATGATACAATCTTTTTTAAAAAAGAGAAAACACTGAGCATCTTTTCCTTAAGCCCCCTTTCATAAAATCTCATATTTTGCCCACTTCTCCATCTTAATGATTGTGGATTTCTTTCTCAAGACCTACTTAATACATCTCAGTTGGAATTTCGAAATGCTGGCAAGTCTTTAAAAATAGACAGATGATGACCCTAAGACATTTGGAACTTATCCTAAAGGCTGAGGCACAGTAGAGAAAATATATTGAATAATATACAATTTTGGTCAGGAAATGAGGAACTGCTAGGTTAGAGGCCCCATTTTCTGTGTCTGGACACTGGAGAGAATGCTTGTGTTTGGTCCTCCAATTAAGAGCTGCATGATGCCTGTGCCCTGCAATGCCAACACTTATTGGGAACCCATAACCTTTGCTTCTCCAACTTCTCCAGCCAAGATTATGATGAAAAAAGAGGCAAACCACAATTGCCAAGTCTGTTCTCAGCAATTCGTTCACTGGTCTTTCATCATTAGGCACATTGCCCCTGTGTACCTTTGGTCCCAACGCATAAAGGGATCTTGCATTGTAAGCACATCATATGTTTATTTAAAGAATTTTGAATCTTTGCAGCTCTTATTGACTGTTCAGCAGTGAAATTAGCTGTTGAAAAGCATTTGCACTGGGGGTCGTTTCTGGAAAGAAAAGAAGTATTTCTTACCTTCTTCTCTAAGACTGCACATTCCTTGGGGGTTTACCCATTTGAGACTGCAAGAAGATGAAATAACTCACTTTTCTCTATTAAAAGGTGATCTCAATTGCTATAGAGAGAAGAAATAAACAATTATTAATATTCCTGTGTCAGAGAGTGTTTATAAAAGCAAACTGTGAGGTTCGTAATCTGTTTTTAGACAAGAAAAAGATTTAAAGAATGACTTAAAGTGATGATTATAAGAAAATAAGGAGAAAAAGGAGAGAGAGGAGAGGTTAATAGGTAGGGGAAATTGATTCTAGACCAAGCACTTAAGAATTCTAGTTCTATGTTTGATTTCCTTTTTATACATCTTGCACTTTGCTCTAAAGCAAAGGAGTTACAAAATTTTTAGGCAAAATTTTCTACCCATGATTAGCGAGCATTTATAGAAAGAAGCAATAAGTTCTTTCAGTTGAATACACCCAGTACCTCTAAAAATTAATGTAAAGAGCACATTTCATGGTCACTAAAAGAAGGGTGCAATTTAATGTATGATGTTACCATTTATTACTAAGAGGACCTGATACACAAAAATATAAATTACTTTTTCCATATCTTCTTTCAGCTTCAAATGATTTTGATTTTTTTTTTACTTTAGATACTCAGAGTAGAATTTATAAAGACATTTGGGGAGTATTTCTACCTCAAAGGAAAACAAAAATATAATGACATTTAACCATTTCAGATATTTCATGATATGTAGTTAGTTTTGTGTATGTTTCTACTACATTAAAATATCCAATTTATTGGTTGTCTTGAAAGGCTTTTGTTTTCTGCAGAGATTGGATTTCCAAATATATTAAAATAATTGCAGTATTTATATTGTCCGTTCTTAGGGGCTGTACTTATATTGCATTTCTTTGCAGAGTTATTGATGATGTATCCTTGTTCTGCAGTATGGCACTTGGCAAAACATTGCTTCCTAGTTTGAACTCTCCAATGTAACCTTCAGGGGGAAATGGTTCTAGAATACCATTGCATCAACTCTTTTAGCAAATTGCATTATTAGACATCCATTTATAACTTATCCTCTAAGTGATCTCAGTCGAATCATTTGCTGTCTTGGTTTCACTTCTATGAAATATTCTAGAGCAAATGCTGCCCTTGCTTGTGTCATAGGACTGCAGTGTTGGATGCCTTCTGTGAAGTTCATTTAGCCCCTCATAATATGCATTCCATGTAACTAGGAGGGAATTTTCTTTGGGTAGATTTCTCAGATAAGTTGTAAGGGGTGGTGTGACTGGCTAAAGTGCATCAGTAAGAGATCATTGGCTTGTGAGGAGTGCAAAAGGCAGGCAGACAAGGGGAAGAGGAAGTGGAAGAAGCCCTACACATATTGAGCACCAGTCCACACCACACTCCCCATGAAGCACTTTTCATACATTGCCTCATGTAGACTTTGAGATGACTCTGAAATCTGGGTGTTATTAGAGGCCAGAGATCTCAAAAAACTTGCTCTAGACACTTCATACAACCGGTAAAGGGTAGAATTGGCATTTGACACAAATTTGACTGCCTCCTAAACTTAATACATTTTCTGCAAAGTTATTGGAGACAATGGAGCATGAAATATTTCTTAGTTTCAGGGGTTGAAGTATCATCTGCACTTAGTTTTCTTCTCAAATAAGATAAACTCTAAACAACAATAAGAAAAGTAGATTTGTGAGTTTTGTACGAATTGGCCAGCTATTAATATCATTTGGCATTCTAAAGGAAGAACGGCTGAAGTAAACCACAGGTGCAGATCAAATCTTGATGTCTGTTTCACTGCAGGAGACAAATAGAATCTCTCTTTCTTGTATGCTTCTGTTATGTTGAGTCTAAATCTGAGGTAATCATGATCATTTCAACCTGAGGTATGGTTTACTAAATTAGGAGAAACATACAAAAGTTTGTTGACTTTTAAGCTAAAGAAGGCAAAAGCCATAAGTGAAACAATTCAAGTAGAGTGCTATAATGTGACTGTTTCTAATGACAACTTGAATTGATTGTAAAATAAGTCTGGCAGTTAAAATGTATTAGTGTTGGCTGAGCATGGTGGCTCACGCCTATAATCCTAGCACCTTGGGAGGCTGAGGCGGGCAGATCATGAGGTCAAGAGATTGAGACCATCCTGGCCAGCATGGTGAAACCCCGCCTTTACTACAGATACAAAAATTAGCTGGGCATGGTGGAGGCTGTGCTTGTAGTCCCAGCTACTTGGGAGGCTGAGGCAGAAGAATTGCTTGAATCCAGGAGGCAGAGGTTGTAGTGAGGTGAGATCACGCCACTGCACTCCAGTCTGGTGACAGAGTGAGACTGTCTCAAAAAAAAAAAAAAAACATATATATGTGTGTGTGTGTGTGTGTGTGTGTGTGTATGTGTGTGAAATTATGACAGAATTTACCTGTAAGGTGTTAGTCATGGAATACTATGCAGCCATAAAAAAGAATGAAATCATGTCCTTTGTAGCAACATGGACGCAGCTGGAGGCCATTACCCTCAGTAAATTGAGGCAGAAAAAGAAAACCAGATACCACATGTTCTCACTTACAAGTGAGAGCTGAACTGAGTATGCATGTACACAAAGAAGAGAGCAATAGACACTGAGGCCTACCTGAGGATGGAGGTTGGGAGGAGGATGAGAATCAAAAAAGCTACCTATCCGGTACTATGCTCTCTACCTGCCTGATGAAATAATTTGTATAACCAAACCCCAGCAACATGCAATTTACCCATGTAACAAACCTGCACATGTGCCCCTGAACCTAAAAGTTGGAAGGAAAAAAAAGGGATAGATGTTAGATTATTCCAACCTCAGCATTTTAAATAACCTCTATGACTTTCTTAGATAAGTAATAGTAATACCAAAATAATTAGAGAGTGGTAGAGTTCCATCACCAGGTCTTTACCTTCATTTTAGGAATAGGTTAAGGCATCAAGAGATAAAGTAATTAATAAAGGATTATGCTGTGATCTGAAACACAAGTACAGTATTTGTATTTCTGAGCTAAGACTAAAGTCCAGATTTCTTTCATTTCGGTGCTTGTTCGTTTATACCACACTGCCCCAAAGGACACTAACTGTAATAGTACTTTGTCCTGACATTTAGGACGCACTCACACCCTTTTGTCCAGATGTTTCTGTCTTAGATTTCCTTACTAAACACTAGGATTGTGAAACCTTTCCTTTCCTTTCTAGGGACAAAATGGTATTCACTGGCATATCTAGTTTAATGCTTTGCGTACAGGGTGTGCCACAGACAATTGGGTTAATGGTTGTAACTGGTTAATTGATTGACACTTAATTTTCAGAGTTCGACCATAACTAAAGAGAGATGAGCTCCTTGAGGAGCTTCCCACTCCCCTAGTCCTCTTCTGCTGAAAACTACTGGGTCCTCAATTTTTCCTGAATACACCGCTCATGTGGCCACCCCTAACTGACCCAGTTGACCATGGATCCAATTTCAGCCACTTTGTGGATTGGCCAAAACTCTAAAAGGAAGCTTACCATCAAAATTTCTGTCCAAAAAGGAATGATGAACAATTATCTAGGCCAACTGAATTCTTCTTTACTCTGGTACTGAAAACATATAAAAGAAAGGAGGAAATCTGAGACCACAAGGTGGGAAGGGTTATAAGAATTTACAGAAGTCACAATGATGAGAAAGCAGAAGATATGAGGTGGAGAAGGTAATACATACATAGCAAAGAAGTTGATATCGACTAGATATGGCAGCTGCAGTGAGGCCAGAGATCCACTGAATTGCTGCATATCACAAAAGTGGAGAAATAATAAACACATGATTCTGAGGGAATAAGTTAGCCTGTATACTTGAGGTGCCTTAGATCCTATGCTTTTCCAGTTCTGCTTCCCAAGTTCATGTACCATTCCAGCAAATTCCGGAATTCTTTTCATACTATTCATTCTACAATAACTTGACCCCTCTTTTTGTTGACGATGACTTTCTGTTGCTTACAATAAAAAGACCCCAGTAGCTGGGCACAGTGGCTCATGCCTGTAATCCCAGCACTTTAGGAGGCTGAGGTGGGCAGGTCGCCTGATGTCGGGAGTTTCAGACCAGCCTATCCAACATGGTAAAACCCTGTCTCTACTAAAAATACAAAAATTAGCTGGACATGGTGGTGTGCGCCTGTAGTCCCAGACTCAGGAGGCTGAGGCAGGAGAATCAGTTGAACCCAGGAGGCAGAGGTTGCAGTGAAGCCGAGATTACTGTTGATTACTGTTACACTCCAACCTGGGTGAGAGAGAGACTCTGTCTCAAAAAAAAAAAAAAAAAAAAGAACAAAACAAAAAAAAGCCTAAATTATACAACAGGATCCATGGGAGAACATCTTGATAGCTTTTTAGCAGGAACATCACATTCCAAATGCTTGCTAGCTATTTTCTGAGTATCAGTTATATTTACCATGATCCTGAGGAGCAGACCCTTTATTGTGTCCCAGTTCAGTTTGCATCGTCTTCATACAGCATAAGGCAACAGTGATAGAAATAATCTCTAGAGTAATCTCCAAGTACCTTTCCAAAGCTGCTATGCCTCAAGTACTTCCTTTAACCTTTAAGCGTCTGCCTTGCATACAGTCCTCTTGGGCCACTCTTGGCAAAATATTTGGAAGGAGATCTGGAACCTGATTATTTCTCAATGAAAAAATAATTTGCTTTTGCACTGGGAAGCGACAGTAATCCAATATAAGCATGCCATTGAAAACCTTCATGCCCTACTATTTCTTTTAGGACTTTTGTGAACCCTTTCTCTTTGATACATTACCTTTGGCAATCATGGTATTCCAGGACGTGCCAATGAAGTTGGCTGAATCTGAATGGTCTTGGAAGAGTGGTTTGTGGTTGGAATTTCTCTTGCTTGTTGATATATGTACTTTCCATGTTGGACTTTGTGCTTATGTGAATTCTCCACGTCTCAAAGGCATTATGTCTAGCAAGCAATTTCTCATAAATTCTTATCCATACAGTTATTCTATGAGAGCATTGCAAATATAGTCAGATTAGGCTTTGATTTGTTTTTCATTCTAATGCTATCTAACAAGGGGATGTTCTGATTTGTGTAGCCCTGTGCCTCCAAGAAGTTAACGGTACCAGATACACAGCTCATTTATTTTCATTGTGCCCATGTGGTTTTCTGAAGTCACACTTTGTGTTGTTTTACATATGGGAAAATGGAAACCTGGCTAACTTGTCTTTAGTAAGTGATTGGTGGAGAAATTAGTAGAAACTACATCTCCAAATTCCTGATCTAGGTAATGCTGTTTCAACAAGCTAAGTTGCATTTGAATTTTGAAATACCCACTCTAGATTGCAATTACCAAATAGTTGTTATGTACCCAATCACAGGATATGCTTTTGAAATTTTTTTCATTAGTACATGGAAGAGAGAGTTTTATATTGTGGTAGGTAGAAATGCCCAGACAAGACAGGACTGAGATAAATTAATGGCCAGTCCATTTATTTTGATAAACACAAATAGGACTAATGCACCTTGAGCTTTAGGAACTAGCAGGGCATTTCTAGTTGCAGCATAGTCACACTAAGGTGCAAAGAGTCAATGGACAAGCAAAAATGTGTAAGAAGAAAATAAGATTCTTTGTTTGTTTTCTTTATTTGACATATTTAAAAGAAGGCAAAAGTGTATCTTCCAAAAAGTACATTTTGTGGTAGACACTTTTCCTCTGCTAAACCATATGACATCAAGTGGCATCCCTTTTCTTCCTTTGTGGTCATTCTAACCCTGATCCCAGATTGGACAAGGTTGAAATATCAGCATGAAGTGAAGTTGGTTCTGGTTAAACTTTTCCAGGATTGTCCCATCTTCCAGTCCTTGTAAATGAGTGTCATGCTTTGTTGCCAAGTCAATGAGGAGACAATGTTCACATGGAGACCCTTGGGCACAGATGAAACTGGAATTCCTTCTCACCCATTTCATACAGATAGTATGAAACTCATTTCAACTGAGAAGTGAAAATTCTGGTTAAGGAAGAATTGGTACTTGAAAGTTGTTACTTTAAAAAATTATCTTGATTCATGGTTTTACAAGTCAGTTATAAATGTTAATAGCCTCCATCACTGTCATGTTAGCTGTTGTTTCAGAAAAGAAATACATATTGTAGTAGTTTTAATAGAAGGAGTAGGACAGTAAATGTAAATGTCTGTCCTAATGGATTGTTTTATACATTAGAGAACAATTTTTTAAGTGATCGAGTAAACAAAGTCCCCCTCCTACCTCCACGGTGATTGTTTCTCATAGATGAAAACAGTTTTCTCATCCTGACGACGACAACAACTTCTTCTTCTTCTTCTTCCTCCTCTTCTTCTTCTTCTCTTTTTCTCTTTCTTTCCTCTTTATTTTTCTTCTTTCTTTCCTCCTCCTCCTCCTCTTCTTCTGCTGCTTCTTCTTCTTCTCCTTCTTCATCATCATTATCTCATCATCATTATCATTTCAGTGACCAGTTAGTGAGCACCTTCATGTCCAAGCACTGTCTGGGGTCTTCACAGATGTTATCCTAATCTTCACACCAGTTTAATACAAGTGTGTTAATATATTTGATATGAGTGCTAGGATATAGTATTTGGAGATGAGGGAAGCTAAGCTCAAGGTCACATTCTGCTGGAACTGGATTTGACACCAGAGCTGTCTGATTCCAACACCCACACTCTTCCCTCTGCCATATCCTGTGGGTGTGTATCAAGTTTTCTCCCTTGCCTGTGGATAGGTTGCCTATTTTTTAAATTAAGCTCACTCTTTATTTCTTTCCTTCTCCCTCCTCCTTCCCCAATTTCCCTTTTCTCCTTCTCTTTCTTTCATTTTTTTCCCAAGATGATATTTACCTGCAATACACTATTGAAAATTTCTCTATGCTTCTGCCCTGATCTAATACAATTTTTATCAAGGGAAAAATAACATTTACTAACTAATACCTTTCCCTGTAGAACCTGATAGAAAATAAAGCATAAAATTTAAAGTTTATGACACACTGCAATTCATCCAAGGGCGTCTAAATGTTCAAAGAGGCACAAGAGAGAGATAATTTGCTTTTAAAAGAAAATGAGGCCAGGCTCAGTGGCTCATACCTGTAATCCAAGCACTTTGAGAGGCTGAGGTGAGAGGATTGCTTGAGGCCAGGAGTTCAAGACCAGCCTGAGCAACATAGTGAGATCCCATCTCTTAAAAAAAAATAAAAAATTAGCCAGCTGTCTATTTAAAACAAGAAAGAAAGAAACAGAAAATGGGAGGAATTCAACTTTTGATTAGATTGTATTGGATTTCTGAAAGGAAAAGGGGGTACCAAAAAACAGAGAATTTGTTGATTAAGTAGTGTTTAAGAGCAGAAATGTCTGATGTTCAGTTTAAAGATGCCTGCACTGCTGTGATGTAACCTCTGCTTGCCTGATACTGAACTCTAACCATGTGTATCACATCCTAGACAGGGGAGGGAATGGAGGATAATTGACAAGAACAGCTTTTGATGTTAAAACTAGGAGCCAAATGCAGGCAGGGAATACTGTGGGAAGAGAGCAACTAGAGTTGAAAGGATGGAATTTTCCATAAGCAATACAAAGATTTTTGATACCTGACTCCTACTTAAAATTAATTCGACTAGAAAGACTCATCTTTTTCTGAAAAACTTTCTAATCATATATCACTTATTTTAGTTCCACATTTGAAAGCACTGTTGCCACAAAATCACCTATTCTTTTACTGATTTTATTAATTAATAAAAGACATTGTGTAGGACAGTATATTTGTCATAATTATGGGCAGATATAAGCATTAGCTCCATTGCAAAATAGGATTAAAACTGAATGTACAGTGTTGTCAAGTATGAAATATTTTTCCCAGAATAAATGAGTAGAGAAGCATTTAAAGTCTCCAAAAACTCCAAGGGGCCTAAGTGGGCTCTCTTCCAAAAAAATAATAATAACAAGTTATGATCATATTACCCTGAAATAGATTCAATTACCCAAACAATTAGTCAGCTAACAAATATTTATCAAGGCTCACTCTTCTAACTGATCTGGGATACAGAAGGATTGTAAGAATTAGTATCCTCCCTAATGGAGTTTTCATTCTAGTATGAGAGACAAAAGTAACACTTAAAAGCTAAAATTGAATGAGTTAGTTACAAAGTCTGTGGGGTTGACTCGAGTAGAGGGTGGTTGATCAGTGTAGGTTTAATGAAATTAAAATGAGTAAGATTCTATAAATGCAAGACTGGCCAGAGAAAGTGGGGAGCTCTGGGGCCAGAACAGCAGAGGACCAAAGGCATCCTACACAGCCAATTAAGGAATTTTCCTACTGAAGCATGGGGTCCAGGGAGCTTCATTTGTAATCCCTTGTTCTGCTTTGTTTCATTCTTGGACTCTAATATGGTTTGACTGTGTCCTCACTTGAATCTCACCTTGAGTTATAACAATCCCCACGTGTCAAGGTTGGTGCCAGGTGGAGATGATTGAATCATGGGGGCAGTTTCCCCCATACTGTTCTCCTGGTAAGTAAATAAGTCTCATTAGATTTGATGGTTTTATAAAAGGCAGTTCCCCTGCACAAGCTCTCTTCCCCACCACTGTGTAAGACATCCCTTTTCTCTTCCTTCATCTTCCATTTTGAATGTGAGGCCTCCCCAGCCAATGTGGAACTGTGAGTCCATTAAGTCTCTTTCCTTTATAAATTGCCCAGTCTCAGGTGTGTCTTTATCAGCAGCATGAGAATGGACTAATACAGACTCCATCACAGACCTTTGGGCTAAGGACTTTACCTCTAGGCACCTGCCCTATTACTTCTATTAAATGGTGTAAACACAGTTTGCTCACCCATGCAATTGCCTTACTGTGATTCATCTTGAAGTCTAGCCTGATGACAGGGATACTATGCACCCCACAACCAACCCTACTGAGTAATTGGCTCCATTAAAACAAGAGAGAATTGTGAGATAATCTGGATAGAGTTAGAGTTCACACCAAACATAGAGTTTCCAATTTAATGGATTAGTTTCATTTTTGCAACATTCAGTACTGATAGGATGGGTCAATTTTGGCAGGGTCTAGTTGCCATCTTAAAGCGAGGTACAGGGTGCTATTTAGAGCACTTTGCAGCAACAAAGAGGACAAGGTTTGAGGATAATTCTAATAGCTCTTATACAAAGATATTGAACCAAGTAAATTTATAATATGTGGGTCTGCAAAGTATTCATGTTTCTTGAGAGGAGTGCTTCAGATTGAGAGACGGGAGCAATCTGTAAAGAAGGAACCCAATGGATGGACACTGGGGAATGAATATCAAGGACACAGTTAGGTATGAATTTAAGCTAGATGTTCACTTAGGTAACTGTAGCCTGGAGTGGAATGACAGGTTAGAAGAAGTCTCCTAGGCTGGGTGCAGTGGTTCATACCTGCAATTCCAGCACTTTGGGAAGCCGAGGTGGGAGGATCACTTCAGGACAGGAGTTCAAGACCAGCCTGGGTAACATAATAAGATCCTGTCTCTACATAAAATTTAAAAAGTTAGTTGGGCATGGTGGCATGTGCCTATAGTACCAGCTACTCAGGAGGCTGAGGCAGGAGGATCTCTTGAGCCAAAGAGGTCAAGGCTGTAGTGAACTATGATTGTGCCATTGTACTCCAGCCTGGGTGACAGAGCAATACTCTGTCTCAAAAAAAAAAAAAAAAAAAAAAAAAGACTTCAAATAGCTTACCTATGAAGAAGCTGCTTGGTAATACCTTAAATTTCCCTTCTATGCTTTTACACAGAACCCTAACCTTGCAGTTGAGGACTTGAGTCATCTCACAATTCTTTTGGGTAAAAAAAATGTAAACTACTGTGACCCAACTTTCTTTACAGCTGGGAAGGCCTCTATTTGATTGAAAATATAAATTAAGATACTAGGTTTTAAGTTAAAATATTAAATTACCTCTAGCTTTTAAAAATCATAAAGATCTTTCTTTAACTAACAGTAGAGGGATCTAGTGTTTCAAGTATTGAATTGGTTTAACTGAGCAATTTCTGAATGTCAAAGCAACAGATTCTCTAATAACATCTTTTGTTTTTCTAAAGTTTATTCCCATATTATGTTATATTATCAGAGAGCCATGTAAGGGGACTATCTTACTTTATATCCCCATAGAATTTCCTTCCCAGAGTTACAATTTAACATTTTGTCCTCAGCTTTTTTATAGAGGTCAATATAAGAAATAGCACAGGAAGAATCTCTTCTCCCCTCTGCCCTTTACTCTGGGCAGAATTAATCCTTTACTTGTCTATGTATATACTGTGATTTATATATACTGCTATGGTAGCACTTAGGTAATAATATTATTGTAAGGAATTTTGCTGTCTGAGATAAATCTTCCCTATATTCTCCCCTTTGTTTTACTCCAAAGGACTATAATCCTGCAGAGTTTTTCACTAATGAATTTAGGCATTATTTTTCTCTAAAAGAAAGATCACACTGAAAATTATATAAAATAGGCTGTTTTCCTGGGATACCCTTGTGGCTTGTTAGAACACCCGGAGTCAGCTGGACTGGACTGCCACTCTTCTTCACTTACTTTATAGGCAGATGCTATTCCTTTTAGAGACTGTCTCTGAAAGTGAGGACCCTGGGTTATGTCTGATCGTTGGGCGGGGAGGGGGCTTTAAGGTTCTAATTTTTGTATGTGTCCTATTTCCATGTCTTGTTTCCCAGATAAACTATTTCCTTCTATGTCTCTGCTTTCCTGAAGACAAAGGTACCTTTTTCTCAGCAGTGGAGTTGGAGAGGAAACAGATTCAGGAAGAGTCCAATATTACTACCATTATTGCAATTGCGTAGTAGTACATGCCAAATTCACCCTGTCTTTTCATTTTACTTACCTTTCTCTTGTCCCACATGCTTTTATTCTTGGCATGCTTACCTACAAAATTATCCTTTTTTTCTATTTCCGTATTCCCTATGCCCTGTAGTCTTCTTTCAAAGCCCCTTTGAAATGCTATCATGAAAGACGGATTTCTTTTCTCAGTGCTGTGAGCACCTCCATCTCCTCTTCTCTTCTTTCACGGTGCCCATTTCTTCTTCATCTCATCAAGTATGCAGTCCTTTCTTCGTCTGCACTGTTATGTACCTCCTTCCACCTTTGTTTCTTCCAAACTTGTATTTCTTTTGTCTTTCCATTTAACAGGCCTCATTTCTTTTATCTTAGGAATCTATTCATAAAATTTATACAGTCTTTAAGGTGCAAACACCTTGAAGGTAGAGACCATATTATTTCTATGTTCTTTATATTGGCACTCCAATTAAACAAAAGTCTATGTCCAGTTGAAGTCTGGAAGCCTGATAAGCACACTGAAGTAAAAGTCGCAATACACATGAATGACTGAAAGTAGGTTTTGTTACCAGTGGAAAAGACATTTGTGAGAACAAAATGACACATAAAGAGGAAGCAAGTGATTACTGACTTACTGGAAATCCCAGGCCGGGCACGGAGGTTCATTCCTGTAATCCCAACACTTTGGGAGGCTGAGATGAGGGGCTTACCTGAGCTCAGGAGTCTAAGACCAGCCTGAGTAACAAGTGAGACCCTCTTCTCTACCAAAAAATAATTTAAAAAAAATTAGCCAGGTATGGTAGCCCATGCCCATGCCTGTGGCCTCAGCTACTCAGGAGGCTGAAGCAAGAAAATTGCTTGAGCTGGAGAGGTCTTCCAGCACCTGAAAGACAGAGAAAGACCCTGTCTTCAAAGAAAAGAAAAGAAAAGAAAACCCATACATTTAGCTCAATTGACTAAAAGCCTAAATGAAAAATATATATCTTTCAGCTTAAAGGGTTGGTTGGATTGATTTGTTGAGTAAGGTATTACTATTTGGACAATTGTAAAAAGGACCTGTGAAAGCCATATTTTGGCTTGGACAAGCTCACCCACCCCATGCCCCATCTCTACTAAGGGGGGGTGGGATTCACTGTCAAAAGAGTTCTTCTCTTTAAATTCTATACAATAGGTACAGTAATTATATCTAATTGCATTTGAAACACAATAGTTATTAAGGCAAACGTTTCTAGACTAGTTTCATTATTAAATAAAAATTGAAACTGAGAGTTTTTCCCATATTGGTAAATATTGATTTAATTTTTTAATTGAATGGGAATAATATGGGCATTTTTTTATCATTTGCCCAAAATATTTTAAGAAAATACTATATAGTGTAACCTTTTTTTTTTTTTTTTTTACTATGAAGGCATTAATTTTGTTTTATTTTTAGTACTTGCTTCCAGTTCACTTTTCAAAGTGTCCTTTAGGCTTGTTAGTTTCAAAGGAAATAATATATTTCCTTTTGACTTAAAATGCCTATGCTATCATTAGATATTAATAGTAGAAGTAACAGCAGGATTGCCTGGCACAAATTTGTCCTGTCCTTCTTCTGGCTAGGCAATAGGGTGCAAATGTTCCTTGCTGTGCTTTTGATGGTGAAATAGAAATAACGCTTCACATTTTATAACACATTATATTTCATAAAGCTCTTTCACATTCATCACTTCATTTAATCATCAAAAACAATTCTGCAAACTGATATTATTTTTCACATTTAAGTGTGAGAATATTGATGCTCAAGGAAGCAATGATTTGGCTGAGGACCCAAAGTGAGTGTCAGTGCCAAGACTTAAATCTATTTCTTCTCACTCACTCCAGAGTCCTTCCCACATCATCACACTGTCTCCTTCTACTGTGCTTTGCTCTAACCTGCTGAACTAACTAGCAAGTGTCTTTAGCATACTACATTAGATAGCTAAGACTTACTGAATGCCTACTGTATGCCAAATCCTGTCTTAAGAACTTACATGTGTTACCTAATTCAATCCTTGCAACCCATGTATGATAGGTAATATTATTATCTCCATCTCGCAAATAAGGAAACATAGAATTTAAATAACTTGCTCAGGAAGGCATAGCCAATAAATGGAATAAGTAAGTCTCAAATCTGGACAGTCTATCTTGAGAAATGCATGCTTAATCACCATCCTCTATTGCCTCTTAAATAATCAAAGCCCGTAAAGATTTTATAAATGACTTTTCTCATGAATAATAGGGCCTGGGGTGAGTTTCTCAATATCACTTATGGCAATAAGAATTTCAGCAATCATAATCTTGGTGCATTTTCCAAAAAGGATGGCTCCCCATTGGGTAACACAAGGTGAAATGTGTATTCTGTTAGAAATTTTTGATTCCAGCCTAGGGAGGTATCAAGAATAATGCTGTTGCCATAAAGATATAAGTCTTGAGACAAACACTGGAGAGGTTCAGTCATTCAATCAACTATACATATATTACTGAACATTTTTTATGTTCAAATGCTGTGCTAAGTATCTGAATAATATTCACATGAAGCTGAAAATCTATCAAAAATACATTTGAATACAGATACTTGGTAAAATCTCTAAAATGCACAAAGCTTCATGGACACATGAAATTTCTTTACTATGGAGAAATCAAGGAAGGTTTAATAAAAGTAGTAACATTAGAGCTAATCTTTGGGTAAAGAAGAGGAAAAGACAAATTGTAGTGCATGCTGTAACTGTATATAGGTTCTTTGGAGATAGCTCATTGAATGCAAACTTTCAGAACTCACTTCATGAGTCAATAGGAACTTTACACAATGGTGAGAATAAAGTGCATCCTTTCAAAGCACACTGTCCATGGCGTGAGAGTAACCACCACACTGACATTTGTTGAAGAAAGGTTCTCCTGGGTTCTCCCCACTCTACCCTCCTTGGATGCCAATTAGGCACCTTAGGAAGGACAAGTGTCTTCCCTGTCCCAAAGAATTGATTTTTATAGATATTTATATCTACTTTTGTGAACATGCAATGTTCATTTTGATTATTATTAAATCAATGTAAATTCTGAATGAATTTCTCTGACTTTTACTTTGCTTATTAAGTTGAAGACTCAAGGGCAATGCAGATGAGAATTTCAGATTCTTCCTTTGAGAGGATTTTTGGTCAGTGGCTCTTTAAGAAGACCCAAAGCAGGTTGGGTATACTTCGTAAAATCAGATACTTGGTATATAGTTCTTTTTTTTTTCTTTTCTTTTTTTGGTAACATCACCACGAGGATTTCTTTGCTGAAATGCACTGACCTTCTGTAAAAATTAACACTGGAAGTATTTTCCAATGGAAATTGACTAATAAAGAAATCAATAATGAAGGAATATTTTTAGACTGGCAAGAATCATGATGACACTGTTAAGAAGAAAACATTGTACATATTTAATATGTTTAAATTCCAGATCCTCAATATTATGATTAAGAATTTAATGATTTTTGTTTATAATTCCTTCTCATTGTGTGCCCACATCATACTTAGCTTAAATTATGTATCTAAATATGTCTTCTCTATAAAGTTTCTTGTGGTCAGAATCAAGTGGTCCACTAGTTTCATTTAGCAGTAGATGTATATATTTTGACACATACCAAAGAAGTGCAGCTCAGTACCCAAAAGATGTACTAACTGAAAACTTTAGTTCATGTAATATGCCCGGCATTCACCCTCGCGGAATTTAGACAGGAGGGATTGTGGCCTGTATGTTTGACTTCTGGAACTTACCTTAGTAAAATTCAAAAAACAGGTTCATTAGTAATTTCTTCAAAGAAATCTGCTTCAATTTATTCAGATGTTTTGTAGTCTCTACTTTGTATTAAATATAAAGCACTGAGTTAAAGAGGTAAAAATATCAAAATGAACAGGATAGTCTCTCTCCTCTGGGATCTTATAATCATGTAAAGAAACAGATATGTAAAAACTGTAAAAAAGATATGTACAATATAATTATAATATAGGAAAATTAAAGGCCATACATTTTGTAAATAAACAGCTATGGGAACAAAAAAATGTGCATTTTTTTTTCTAATTGGCAAAGTCTAAATGGGATTGTGGAGGAGCAGTTTGTATTTAAGCCTGCAATTGAACTACATGTATTATTTTTAAAACTGGAGATTTGAAGGGAACACTGGTGGCAAATAGAATTGTATGAACAAAGGAACAGAGATTTGGAAAGGCAGATGGATGTCAGCATGGCTAGAGGACAGGTACACAGCTGATGGGGCAGAAGGTAGCTATGAAAGGTTTGCAGAAGTCAGATTGTCAGTTTCTTTTAAAGCCTGCTAAATGTGTACACTTTATTGTGTAAACAGTGGCAAACAGTAAAGGTTTTGAACTGTAATGATGTAGTGGTCTGGGCTAAACTATTCAGAGCAAGCATTTTAGGTTACAGTAACTGAACTGTGGGTTTTTGTTTACATGTATCCAGAGTTGTTCCCTACCTTTGCAAGGTCAGTGTCTCAGTGATGTGCCTTAAATACCTTGTCCTTGAAATAGAACCTCAACATCTTCACCTTGTTCTTTTTTTTTAAAAGACCGTGTCTTACTCTATCTACAGGCATGCACCACCATGCCTGGCTAATATTTTATATATTTTTAAAGATGGGACCTCACTCTCTTGCCCAGGCTGATCCCAAACTCCTGGCCTCAAGCAATCCTCCCACCTCAGCCCCCCAAAGTACTGGGATTACAGGCCTGAGCCACCATGCACAGACTTATCCCTCTCTTAAAAAAATTTGTTTTCAACAAATTCATATGAGTAAGATTAAGAAGAAATGGTACAACCAGACATAAGCTGAAAAGCAAAAGTCTCCTTTCCTACTTTGTTTATTTTGCTTCCCCTTTCAGAGGAAACTACATTTGATCATTAAACCAATACATCATTTATATTCATTTTTTCAAAATATATTAGGTTGGTGCAACAGTGATTGAAGTTTTGTCATTGAAAGTAATGGCAAAAACCACACTTTTGCACCTACCTAATATAAAACTTCATTTTTGTTTTGTCTTTCATATTGATGAACCATCATTTGTTTATTTTTTTGGATATTGGATTGCCTTCATTGTTTTCACTATTATAAATACCCCTATTACACATACAAAATCAAAATACCATTTTTGCCTTGGCTTTTTAAGAAAATAAACGTTGATTTTAAAAACAATTTCAGATATACAGAAAAATTGTGAAGATACTACAGTGAATTCTCATTTCCCTCTACCATGTTCCCCCTATTATGAACATCTTATATTAGTGTGGTAGATTTGTTACAATAAGTGAGTAAATATGAATACTAATTATTTTTTATTGATATCTGATATTATTTGGCTCTGTGTCCCCACTAACATCTCACCTTGAATTGTAATAATCCCCACATATCATGGGAGGGACCCAGTGGGAGATAATTTAACCATGGGGGTGGGTTTTTCCCCTGCTATTCTAGTGATAGTGAATAAGTCTCATGAGATCTGATGGTTTTATAAAGGGGAGTTCCCCTGCACATGCTCTCTTGCCTGCCACCGTGTAAGACATGACTTTGTTCCCCCTTTGCCTTCTGCCATGATTGTGAGGCCTCCAGAGCCATGTGGAACTGTGAGTCTATTAGACCTCTTTCCTTTATAAATTACCCAGTCTTAGGTAAGTCTTTAATGGCAGCATGAGAAAGGACTAATACAATATCAATAGATATTGATATCAATTATTTTTATCATAATTTATTCAGATTTTCTTAGTTTTCACCTTTGTCTTCCAGGAGCCCATCCTGGATACCACACTACATTTATTCATTATGGCTCCTTAGGTTCCACTTAGCTGCAATGTTTTCTCAGACTTCCTTTGTTTTGGACAGCCTTGTCAACTTTGAGTAATACTAGCAGGGATACTGATGTTTTCCTAAGTACCAGACTGGCGTTCTAGGTTTAGTAAGGAAGTTCACAGAGGTAAAGTGCTATGCATGATATCAAGTATACATATTATCAACATGACTTTATACCATTGATGTTGACCTTGATCACTGGGCTGAGGTAGTGTTGTCAGATTACTCCGCCTGAACATCATTGACTTTTCCCCTTTCCATTCTGTACTGTTTGGGAGGAGCTCATTATACACAGTTCACACTTAAGGAGTCAGGAATTACTGTCCACCCACTGGAGGGTGAAATATCTACATAAATTAATTGAATTTTTTTTTCTTGAGATGAAGTCTTACTCTGTGGGCCATGCTGGAGTGCAGTAGCACGATCTCAGCTCACTACAACCTCTGCCTCCCAGGTTCAAGTGATTCTCCTGCCTCAGTCTCTTGAGTAGCTGGGATTACAAGCACATGCCACCACGCCCAGCAAATTTTTGTATTTTTAGTAGAGACAGGGTGTCACCATATTGGCAAGGCTGGTCTCTAACTCCTGACCTCAAGTGATCCTCCCACCTCAGCCTCCCAAAGTGCTGGGATTACAGGCGTGAGCCACCATGCCTGGATGGAATTCTTTTGTATGGCAGATCTATTTCTTCTATCCCATTTATTTATTTATTAATTCATTTATTTACATCAATATAGGCTTATGGATATTCATTTTATACTTTGGGTTACCATCCAATATGACTTCACTTTGTTGCTTAAATTGTTCCAGCTTTGGCCACTGACTTCTGTGCCCCTCTGACGTTTCCCATCAGTGTGGGATTTTTTTTTTTAAGCACTTCCTTACTTTCTGGAACGACATGATTCTCCAGGCTTATCTTGCATATTTTCTGCTTCAACATTAGGCAACCAGTTCTTCAAGGAGCTATGACTCTTTTAATTGGGGAACAGAACAAAAGCCAAGACCTGAGTGCTAAGTGTGATTGTTACTATTGGGGTGCCCTTGCTTCTAGAGCTTCTCAGCTGATAAAGTAAAGAAATTTATGTGTGTATACTAACTTGTGCCTGCGCACCTATCTATAAATATTTCTATATGTAAACTTCTGTGTCTACATTAAGCTAAACATGAGTACATTTTGGTGTTTCCAAGTCTAATATATTACCACCTGGTTAGTCTAGCCTATTCCCCTTGTTTTTTTCTGTAAAATCCTACACCAAAGTGAGAAACATGGCTTCTACCTTCCTCTATCCATTCACATAATTATTAAATTCTATTGTATGCTTGTAGCTGAACAAAATTTTTAACCCATATTGCTGTAGGAAAGACACTTTATCAACTAGAGAGTTTGAGTTTATGTGCAGTTCCTCTTCCTTTTAGACTTACAGACTCCACTCATTTCCAAAATTACTGTTAACCACTTTTACCTTCAGTGAGGTTGTAGTGTACATTTGTGATATAGTTATATTCTTTTGGAACAGCCTGCATTCCATCCTGTGATAAATATGTATTGCAAACTCTAAAGAAACCTTTTTAAAATGACTAAAAAGAAGATTAAAGATGCAGTGATGCGGGAAATCAGTAAGGATATAAAATCAGTAATTTGACCTGAACAGCACTATCAATCAATTTGTTCTAATTGACATGTATAGACTATTCCATCCAACAACAGCAGTATACACATTCTGCTCAACCTCACCTGGAACATTCATCAAGTAGACCATATTCTGGGCCATAACATTTATCTTAACAAATTCAAAAGCGTGGCAATCACTTTGAGGAACTTGTCCAGAGGGTATAAGGAAAGGACAAACAAATGAAATATAGAAATGATAGAAAAAGTGAAATAAAGAGAAGACATTGTAATGTTAATGTCCATAAAATAGAAATACAAGAAGCATTAAAAAATAAATAAATCAAGGATAGAAAATATTTGAAGAATATTGTATTCAAATATATCTTATAATTTTTGAAATTATAAAAGCATTAAGAACCCAAATTTGAGGGTTTCATAAATGGTTAACAAAATAAAGAAAATAATCCTTTACCTAGCTACATTATTGCAAATTTTAGGACATAAAAGGCAAAGAGAACAAAACAAAACATTCAAGGAGGGAAAAAGAAACAAGTATTCAATTGTTATATTTCTCACCAGTTATGGTGGATACATGAAGATAATACGTTACTAAAGAAAAAGTGCTTTAAACCTGGGAATTTATATTTTATTAAAATATAAAATATTATTTAAATGTGAAAATGAAACAAATTTATTTTTAGTTTGACCACTTAAGATGTGCTTTGAAAATACCATTGAAGATGGGATATCCATAAAATGGAATATTATTCAGCAATAAAAACTCATGAGTTATCAAGCCACAAGAAACATGGAAGAACCTTAAATATACATTCCTAAGTGGCAGAAGCCAGTCTGAAAAGGCTGTATGATTGCAGCCCCACGACCTTCTGGGAAAGGGAAGACCATGGAGACAATAAAAAAGATCAGTGGTTGTCAAGGATTCAGGGACTGGTTGAGGATGGAGAGGGCAGTGGATGGGGAGGGAAATGGGTAGAACACAGGGCATATTGAGGGCAGTGAAACTATTTTGTATGAGACTGTTATGGTGGATACATTGCATCATGCATTTGTGAAAACTCATAAAAGTGCACAACACCGAGAGTGAAATCTAATGTAAACTATGACCTTTAATTAGTAATAATGTATCAGTGTTGGTTCAGCACTTGTCACAAGTGCACCACACTAATGCAAGATGTGAATAATAGGGAAAAACTCGGGAGGGTGGGGGCTGGGGGAAGGTGTAGAAGGAATACATGAGAACTCTGTGCTTTTGGTTCAACTTTTCTATAAATCTAATACTGTTTAAAAAATTAAAGTCTGTTGATTAAAAAAAATTACACCCCAGAAAGAAAATATATCCAGGAGAACCCAGGAAAATATGGGAAGTATGGATGAGAAAACTATCAAAGCTATCAGTAAGGTATATTACTTATAAATAAACAAGAAACAAAAGAGAAAAAGCATACACAAAACAATCCAGACTAACAATTCTCAAAGACAGAAATGTGGTGTGGTGGGAAAAATGGGATGGAGAGTGTGAACAAAGTCATGATGAGACCTCACAGAGGCAAAAATGTACTAGGATACTTGTCTTGGGGGCAATATAAAATCATGTATATAATTTAAGGGTAATTAATACAAGTGTTCATTTAATACAGTGGGAATAACTAAGGAAAAATAGGATTTGAGAATATAATTCTCAAACCAGAAGAAGAAAATTTGGTATGACCAATGAAAGGAAGAAAAGAAAAGA
Organism: Homo sapiens; assembly: GCF_000001405.40. Taxonomy (NCBI): domain Eukaryota; kingdom Metazoa; phylum Chordata; class Mammalia; order Primates; family Hominidae; genus Homo; species Homo sapiens. The sequence continues at coordinate 32,005,030 of NC_000008.11, forward strand.
AGGAAAAAAAGAAAGGAAGAAAACATATAGAGAAGGAATAGAAAGGGAAAGAGGAAGAAATAAAGGAAAAAGGGAAGGGAGGAAGAAAGAAGGGAGGGAGGATGGAAGAGAGGAAGGAAGGAGGGAGGGAGAGAGGGAAAGCCAAAACAGGCGAGGAATGATGAGAAGGATGGGTAGCTGTTCTGTGGATTGTGTGAGTTAAGGGGAAGGAAGTGGTGGGACTTAACATCAGCTCCATATGCTACAGAGTCAAGTATCCTCACATATTCTTACATTTTCCCTGAAGTTATATATTGAGAGCCAGTGGAAGACATCGTAGAAATTCCCTGGTCTATTTTGTGAATGTGTCTTGTAGTACATAGATAATTACATGTGAGCCATTCCTATAAAAAGGTTTAGATTGGTCAAGGATGAAAGAAAAAGAGACTTGCAGGTGGAAAACAAAAAGGGCAATAAATTAAATCTTTCAAAATAATAATTGCTGAAAAATAGTCATCTTAAGAACCTCATATAACTACTAGTTTAAAATATTGCCATCCAGTTATTGAAAAAAGCAATTTTTCACATCAAGAATTTTTATTTATCTTAAAATATTTCAGAGGCAATTGGTGTTATGCTTTAGACACTTGACTGACAGTAAAAGTTTACTATAATAATTCAAATGCCTCTTCAAAGTGGATGAACAGAAACAAAACGTTCAGCGAGGTGAGTGTTAAATTATTATTATTTAGTGGGAAAATGACCTGAACTATTTTCTTTGGTTGCTGTTACATAATCCATAATCTGATATCAGTTCCATTTTGTTGTTTGTATTTGTGCTTGAACTTTCAATACAATAGAGGTCACTAATGGAAGCCTAAAAAAGAATTTTTATTTGACTTTTGGTTCATTAGAAGTTTCTTTGTTCTAGTTATTTTCCTTAGCAGAGTGAATTTCTCTCACTTTCTCACTATTTGTCCAATTTACTACCTAAGCCTGGATGTTTGTCTTTTCATACTCTGGAAACATGGACAAAGACAAAACATAGGGAGTTTCGAGGCATTATTCAATAACTACCTAGAGAATAATGGCTCTATTTTATATGATCTAACTTGGTCACTTGAATGGGTCATATTTCTCCAATATTCACAGAACCACCTAAGTTGTTTTTGGTTGTGTGGACATAGATCAGATTGCCTTTGAATCATGATTTGTAGATGTAAACACTATTTATTAGTTGTAAAAACTTTATATTATCTTTAACAGCCTGGCCAAAAGGTCATTATTGTTTAGGCCTTCTGCCTTCCAGAAAGAGTATGACTAAAACAGATGTATTGGGCAGAATTTCCAGAAATACCCCACCACCCCCAATTTCACAGGGCTAATATCCAGAATCTGTGAATGTGATGTCTTTTCATTCCCATGATTGTCTTATGTGATATGACGTAGTTGACCCTGAAAGGGTAGGGTATTCCTGGCAGACCTAATCTAATCACAGAAGCTGTTCAAAGCAGAGAAATTTCTCGTGCTAGTGACAGAAGACGAAAGCATCAGGGAAAGTCAGAGGAATTCAAAGTGTATAAAGGACTTGAGCTGTTGCTGGTTTGAATACAGAGGAGCCACATGAGAAGGAAGGTGGTTAGCCATGGGTTGCTGAGAGAGAGATTCACAGCTGAGCATCAGCAAAGGAACCTGGAGCTCAGACCTAGAGCCACAAAGAACTGGATTCTGCCAACAACCTGAATGATCTTGAAAGTGGTTTCTTCCCCCACATTCTCCAGATTAGAGCCCAGTAAGCCATCACCTTGACTTTGACCTTGTGATAACTTGACCAAACCTAGCTAAGCTGGCCAGGACTTCTGACCCACAGAACTGTGAAATAATACATGGGTGTTGTTTTAAGCCATTGAGCTCTGGTAATCAGTAATATAGAGGCAGACAATAAATATAGCATCTAAAACCAGTAGCTGTTTATTTTGAGATGTCAAAGAGGATCCCATTCTGGTGTTTGATATTTCAGAGTGCCAGGCCATTTTTCCTCACATCCCACTGACATTCCTCTTGTTTTGATTTAAATGAATAGTCTCCCTTAGATGTCCCAGACAGGATTATAAGTCTCTTTCCTTAAAAGTTTCAGTTGTTAAGATATGTAGCATAAAATTGTATACTATAATGGATCTTGTAAATCTAACCATTTGCTAAGGTAACACAGGTTGTAGGAAGCAAATCTGGTACTAGAAGCCAAGATGAAGGATTTTCAACCTAGTGACCTTTCTACTCAAAAGCCATACTGGCTCTGACCTTCATATTTTAATTGATCAGGCAAATAATCTCAAATCCTCCAACTTTGTTTGATTATTTGGCTAATTCTGCTCAGAATCCTCTCTAAATATCTACTGGAGGCAGGGACATTAACTGAATTTGAAAAGCAATATTATGGTAAGACTCTCTCTAATAATACCATAAAATACCATAGCAAGGTTGTTTTTAACAGATAATTAAATGAAGTCCAAAGGAAATAACTAGCTTGCCCAAGGTTACTCTTTGCAATTGAGAAAACTGAGGCTTGAATAGGTGTAATTATTCATTCAAATGTCCTCGGCCAGTTCATGGCAGAGATAGAAAGTCGATCCACATCTCTTGATTTCCAATTCTTTTTTTACACTGAGCTATGTCAATATGTCAATTCTATAGGGTTTGCCCTCAGATTAGTTTGAGAAATAAAGTATATTCACAGCCTCTGTGTTTTCAGTGTACTACCAGCTGGGATATCTATGACTTAGTTCCAAGCTGTGATATTCTCTGGGACTACAAATTTTTAAGAGCCATTTTAAAATTGGCTAGAAGGCAAATCTAGGGTGCCCATAATGACTGTACCCAGCCCTGCTATGAGTGACTGCACTGTGATTTATTCCCTACTCAGTGCCCATCCCCCACTCCAAAGCCCTACAGGATTTAGGAAAAACTGCTGGAAGAAATGCTACATCATGAAAGCTTAAAAAGGCTCAGGGAACACCACACTTGAATCAGTATAGGTGGGACTGGTATATTTCTTTTGCTATTTCATTATCCATTTTGCAGTTCTTATAAAAAATGAGTCTGTTGATGTAGTCTTCTGAAGCATTAAGATATATGCTATTTCTGCAGTGAACAGGCTGCTTAGTGAAGAAGAGTGTCGGCTCACTTTTGTTCTTTCATATATTTATTAGAGTACGCTTTCCCAGAGTGTCGATTGCATGACTTTATTGAAGCTAGTTTGAACTCAGACTTTCCCCCACTGAATCTGAGATCCACTGAGGCCCAGACACCAAGGAGCTGTTACACATGTATAACTATTCCATTCACACCTCTTCAGGAGTTTCAAACAAGTTTAATTATAAGAGAAACAAAAGAAAGCACTTCTTCTTTGCCACTGCTAGGAAAAAAAATTGCTTTGCTTGGAAATCAATTCATTGTAAGCTTTAATCTGCCTAGTTCGGTTTCTCAGAATGAATATTTCAAATATTAAATATTTTCTTGAGTAGAATGTATAGTACATATTTTATACTAATATCTATGTGTGTGTTAGACAATTAAGAAGACTGGAGTGTTTTCCAAAAACTTGAAAAGTTTTCGGTGACTCGTAATACAGAAGTGACATTTTTATTTGAGAACAATTTACCAGATTATGTCAAGTTCATTATTGGTATGATACTAATTATCCTTAGGATAAATTGGAAAGGGGAACCCTCTGCTAGTTTTCTGAAGAGCTGCGTAAGCCTGATGAAATGTCTTTTCTCTTTCTGTGACTCAAAGCTCCAGAAAAATCTGCAAAGTTGAATATCACTTGTGCCTGCTAATCTTGTGTCATAGTTATTTTCTATCACTGTCATAATGTCAGAGAAGCACTGGGAAAATCTGCACATCACTCATCTCTCCTTCTTCACCCTTATCCAGGTATATCCACATATATCCAAACATCCAGAAGGTCACAGGTGGGATATTTTTGAAGATGTACTCACTTCAGCACAGGTGAACCTGTTGATGACTTCCAGGTCTAAATATGGTGACCTTAGTCACACTGGTTATTTTTAGGGAGCTTCCTCTGACTCTCTTATAAACTCAAGATGATAAATGCAATCTACCTGTAAGATTCTTGAGAAATTTGTGTTGTATAATATGACCGTATATGATCCCAGTAGTTGTGTGGAACTTGATAGGAACCACAGTAAGTATCACCTCTCCTTGCTTCCATCATTCCCCTACTCCAACAGTTTCATCTTCCTCTTCTGTTTCTAGTGAATAAAACATAGTCTGCTGATTTTAAGGTATATTCCATTCCCAGTTGTATACACAATGGTTAACTTTACATTCGTGCAATCAGTCAGTCAACATTTGAGTGTGTACTCTATGTCAGATGCTGTTTTAGGTGCTAGGGGCCCAGCAGTGAACAAAACAGGCCATTGCTGTGCTGGAAGTAAAATTCTAGTTGGGGGAGACATAAAATAAGGAAATAAATAAGTATATAATATAAGGTAATATATACAAATGAAAAAAATAAAGCAGGAAAGAGGGTAGGGTTTTGGGGGGAAGAGGATGTTAAAAAGTTCTAATGGTCTAGGTATGGCTCATTGACATAGTGACCTTTGAGCAAAATCGTGAAGGTGAAGGAGCTTTACTCTTTGAATCAGGATGTCAGGTCTTAGTTTAGACTCTTCAGACTAGATCTTAGCCATTGTTTATAGATTTGCTTAAATGTCTAATTCTTTTTCAGCTGATTATGTTGGAGTTTATTGTTCCTAATGACCAATATGCTCTACCAATGTCAGAGGCCTGATTGACTTTTGAGGGACAATGACTGCTCCAGTTTATGCACTTTCTCTCCCCCCAGCCCTCCCATCCCTCCCATCCTCCTCTGCCTACCCTCCCCACCCCACTCACTTTTTGGGGTTCCTTTGTCAGCTGTGTATTATGGCAAGGATCGACATTTTCTTGACATTCATTGTAGAGAAGGTGATGTAATCTCTCCTTGGAGGGTGGTCACCTGCTGCTTGCAGGCTGAGCTAAAAGCAGATTCTCTCAATGACAGGTATGACTGCATTTCCTGGGCACCTTCAGCAAACAAGGCTCTTGCAACAATAGCTTGCGTCTTATTCTTAATTACTTCATACCCCAAATTAGGTGGGCTAAATATCTTTTTGTTGTCACAGAATGGAAAGCACATCATAATTAGTGTAAAACAAATATCCTCATAGGGTCCAACATGCAGTATCCTAAAAGAAAACGAAGTAAACAATTTATGTATTTTGTAATATACATGGAATATGCCATTAGGTTGTTTTGCAAACCCATGTAGGTGATCCTGGTAGATTAGATTTACAATATATCTTTCCTTTCACTTCATTCTCTCCATCCTCTATCCATTAATTTTTCTTATATCTAGAAATAGGGCACTAAAGAAAACTACAGTATACAGTTCCTGCTTTCTCTGAAATCAACTATTAACTTCAGGCAAGTGGAACACATACTTGGTACATTACTTTTTTTTAAATCCCTGTATTGCATAATAGAAGAGAATGGTAATTTTTATCATGCCATTAATGTGATTCCTTTCTTTATTGCTTAAAGTGTCAATCAGTCAAATTGAAATGGGTTATTACTCTGTTATCTTCTTCATTTTAATTATTTGGCTCTCCCAGCATTACCCTTCATTACCTGTTCTCCAGAGGATTTGTTTTATCTGAAAATAATTTACTGCTTAACATCGATGCATTTTTCTGATATCGTTAGGTGGGCCTGGTGTTACATTTAGAGAGTTACCGTCATCAGAGTAAGAGGAAATATATACAGTGTTTTATCTTGCAGAACTTAATGTACCAAATCTGATGTCCTATAATGTTTCAGAGGGATGATACAAATCATTTGCAACTAGAAGCTGAATATTCAGCCTTGTCACAAGAATTCTCCCTTATTCAATTAGATTTTTTAGGTGTTTGCTTTAAAAAGTAATATCAGATTAGTAATGGGGAAGCAATCTTTGAAATCATTGGTGGGCCAAACCATGATAATAAGATACAAAAGAGAAATGAATGGTGGGAAATGGCAGACACATTACACATAAACATTGTTTTGTTATGGCAAATCTCTACGGCTTCTCACCACGATGTCAGTACGGAAGTTTGAAAGAAAAATGTATGCGTCTCCCGTAGAGCCCATGAACTTGTTTTCTTTTGCATATTATAGAATCTGCAGGTATTTTTCAAATGAGGACCACAAACATTCAAGTATTAGGTTTTCTTACAATGACAGCCAATTTAGCAAGCCCAAGGTTTTAGAGCATCCTTCAAGAGGCTGGTTCCATTTGCACGTTCATGTTCAATTCGCAAAGCAACAGCAGCAGCCTTTACGTATCCCACGATTAACACTTCAACCTCCAGCCCATTTTGTAAGGTTAGGCATTCATCAAAATGTCAGAATGATTACAGTACAGATCTAAAATCCCTTTTGTCAGACACTGGACTTTAATCCGCTCTTTTCTGTAGTCACGTCCTGTCACTTTTGCAGCTGACAATTATTGTTTTTGGTCAAAAAATTGTACCTTGCAATCAAAATGGCTTGTTATCCAAATTGATCTCTGATGCTACAAAATGTTGTTTGTGGACAATTCTCCTGAGCACCACTCTCCCTCTCCTCCAGAGTTTACAGTTGAAATGGAAGCAATAGAAAGTCAGGAGAACAGGGTGGGGCTGAGGCATGCCTGGTCTTTTCACTGCTAGGCTTGGATGCCTAGGAAATTTACCTGGAGGCTTCTGAGTAACTGAACCTCTAAAAGATATTAAACGAGACTTTTTCACTATTTTATTCATAGTTTGTGCTTACTTTTAAGTGAGCTTTTGTTTTGGAATTAAACCCTGACAGTCAGTGGCAGCTAGAATCGCCACCTGTCAAAAGTAAGGTTTCCAGTAAACAAAATATTTACATATATCAAGTGTGAGAGAGACTGGGGAAAAATTTAATGGGCAAACAGAAATTCATAGAAGGCTACAAAGTCTTTCTTGACCAGTCTCACTTGTAGGTCTTAAGCCTAAGATGCCATATTACAGGTGGATCAGCTTCGGGAGGAAAGCAAGAGCTTTCTATTGGAAGCAAGCAAACCCCTCTTTGTGAGTTTCTTTGCATTTGAGGTTCTATAAATTTTGGAGCTAAAACAGTTAGTCCCTTATTTTTGTTTCACTGAAGCTGCTGAATGCTAATAGGTTATTGATGATGGTTTTATTTGCCAGCCATGAAAAATGCTTGGACAACAGGACATGCATGACAGTTAATCTTTGTAGAGAGAAGATGAGCATCAGTGGCTGAATTAGGTGCGGAGGGTTGCAGATGATATTTAGGAACACAGTGACATCAAGGGAGAGGGTAGCCCATGGAACTGCTGGCCATAAATAGTTTTAGGCATACTAAAAATATCAGGAGAGGATAGGAGAGACTATGTGGAATTGCTTTACAAGAATGGCAGCTTCTTAAGAATTATAATGAGATCAGAAGGTACAATGCTTTTCAGTACTTAGAGGTTTTTTTCTAGATGGAAATAAGCAAAAGTAGAGAATTACCAGGGTTTACATTTTGTCTCCATCATTTATAGCTAATTGAACATGGGAGAAAACGTAGCTTCCTTCTAAGGCTCAGCTTCCTCAACTGGAAAATTGGACTAAAAAAGAACCATACTTCAGAGTTGTTAACAGGATTAAATGAGATAATATATGTCAAGTGCCTAGCTCAATGTTTGGCACCTCAGCACATGCTCCAGAAGTGGTATCAATTATTATTACATAACAGAGATAATATTTGGTGGGCTATGTGTATTTGTGAGTGAGAGGGAGAAAGATAACTGTTTTTTTTACGCATTTTTGTGAATGTATAACTTTCTCCCAACTCAGCTGAAGCATCCACCATGGAGAGAAGTGCTTCAGGACTGTTACCAGAGAAATTGAATGAGAAAGAGATGAAACCATTTTTTAACATCCCTAATGGGAATTTTCAGTGAATGGCTAGACAGTAGGCATAAAAGCCAAACTGTCATCAGGGAAGAGTCTTTATACAATCAATTATCAAGATGCCTGATGGATAAACTAGACCACAAGTCCTGCAGGAGGACTTGCTGGGATGGATAAAGTAAGGAGGCAGTAGGTCATCCCTTCTGTTCTGAGGAATGTGAGAGGAGGACAGGAAGGTAGGAAGGGCAGGAGAGTCTTCCTTTGCAGACTGTATCCAAGACTGGAAAGAAATTTTAAATTAGTAAAATGAGATACCAGCAGCAGGAAGAGGAACCACTTTGCTGACCAACCCTATACCCACTGGGTAAAGGGAGACAGAGCATCAAAGTGATCCCAGTGATGTCATGTAGATAGGCACAGAGAAAATGTTGGTGCTTAGCTTTCTTGAGCATGCCTGCTAATAACTGGCATGGATGGGACTGAAAAGTTCCTGGGTTGCCTAAATAAAATACAAAGGTGATAACTGCTAAGCTGTGCCAGTATGAAATGAAGGCAGGCCAAGGCCTCCACAGAGAACCACCAGCCCTGATTAAACTATAAGAGACTGGCCACCAGATTCCAGCATCAGATCCCAGGTAGGGCGCCATACAGGAGAGAACCTACACCAGGGACTGGCATGATCTCAGACTCCCATAGATTTGGAAACCCTGTCTGTCCACTACCCTATCATCTCAAAACTCACTACATTCTGTACACTCAGTGCAATCTTTGAGGGGAACAGAGAAAAGAGAGAAAATGGGAAATGATGGGATTAAGCTAAACTGACATGATAGACTAATCCTAATCCTATTCCCTCCCTATTCACCTCTGTCATCACCAGTGCCACACAGAAGGTGGGAGTCATGAGAAAGACACAATGCATTGTACATAAAAGGAAAAAAGCTGTGTCTTCACCAACTCAAAATAGGAAAAATTGTGACCCTGTGATGACAACTATTACAGCTGTCATAATAAAATCAAGATGATGGCTGTATTTCTCAGGCCTCACATCACCTTTTCTTTTACAAATTATTTGAAATTTAAAGTAGTTTTTTCTAATTCTGTGAAGAAAGTCAATGGTAGCTTGATGGGGATAGCATTGAATCTATAAATTACTTTGGGCAGTATGGCCATTTTCATGATATTGACTCTTCCTATCTATGAGCATGGGATGTTTTTCCATTTGTTTGTGTCCTCTTTTATTTCCTTGAGCAGTGGTTTGTAGTTCTCCTTGAAGAGGTTCTTCACGTCCCTTGTAAGTTGTATTCCTAGGTATTTTATTCTCTTTGAAGCAATTATGAATGGGAGCTCACTCATGATTTGGCTCTGTTTGTCTCTTATTGGTATATAGGAATGCTTGTGATTTTTGCACATTGATTTTGTATCCTGAGACTTTGCTGAAGCTGCTTATCAGCTTAAGGAGATTTTGGTCTGAGATGAAAAATTCATCCTGCTAAAAATGCTTGATCTGGTAAGCCAAGTGCTAGAGAGACTAGAGGAGCCAAGGAACACGTAGGTAGGGTGAGATAACAGAAGAATACCCAAGCTGAATTGAAAGGAGGAGGTGCAAAGAAGCTTGTGCATTGGATTAGGAAAAAATATAGACTTTGAACTCACAAGGACTTGATTTTTTTCCAATTTGTCGTCTCACTCTCTGCATAACCTCTATTATGAGTTGAATTTTGAGCCCCCCAACCCCCCCCCAAAAAAGATGTTGAAGTCTTAAATCCCAACACCTGTGAATGTGACCTTAATTGGAAATAAGGTCTTTGCAGATGATCATCTTAAGATGAGGTGATTAGGATATATCCTAATACCACATGAATGTATCTGTGTATAAAGGGGAAATCTGAACACAGAGACAGACAAGTCCAAAGAGGATGAAGGCAGTGATCAAGGTGATCCAGCTACAAGCCAAGGAACACCAAAGATTGCCAGCAAATCAACAGAAGCCAGGAGAGAGGCCTGAACAGATTCTCCCTCACAGCATGCAAAAGGAACGAACCCTGCCAACACCTTGATTTCAGACTTCTGACCTCTAGAGCTGCAGGATGATAAATTTCTGTTGTTTAGGCCACCCAGTCTGTAGTGCTTGTAATGTCAGCCCCAGCAAACAAATACAGCCTCTCAACTATGTCTCATCGGTAAATTAATTATTTCTCCCCAACTCATACCATAAAATATTTTAGACAGCTTGCACAAGCCCCCAAACAAAAAAACTGTGATGAAATGGCTAAATAGTGTAGTAGCCATGGTGTATACGAATATAAACAGAAACATCGTAACAGGAAAAAATAAGAAAGTCCATTAGATGCAGTTGAGCTTCCAGCTTGTCTCTTAGTTTCCTGGAAACCAAAGTGAAAGGAGGTACCTGTTTGGTCAGAAAAGTTTTAGTATTACAAAGGAAATAGCATTGTATTTCTTTAGGGGAAGCAAAAACTTTTTCTTAGCCCTAAATTCTACAGGCAGTGCTGAATTGCTCAGTAAACAATGCACTTAATGATATTTCCTTGGCAAATTTGGTGAATTATCCATACACTGGTGTGTATGTATAACATGGTAGTGCAACCCCCAACCTGAAGGTGACACTTGTGCGCACGTAAATCTCTATTTCTTAGAGATGTCAAATCAAATCTTATAAACATAAGAAAGCTACATAAGCATCACAAAAAATTACAAACAGCTATGCCTCATTTTCATAAGTGATGTCCTGACTCTATCTGATCTAGTTTTCATGTAAGTCCTTTGCCACTTTACATCTATCCTCAAAAGCCTAACGGAATCTGGCTGGATACCCCAGGTGCTTCCTCAACGTAGAAGTTTTCTCTTGTTTGTTTTTTTTTTTATTCTGAGTTATTTTGAATATATCAGTCAATTTTAATCTAAACTTGCATTATGTTTTCAAATACAATATAAGAATTTAATTAAAAACAATGCTTCACTGACAGCAGCTCTACAATTCTGTATTTGACATTGTAGTACAACATGCAAAGGCATGTATTGAGGTCAGTCTGAAATGAAACACTTAGCCTCTATATTTTTTGGAAAAACAAATCCAAAATATGAAACATTCAGATAGGTAGGCATAACATTCAGATGTCCAGTGATGGAGGTCTTGCTTTGAGGGGCAGGCTGTTTCAGGTATAAATAAATCTCTCAAAGTCTATTTAGGAAAAAGATATATATATATTCCTGCAACTTCTTTTGTTTATTTTTATTTTTTGTAGAGATGGGGTCTTGCTATGTTGCCCAGGCTGTTCTCGAATTCCTCACCTCAAGCAACCCTCCTGCCTCAGTCTGCCAAAGTGCTGGGATTACAGGTCTGTGCCACTGTGACTGGCCTCTGTAACTTCTTAATTCTGTCTGCAGGAGCCACATGGAATAATTTATTTAGTGCTTTAAATATATATATATGTCACTAAGCCATTTTAAGGAAGATAATCAGAAAATAATTATCAAGCTGTTTTGACCAATATAATTCAGATTCTACTTCAAAAAATTACAAGAGATTGCCTGAATTATTTTTTATATTAAAAACATAGCAGGCATATGTTACACAATGAGTTTTGTTCTGTCTTTCATTTGTTAATACTTTCTTAGGATGATAATAGAAAAAAAATTTGAGAATTTATCTTTCTCTGTACCATCAAATCTACAGTTTTCCGTTGTTTATTCTCAGTCATTTCCATTCCCAATTTAAATGTTGGATATAATAACCAGCCATATTAAAGGCCCGATTCTATGAATAGAAAACATGAAAAAAAATTTAAGCGAGGATTTGGGAGATGGTGGTAGGTAACTGAACTTGGTAATAACAATAAAATGATCCCAATCAGAGGCTGTTGTGTGAGCACAGCCTGTACAATTAATAGTGACACTTCAGCAGCAAAGCCACTCCAAGAATCATACCATCGTTTGCCATTTTATATTTCTCTCCAAGATTTTCCAGAGAAATGCCATCAAAAGCACAAATACTATTTCTAGGATTCCAAACTCTAAGAAACATATTAATTCAGAAGATGTTAAAGCATCAAAACAGAGAGGAAAATGTTGGAATGGTTACTATTTATGACTAGCTTCTGCTCTCTGCACTGAAGAGCGTAGCTATTTCCTTCATTTTACAGTTGACATTCAGAAAAAGTACATTAAAAGTACCCAGAAAAGCCTTATCTCTGCATATTTTTGCAATTTGGAAGGACAAATAGAAACAACATTAGAACTTGATACATTTAGTCGTACTCTGTATTGTAGACTTGGAGTGGAAAAACTGTATTGTAGACTCGGAGTGGAAAAAACACAAACTGTTTTCCCTCCGCTCTCACACCACAACAATCAACACAGATGACTTCTGTGACCAAATGTGTAGCAGCTTCTCCACACCAACAAGCAATAGGCAATCAATCAGTTCTGCAGCAGACACCAGCTGGGTGTCATCCAGTTTAATTCCAACACAGCCTGGATGGAGATATCATCAGATCCCACAGCTTAAAGGCTCAGTCCCACAAGACCACCGTTCGCTTCACATGGCAGTCACAGGCCCTGGGTTGTTTTACATGCGCTTCTGACCAATTGTCTATAAATCAGGGTTCCCATGACCCCTTCCTTGTGTTCAATGAATTTGCTAGAGTAGCTAAGAGAACTCAGAAAAAGACGTGACTCAGTTTGTTGTAAAGGATATTACAGAGTACAGATGAAAAGATACGTAAGGAAAGACATGGGGCAAAGGATGTGGAGCTTCCCTCCTGGGCACACCACCCTCCAGGAACCTCCACACATTTGGCTCTCCAGCAGTTGTCTGAACCTAGTCTTTTTTGTGTTTACAGAGGCTTCATTACGAAAGCATGACTGACAAAACCATTGGCTATTGGTGAGCAACTTAACTTTCAGCCTGTCTCCCATCCCTGGAGGTTGGGGGTGGGACTGAAAATCCCAACCTTCTAATTCTGCCTTGGTCATCTTTTGGTGACCAGTCTCCATCCTAAAGCTACCTAGGGGTTGCCAGTCCTCAGTCAAATCATTAGAATATGAAAATATATCATTTTGGAAACCCTAAGAATTTTAGGATTGTGTGCCAGGAAATGATGTCAAAGACCAGATACATGTTTTATAATATCACAGACACATGCATAGGTTGTCCAATTTTTTCTAAGTGAAGTTAAAAAGTATTTCAACCCCAATTGTCCTATTCTTCCCTTACATCATTCCTTCCTATACTTCTGTCTAATGTAATTAAGAAGAACATCGAGGGGAAACAACTTTTACTTGATCAGAGAATTAACTGAACTATTCACTTCCCAAGTGTTCAACTGAAAGGTAGATTATTTTATCTCATCATTTTAGGATTCCTTTTCTTAACTGATTTGTTGTTTATATTGAGTAAAGTACACCAATATTAAGTAGTACATCTTGAAAATGTTTTACATATTTAAAGGTAATAGCTATTGTATTTTCTATTACCCTATATTAATTTTGTCTGTTTATGAGCCAAAAATAGATTGTTGCAGAAAATATGTACTCTTTGTATCTTATTTCTTTCTCTGAGTAAAATGCTTTTTATTTTCATCTATTTTCTTTCACACAGCAGTACTTTATCTTCTTTTATATTCCACTAAATGTATGAAATGTATGTTGTTTTTTCACTGTCATGTTGATGGAGATATGGGATGATTCCAGCCAAGGGCTGTTACAAATAAAGTTGATATAAGCATTCTTGTATATGTCTTTTGGTGGGCATGCATACTGATAGAAGTGGAATTGCTATAGGTAGATGTATATTTAGCTTTAATTGATACTGCCAGACTCTTGCAAAATAGTTGAACTGGTTTATATTCTCACTGACAATGTATGAGAGTTCCAGGTGCTCCACATTTAATATTGTCAGTATTTTTAATTTTAGCCATTCTAGTGGATGTAAGTTGGTATCATATTGTGGTTTTTAATTTGCATATTCTTGATGACTAATGATGTTTGGGACATTTTCATAGGCCTCAACTGTTTGAATATCTTTTTAGTGAAGATGTTCTTTCGATTTTTTGCCCTTTGAAAAATTGGTTTGTTCATCTTTCTTATTGATTTGGAGGAGTTCTGTTTTTTTTTGAGACGGAGTCTCACTCTATAACCCAGGCTGGAGTGCAGTGGTGCAATCTTGGCTCACTGCAAGCTCCGTCTCCCAGGTTCACACCATTCTCCTGCCTCAGCCTCCCGAGTAGCTGGGACTACAGGTGCCTGCCACCAGGCCCGGCTAATTTTTTGTATTTTTAGTACAGACGGGTTTTCACCATGTTAGCCAGGATGGTCTCAATCTCCTGACATCATGATCTGCTCGCCTTGGCCTCCCAAACAGCAGGGATTACAGGCATGAGCCAGCGTGCCTGGCATGGAGGAATTCTTTTTATATTCTGCTTACAGGTACTTTGTAATGTATGTGTACAGGTACTGTGTAATATGTTTTTCCACTCTATGGCTTGCCTATTCACTTTATTAATAATGTCTTTTGATGTACAAAATTTCTTTATTTGGATAGAGCCCAATTTATAATTTCCTTTTTTGTGTTTAGTTCTTTGTGTTTGTTTGTTGAAACTTTGCTTACCTGCCAAATCACAAAGATATTTTTCTACTCTTCTAGATGGTTGGTGTTTTAGTTCTGTGTTTAGATCTGTATCCACCTGGTATTTACTTTTAATTATGATATGCAACAGGGACCAAGGTTTTTATTTCCACACAGTTGCTATAGTACCAGATAACCAGTGCTATAGTACCATTTATTGAAAAGACTATCCTTTTCTCCCATTGATTTGCAGTGGTGACTATATCATAAACCATATACCTGTGGGTCTCCAGGTCTATTTCTGTAGTTTATTATGCTCGTTTGGTCTATTCTGTTATCTTTACTCATTATCAAACTCCTCCAGCTTCTTGTACATGTTTAAGATTGTCTTTGTTATTGTACATTATTTCCATTTTTAAATAAATTTGGAATCAGATTGACAACCTCCTCCCCATGCCTACCCCCCAAAATAAATCTTCTGGGGTTTTGAATGCTATTGCATTAAAACCGTGGATGAGTTTAAGTTTGTTGGAAATTGACATCTTAACAATATATCAAGTTCTGCAGCCTATTAACATGGAATAACATCTGCATTTAGTTAGTTCATTTCTTTCACTAATGTGTTCTATTTTGGAATAGATGTATTATGCATGTTTCATTAGATTTATTCCTAAGTATTTGTTTTTGATGCTATGCTAAATGGTATTTTTATCTCACTATAATTGTTATTATTATATGAAATTCATGGATATGAAATACAATTAATTTTTGTATGTTGGCCTAGCCAGCAACCTTACTAATTTCCCTTATTAGTCATTGTTTCTTTAGTATTGTTTATGACCATGTTATGTGTAAATAATGATAGTTTTATTTTTTCTTGCCAATTTTTGTACATTTTATTTCCTTTCCTTGCTTTATTGCAATGCTTCATTCCAGTATAATGTGGAATGGGTGATAATAGACATCCTTGTCTTGTCCCCACCATCAGAAATGCACTCAGTCTATGGTATCATGTTATTAATTCTCTAGTGAAACCATAGTTTGTATTTAGTAAAACAACAATGTACATTTGGCTATTTCAAGCTTAATTGAATTTCTTTGGCCTCTACATGATTCTTCCTTGCTGAAAAGGATAATTTATAACAAATATTTCATTACTTATAAAGCAAACACTTGCATTTCAGAATACCTTTGTATTTCACTTTCAACTCTAGAAAATATTTGTTAGGAAAGTATAATTTATGAACTGTTATAATGCTTTAGTTTCTATTCATTTATTTGGGATTTACCATGTATTGCTTTAAATTTTAAGCAATTTTTATATGAATTGCTTCTACTCTACACTATGAACACAAATTCAAAGATAGCCTGTATTTGTATTAAATTTCTTTGAATCTCTTAAGGCAACTAGCATAATGCCTTGTCTCAATAAATATATGTTTATTGCTTTAGAGAAAACAAGTCCATTACTATTTTCAAAGTTGAAATTGCGTTATATGTTTAAGCTGCCATTTAAACAGCACTACATTTTGCCATAATTTTGCTATAGTTAACATTCCAAGTATATTCAAAGTTGATTTTTATTTTTTTCAGAAAAAATGCCTTAGTCTGTTTGGTATTGCTACAAAAGAACACCTGAGACTGAGTAATTTGTAAGAAAAGAAGTTTGTTTAGCTCACAGTTCTGCAGGCTGAGAAGTTCAACGGCATGACCCTGGCTTCTGGCAGGGGCTTTTATTCTGCATCATAACATGACAGAGAAGGTCAAAGAGGATGCAGACATGTGTGAAGAGGGGAAAGTTTGCTAGGCATCTTAGCCCTGTAACAACCCACTCTGGTGGAAACTACCCATTTCCTCAAGAACTAATTTAGTTTAGTCTTGCGAGAGTGAGAACTTACTACCAGAAGAACAACACCAAGCCATTCATGAAGGATCTGCCCTCATAACCCAAACACCTCCCAATAGGCCCTACCTCCACACTGGGGATCAAATTTCAATATGAGTTTTGATGAGAACAAACCAACCATATTCAAAGCATTGCAAAAAGTTGAAAAAGCTCTACTAATGTGTAACCAGACATGTGAACATATATAACTTTGAGACATAGCACAACACTTAAAAGCCTTCAGAATCATAAAAAATGTATCTATCAATCTTAATATTTTATTAACTCAAATTATTTTTACCTGGCTGCATGGACATACAACATTTACCCTAAATTTAAAATAGAATGCAAATTAATATTCATTGGTATTATTTTCATTAATTGCACAACATAGTGAAAATAATGTTAACATTTTTTTCCTTTCCTTCTTCCTTCTTCTCTTTTGCTTTTTTTCTTACCTGTAAATTAACTGAGTTGCCAGATATCCATAGTTATCAATGGCAATTTGGAGGCTCTCAGAGGCAGAAGTGGTTGGTGTTTTTCTATTTATTGTTCTAGATTTGGGTCTGAGCACTTTTATAAGTGAAACTTTCCAGGTATTTTGTTGTTGTTGTTGTTGTTATATCAGGTCTTAAACTATACCTTTATAAATTCTTAGTCATATATACTAAAGGGCATTTAATCTCACGACTGTTATTTATGGGCTTTAAGTCCTCTATGCAAAGGGTAAAATTGTCCCTGTGAATTTCAGAGGTAGACATTAGGTAAAGAGAGAGTTTTTTGCTTGACTTATTGCTTAAGTCAGAGCGTTCTCTGAATCTTCTAACTCTTCATTTAATTCACTTGAAAGTATTTATTAATCAATGTGCCTAATACATAGATGGGACTGCTTCCAGTGAGTCTGTCAGTCATGTTACCAGAGCCTTTATTTCTTCCTCTATGCCAAGCTTAAAAAATCAGATGATTTATTTTACATGAGCCACACATGCAAATAGACCTGTAATGCTGAAATTTTGATACTTAAAGGTAAATCTAGTATCAGAGAGCTCTATTAAGTGGTCTAGAGTATATTCAAATTACAAGACATGCAACTTATTCTAAAATCTAATGCAATCTACTAACAGCAAGGGAGAGGGAACTATTCAGAGTAAATAGGACATTGTTTATCTGAAATTTTATTGACACATTAATTGACAACTCCATTTTATATGACGTATACAATCAACTGGACCTGTTTAATGTTAGTCCTTAGATAAAAAATAATTGTAGCTCAAGACCTCATAATTGTATATATTTTTTTCACTGTACCTGGTACAATCATTTCATGTATGAAATGAATGAGTCCACAATACCTCAATATTTGAACATTTTGTTTTAATTCACTTAATCATTGAACCACAGAGTCTGTGCTAAATGCTATTATCTCTATAACTCAACAATAAGGAGATTTAACAGACTCACCATTTAATGTGCACGGGAGCACAGATTTCAAAATTTGTTTCAGCACAACCTTTTGGATTATCATATATTTGTACCATAAAATAAATCATCTGATTTTTTACTCTACTGAGACGGATGCATATGCAACATATTTATGTGCATATATTCAGTGTTGGAAATTAATTCATAATCATGTATATCAAGTGATTTGGATATTTACCTGCACCCCATCTCAGGGAATCATTAGAGCTTGCATTTGGAACATTTAACTGATTTTAGTTATGTAATGTAATTTTACACACATTACCTTACATTTCCCTTCAAATTCCTTCTGAATCACACTGTTCTGATTTCCTGGAAACGCAGTTCAAGAAATGGCCAAGAGTAGAAGGATGTTATAAGACATTGAGTTTCGAAGTTTTCCTTTAAAATACAAAAAGTGAAAATTCCACAAAAGTGGAATGAAACTTGATTTATAGTGCCGCAAAGAAAAATCCTGGAATGTGCAGGAAAGGAAGTGAATGAACTTGGGAACAGCTGCAAGTAAGTATGATGAACGACTCTGCATTGGGCTAGCAGTTCATCTGTTCCACTTGCAGCTGCAGGCCAAAGCGTCACCAGGTTTTCTGCAGAAACTCAACTTGGCATTTTAATGGCTGAGGTGAACCCACTGGTGGCCAGCTGCTGGGACTGAAAATCAGAAGCAGCTCCAGTCCTTCCAGATTGTGAGGGGAAAGGTTAAGGAGAGGGAAGTGGTGCCTTGTCCCAGACAGACGCCCATTGGTCCTGAGATTTCAAAAACACCAGGAGAGAGAATGCCTGGCAGTGGAGAAACCAACACTCAGCCTTCTCTGGAAGAAAGAAAAGGCTTGAGGCAGGATTCTCAAGCTTCATTTAATTACGATCAAATAGGGACTGGCAGAAGAGCGTAGCTGCAGATTTGCAGTAACTCTCCCTAAAAGAACATGAGCTGTGAGAGAGTGACCTTGCAGCCAGCACTGATTTGACATTCACCTGTTTCCCTGCTTGCATTGGAATACCGCTGGGTTAGTTTGGATCCCAAACATAGAAAAGTAACTCCTAGCAGGAGGCAGAAGAGAGCACTTAACATTATGCGGCCAAGAGGTTACACTGGCTGCTGCCTCTTATCAATGGGTCTTTCAGGTCCTTTTTGGGAGCAATCCTGGGCTTCATTGCCCTGCCTAAACTGTAGTTTCCAAGCAGTTTCTCAGGCAGTTCCTGTTACATTCTGTGATCCTGCCTAATACAGTAATTTGATTCCAGTTGAAAACTTCCATTACATACATGTCTTGAATCGGGAGAGTTAGAGCCTTATACTTTGTTCCTCTGCAAAACTGTAAGAGCATCACTGCTGTATTAAAGGGAAGTGAGTGGAAAGTTGCAAAGTGAGCCTTTGAGTTCAAGAAAACAGATGAAAATGAGCCCAAGCCTTGGAACTACAGTTCTAAGTTTTGAGTGGTGGACAGAGTGGGAAACCACGTAGCATGCAAAGGGGAGCGGAAGGGCAGAGGAAGGAAGCAAGGCTACAGTGTTTGGCTGTGTTCTAATGTGCTCTGGCATGGAGTTATCGTGAGTGGAACTAATATTACATAACACTATGTATATTTTGGAAGATGGCTGGGAAATAGCCTTTGGAGCCAATGGAGATTTATTAAATAAAAATTACCTCAAGCTTGATTTTTCATCTTTACCAAGCACCATAGTAAATTGGCATCTCTGAGACTCCTGCGGGAGCCAGAAAGCTGGAATCAAAAATTCAGAAACATGAAATCAAGAAAGAACTGAAAATCTGAATGGAAAGCCAGTCACAAAAGAATAAGAAGTAAAATATTCTTTAATTATGTATTATCTCCTACAGATCAAAAGGAACTTTCCACCATTTCATTGAACCTGTGAGTGAAAATGATCCCAAAAGTATAGAGAAAATAAAGAACAGTAAGCAAATTAATTCAGTTTATATACTGTCTTTTAACCTGTTTAGAAAGAATTTGAGAATTGTTTGATCCTGATTATATAAAAAAGATATATCTGTATCTATGTCTACGTATATATTAATACATACAAATAAAATTTCTAGAAGGAAGAGTACACAATTAACAGTGGTTACTTCTGAAGAATGGGAATGGGATGTTGGAGGAGACAGATCTGTCACTTTTCATTTTATATTTCTCTGGTGAGATCAAGGGAGCATCTTACTTTGTAAATATTAAAAATGCTGAAATATGTAGGTTAAAATGTAATTAATCTACATTCCTATTTTTCAGAATTAATCTGACTTACCATCTGGTCATTTTTGCTTGCTTACATTTTTTCTTTTGCAAAACTCATTATGTTGTTTTGCTAAAAACAATTAAAACAATGCATCAAACTAGTAAGAAAAAAAAAGTCTCAAACCACAGAGAAAGACTCACAATTACCATTAGATACATAAAATTCTATGATATATTTCTTTGTACATTTCTGGATCAAATAATGGCAAGATGGATGAACTGATGGATAGATGGATATATAGACATGCATCGATGTAGGCAGACAGTAAGATCATAGTATAATTGATATTTTAATTTAACAGAAGGTTAAAACTGAAATTTTGCTTTTAGAGGAACTATTGACCTCAAATAAATGTTTTATTTTCACCTTAAGACGTATCTTTTTCTAAAAGATCCAAAGTTAACTTGAAAAACATGGAAGTCGATTTTTTTTTTTTTTTTTATTTTAACCTATCAAGCTCAATTGACTCCCTCTCATAAAAGTGGAGGCACAGTGGCTCACGCCTGTAATCCCCGCACTCTGGGAGGCCGAGGCGGGCGGATCACGAGGTCAGGAGATCGAGACCATCCTGGCTAACAAGGTGAAATCCCGTCTCTAGTAAAAAATACAAAAAATTAGCCGGGCCTGGTGGCGGGCGCCTGTAGTCCCAGCTACTCGGGGCTGAGGCAGGAGAATGGCGTGAACCCGGGAGGCGGAGCTTGCAGTGAGCCGAGATCCCGCCGCTGCATTACGGCCTGGCCGAGAGAGCGAGACTCCGTCTAAAAAAAAAAAAAAAAAAAGTGAAGATATTGCCACAGGTCTCAGGTCCTCTTTCCCTGCTTCACTTTCTATTAGTTTTATCAGTTAGGTTTACATTTACTAAGTTTAGAGCATATACAATCTTTTTTTCTTTTTTTTTTTTTGAGACGGAGTCTCGCTCTGTCGCCCAGGCTGGAGTGCAGCGGCAGGATCTCGACTCACTGCAAGCTCCGCCTACCAGATTCACGCCATTCTCCTGCCTCAGACCCCGGAGTAGCCGGGACTACAGGCGCCTGTGCAATCTCTATGGTAACCACATTTCCCAGTTGACTACTACCGGTAATAAAATCAAATGGATTCAGTGCTCACAACTCTTCAGTCTTTGGGCTACTTTCCATTCTTGAATTTTTAGCTGAATTCATCTCTTTGGCTGGATTTTGTGGTAAAGTAGTTTTTTGCTTATTTTTTCCCCCAAGAAGGGCTTACATGGGTCTTTTTCTATGAATTATTTTCCTACTTGACAATATTTACTTGTTACTTTTTTACTTTCATCATGCCTTGGGCGCATATAATACTCTCCCTTCACATTTTCTTTCCTTGAATTTGTGGAGAATTTTCCATTTTATTCTTGCAGTCAACTTTACTGAAAACAAATCTGAAATAAAATTAATGTTATTCTACCGTATAGGCGATTGGCTTTTTAGTCCCAAGATGCCTAAAAATAAGTTACCCTTAACACATAATAGCTTAACTTAGTTAGGTCTAGAAATTGAGGGTTTGTTTTGTACCACATTTTCTAGAAAGAGTGCTCCTTCAACCTAAAGATTTACTTAGCTTTTTTTCAGGAAATTTCTTGGATTAGATCTTAGAATAAATATTTATTTTCATTTGTTAAATTCTCTACTTCAGGAATATCTGTTAACATTGTGTTGGATTTTTTTGTTTAAAGTATTCACTTTTCTCTAATTGCTTTTATCTCCTTATCTGTTCATCTTCCTTCACTATAATTATCTTAATCCCCATTTCTCTGTATCAGTAACTTAATTTTCAATTGCATCCATTGTTTTTCTAATTTATGTATTAGTTTCATAAGGCTATTGTTTTGAGTTCTTTCCCCCTTATATCGGTACTCTCCTTTATCATCTAATTCTGTTATTCTATTATTTTGTCTTTGAATTTTGTTTTAGTGAACTTACATTCCTCTATTATATTACATTATATTAGAATTAGTAGTTTTGAGTAGGTTGGTTCATGAGTTTGTGAGTAGGGTAGTTTCAAGTAGGGTTGAGTAGTATTTTTATGTTTCTTGTGATAATTTTGCCAAACAATGAATATTTCTTTTTAGTATAAAGATGTCTCATGGAATATTTAGGACATGTATATGCTAAAATTTATTTGTTGCTTATATGAATTTCAAATTGAGCTGGGTGTCTCTATTTTTATATTTTAATTTGCTAAATCTGTATGTTTTTTATAAATTTCCTTCCTTCCCTCCTTCCTTCCTTCCTTCCTTCCTTCCTTCCTTCCTTCCTTCCTTCCTTCCTTCCCTCCCTCCCTCCCTCCCTAATCTAGGAGGATTTTATAGTTGCCATAGCGTTTTCTTTTCTTTTTGCTCATGCTTGTGTGTCCCTAAGATGCCAAGTTAGGTGGGATATATTGTAGGTGGCCTCTTGACTCTCTTCTCACCATACTGTTTGTTTTCTTTACTTAATATACAGTCTGAGAACTGAATTTACTTTCATGGATTATCTGTTTGTCTGTAATCTATGGGAATACTGGGTGATGAAGGCAGGGATCTAGTCTTAGATACTCTGCAGCCTTTTCTCTGTCTCCTAAGATATTTTTTCTGTGCAATGGGAGAGGGGTTTTTGTCCAATCCCCTGGGAAATACTATAAATGAATAATTTCTCAAATTTGCTGTGTATTCTTGAATCTTCACTCTCTTCAAAGAGACTTAAGCCACTATTTCATTCCGGGTAGGAGCAGCTAAACTAAACTAACAGAAAAGCTACAAATTACAGTGGCTTAAAAAACAAAGGACATTTTTCTTGCTTGGGTAAAGTTTCATTTATTTTTCCCTCTATTTCATTGCCATGACTTTTAGGGAGCAGTGACTTCTAAATTGTGGTTCTTAATCAACTAGAGTTTATAGTTTGTCTAACATTTTAAAAATATAATCAGTTTCTTTACTACTATTTTTATATTACTAATTCATTAATTTTCACCCAAATCTTTAAGAACATGGCTCTCATGGTTAGGGAAAGAAAATTGCGCAAAGGACTTGTGTCCATACCGTTTTTTTGGCCTCACTATTCCTGAATGTGGTTTCTTTCTTCTAATGACCAAACTTTAGGGGACTAGGACTGTGCATCTCAGAATTAAACTGGTATTTCTGATATGTATGGTTTATGGTTCAATGGAAAAATATAAGAATTTTTCAAATAATTTTCTGATTGTAAGGATGAATGTGACCTAATGTTAAAATGGCAGGACAGAAATATTAAAGAACTGAATGATGGCATCAGCTCAGCCATTTAGTATTTGATTTTGGACTTAGTTTCCTCATCTGTATAATAAGAGCTTTGCCTATGTATTTTTCCAAGACCATTTCAGGGTTTTGCATTATTTTATTTCATTTGGAATTAACATTCAGGTCATCTTATAGTAGTGTACTGAATAACTGAATGTTAAATGTCTTGCTAAAATAAATATTGGGTTGGTGAAGTTGAAGTTTTGGAATAATAGCTAAAATTAATAACTATAGATTTTAATTAATGATTTCATTCACTAACTTTCAAAAGTTAGACATTCAAAAACTGCAAGAAGAATATTTTTTCAAGATTATAAATTGCTAGATTCTTCCTGCAGTGGAAAGGGGAACATGAGATATTTGCAGTATTAAATAGATACTCACTTTCAATTGATACATTTAATAACATCACTAACCTTCCTATTCATAGTGAAATGAGTGATGAAAAAGTTTTTTAGTAAATATTTTTTACTGGAACAGAAATAATTTTGTAGCAGGATTCATAATTTGTGTATACTGATTTAAGAATATCATTACTTCCTGAAAGTGGCATTCATCTCTATGGGTAGTCATTTTAACAAGGTTTTTGTTAAAACCTTCCCCTTCATTAACACACTTTAGGAAAGTGTCTTCTAAGTCATTCTATCAAAGTCTGTTGCTTTCAAATTTGATTAAAGAAAACAAAGTATTATTTGCGTACCTCATTTTTCTCTAACACATTTTTCTTTGCATTTCTCATATTCTGGATTATGTGGGGATCAAATATGATTTAAATGTTATGCACAATTTTGTGGTTTTTCCTACTAATGAAATTTTGAGTTGCAAAGTTAACATTCTGCCATTGTTAATATATTCTTATTATAAAAAGACAAAATTTCAACACATTTCATTTAAAGATCTCAATTGGCTTTTACTTGCAATTCCAGAATCGGGCAGCCATTAGAACCAAAACAGTTCTGAGGAGCTCCCAGGCTGCAATGTGGTGCGAAATGTTTTATGGACAGAAAATGGAAATGAGGTGCAGAAATTGGAGGTGAGATTCAGAGATAGCTGATTGGTTACAGCTCAGCCTTTGCCTTGTTTGAACATGGTTTGAACAGTTGATTGACTGAAGCTAGGCTGCTGTGATTGGCTGATACTTTACTATTTGTTACAAAGGCAAATTCCTAATTTAAGCTTTCAAATTGTTTAAGTACTAAGTTAGGTTTTACTTTGTTACTTAGGACTCATATCGAGGTTTCTAAAGCCCACATCTGATACGATTTAACATTACCTATGTGAAGAATTACTAAGCAGAAACATTTTGAAAGCCTCATGACCTGAATCGTATTAAATACTTAACAATTGAATTTGTCTCAATAATAATTATGTTTAAAATTATGAATGCTGGTTTGTAAAAAAAAAAGCCACAAATTTTAAAATTCTGATATAATCTAATATCTGGTATTCAGCTTTGTATTATCATTTTAAAATTTAATGAACATCTCTGGACTCTAAATATTTTTCTTTTTAAAGTTATATAAAACATTCTCTTTATATTCATTATAACTATTAAACTATTTGCCTACTTATTTATATTGAAAGTCCTTAATATTTTTACAATAATTTAATAGGTTTCACAATCATCATTACTTATTATAGTTTATACTGTTTGAATAATAAATATATGTCTATACTATGACTCATTGATACATTTCAAAATACAGTGCACATAAGAAGATCTTCATTCTCTAGATCTGTCATACTACATATGTGAAAGTTAACATTTGTAGTGGCAGTGAATCCTAGGGGCAGCCTTGCATGTTAATGTTATGTGGTTGATTTGAGAGGATGGGGATCTGTGTAATCATATGATGACAATTTGGGTTTGGGAATCTCAGAAATGCCATCAGTATAGGAATATGGCTATTCTGCTCTTCCTAGGCTAAGAATAAACTTGAAGACAAAGAGTAGATTTTGGCCAGACACTGATGCTAAAGTCACCCCGATGCTGTCTTTGCTTCTAAGGTATAAATTACCTTATTTTAAGCAACTTTTTCACCTTTTCAACTCTATCCCTTTCCTCAGCCTCTTTCATATGTGAAATAAAATATTCACTTACTACTGAGGATGATTTTTTTTAAACCTATTAAAGAATACTCCATAGCTACAGAGGGGACCATATCCTTTAGAGACTCCGTTGGGGATGATCATATGCAGAATTATTCTTGTCCCTTTGCCTCTGCTTAATCCCCTTCACAAAGTCTGTGGCTCAAACAAATGAGAGTTGGCAGTACTAAAGGAATAAGTTCCCAGCATACGTCTGCCATGCTTTAGCATCATTTCAGATTAGAAGCATGGAGCAAAGGCAGGGAGACGGGTCAAACAAAATGCTGAGAGCTTCCCTCCTTTTAAAAAACAAAATTCTAGTCAGGGAATTATTTTTAAATAAAATGCAAGCCCCCAAGACATAAATAAACAGCCAGCATATAATACTAACAACTCAATGAAAGATACTTCCCCAGGTCAACTCATCTGGTAGGATCAGTTATTTTGTGTTACTGCATTGCCCCTCTAGCGGGATCATAGAAGACCCTAAAGGCTACAAGAAGAACTGCTTTCTGGCTCTCAAGTCATTTCAGTGGTTCCCTGATGGCAGCTGTCTCTTTGGGGAGGTGGTGCCGTGGTCTGTTTGGGGTTAGGCCATCAGCACAGGCCCCTTGTGCTAGCATCACATTGTCATAAGCTTTCTGCTACCATGGCTACCATCCATCACCAGGCTCTGTCTCCATGGGCAGCAGCCTCTGTGCCCAGGCCACCCCAGGACCTCAGGCCCATCTCTCTTTCCAAAGGTAGGTAGGTGGCCTTTTCCCATTCTTTAGTTTTTGACTTTGTATAACTGAAGCTTCTCCTGGGATGATGCAGGCAGCTGCTGCACAGTCACTCCAGACTTACTCTTCACTTTGTTGTTAGGCCCCTGCAGCTCGCTGCACGTGACTGGTGCCATCTGCCCTCCCCGCACGGGCAGCTGCCCCTCCCACACTGCCTATTTCCCCCTTTCTGCTTTTTGTAGCCACATGTCTAAAGATGGCAGGCCAGTCTCTGTGGTCTATTTTATGGGACTTTCATTTATAACTAGGCAGCAACCCACATTAGTTATTTATCCTGATGATCTCCCTCCTCTTGCCCCCCATGACAGGCCCCAGTGTGTGTTGTTCCCCTCCCTGTGTCCATGTGTTCTTATTGTTCAGCTCCTACTTATAAGTGAGAACGTGTGGTATTTGGTTTTCTGTTCCTGCATTAGTTTGCTGAGGATAATGGCTTCCAGCTCCATCCATGTCCCTGCAAAGGACATGATCTCATTCCTTTTAATGGCTGCATAGTATTCCATGGTGTATATGTAGCACATTTTCTTTATCCAGCCTATCATTGATGGGCATTTGGGTGGATTCCATGTCTTTGCTATCG
Source organism: Homo sapiens (assembly GCF_000001405.40). Classification (NCBI taxonomy): domain Eukaryota; kingdom Metazoa; phylum Chordata; class Mammalia; order Primates; family Hominidae; genus Homo; species Homo sapiens. The sequence goes on from NC_000008.11 coordinate 32,031,900, forward strand.
TGACTAGTGCTGCAGTGAACATACACGTGCATGTATCTTTGTAATAAAATGATTTATATCTTGGGGGGTAGATACCCAGTAATGGGATTGCTGGGTCAAATGATATTTCTGGTTTTAGATATCACAACACCATCTTCCACAATGATTGAACTGGTTTACATTCCCACCAACATTGTAAAAGCATTCCTATTTCTCCCCAACTTGCCAGCACCTGTCATTTCTTGACTTTTTAATAATCTCCATTCTAATTGGCATGAGATAGTATCTCATTGTGGTTTTGATTTGCATTTCTCTAGTGATCAGTGAGGTTGAACTTTTTTCATATGTTTGTTAGCTGCATGAATGTCTTCTTTTTTTTTTCTTTTATTTTCTTTTTTTTGAGACAAAGTCTCACAGTGTCGTTCAGGCTGGAGTGGTGCAGTGGCACCATCTTAGCTCACCGCAATCTCCACCTTCCAGCTTCAAGCAATTCTCCTGCCTCAGCCTCCGAAGTAGCTGGGATTATAGGCACCTGCCACTATGCCCAGATACTTTTTTCGTATTTTTAGTAGAGATGGGGTTTCACCATATTAGCTAGGCTGATCTCAAGCTCCTGACCTCAGGTGATCCACCTGCCTCAGCCTCCCAAAGTGCTGGGGTTACAGGCATGAGCTGCCTCACTCAGCCATGAATATCTTCTTTTGAGAAGTGTCTGTTCATGTCCTTTGCCCACAATTGTATTGTTAGTTTTTTTCTTGTGAATGTGTTTAAGTTCCTTGTAGATTCTGGGTGTTAGACCTTTGTCAGATGGATAGATTGAAAAAATTTTCTCCCACTGTGTAGGTTACCTGTTCACTCTAATGAAAATTTCTTTTGCTGTGCAGAAGCTCTTTAGTTTAATTAGATCTCATTTTTAAATTTCTGCTTTTGTTGCAACTGCTGTTGGCAATTTTGTCATGAAATCTTTGTGCCCATGTCCTAAATGGTATTGCCTAGATTTTCTAGGGTTTTTATAGTTTTGGGGTTTACATGTAAGTCTTTATTCCATCTTGAGTTAATTTTTGTGTAAGGTGTAAGGAAGGGGTACAGTTTCAATTTTCTGCATATGGCTAGCCAGTTCTTCCAGCACCATTTATTAAGTAGGGTATCCTTTCCCCATTGCTTGTTTTTGTCAGGTTTGTCAAAGATCAGATGGTTGTGGATGTGCAGTCTATTTTTTTTTTTTTTTTTTTTGGAGACAGAGTCTCGCTCTTCTGCCCAGGCTGGAGTGCAGTGGCAGGATCTTGGCTCACTGCAAGCTCCACCTCCCGGGTTTACACCATTCTCCTGCCTCAGCCTCCCGAGTAGATGGGACTACAGGCACCCACCACCATGCCTGGAGATGTGCAGTCTTATTTCTGAGTTCTCTATTCTGTTCCATTGGTCTATGTGTCTGTTTTTGTACTAGTACCATGCTGTTTTGGTTACAGTAGCTTTGTAATATAGTTTGAAGTTGTATAGCATGATGCCTCCAGGTTTGCTCTTTTTGCTTAGGATAGTCTTGGCTGTATGAGCTCTTTTGTAGTTTTATATAAATTTTAAAGTAGTTTCTTCTAATTCTATGAAGAATGTCAATTGTATTTTAATGGAAATAGTATTGAATCTATAAATTACTTTGGGTGTTATGGCTATTTTCACAGTATTGATTCTTCCTATCCATGATTATGGAATGTTTTTCCATTTGTTTGTGTCCTCTCTTTTTTCCTTGAACATTGGTTTGTAGTTGTCCTTGAAGAGGTCCTTCACTTCCCTTGTTAGCTGTATTCCTAGATATTTTATTATCTTTATAGCAATTGTGAATAGGAGTTCATATTCATTATTTGGCTCTCTGCTTGTTATTGTTGGTGTATAGAATGCTTGTGACTTTTGCACATTGATTTTGTGTCCTGAGACTTTGCTGAAGTTGCCTATCAGCTTAAGAAGCTTTTGAGCTGAGACAATGGAGTTTTCCAGATATAGGGTCATGTCATCTACAGACAAAGACAATTTGACTTCCTTTCTTCCTATTTGAATATCACTTATTTCTTTCTCTTTGCCTGATTGCTCTGGCCATAACTTTGAATACTATGTTGAATAGGAGTGTTGAGAGATGGCTTCCTTGTCTTGTGTTGGTTTTCAAGGGGAATGATTCCAGCTTTTGCCTATTCAGTATGATATTGGCTGTAGGTTTGTTATAAATGGCTCTTATTATTTTGAGGTATGTTCCTTCAAAACCTAGTTTATTGAGAGTTTTTAACATGAAGGGATGTTGAATTTTATTGAAGGCCTTTTCTGCTTCTATTGAAATAATCATGTGGTTTTTGTCATTGGTTCTGTTTATGTGATGAATTATGTTTATTGATTTGCATATGTTGAACAAGCCTTGCATACCAACAATTAAGCCAACTTTATCATGGTGGATAAGCTTTTTGATGTACTGCTGGATTCAGTTTGCCAGTATTTTATTGAAAATTTTTGCATCAATGTTCATCAGGGTTATTGGCCTGAAGTTTTCTTTTTTTGCTGTTATCTCTTCCGGGTTTGGTATCAGGATGATGCTGCCCTCATGAAATGAGTTAGGGAGGAGTCCCTCTTTCAATTGTTTGGAATAGTTTCAGAAGAAAGTGTATCAGTTTCTCTTTGTACCTCTGATAGAATTCAGCTGTAGACCAGTCTATTCCTGGGCATTATTTGGTTGGTAGGCTATTTATTACTGCCTCAATTTCAGAGCTTGTTATTGGTCTACTCAAGAATTCAACTTCTTACTGGTTCAGTCTTGGGAGGGTGTATGTATCCAGGAATTTATGCATTTCTTCTAGATTTTCTAGTTTATTTGCATAGAGGTGTTAATAGTATCCTCTGATGGTTGTTTGTATTTCTGTGGGGTCAGTGGTGATATCCCTTTATCATTTTTCATTGTGTCTATTTGATTTTCTCTCTTTTCTTCTTTATTAGTCTAGCTAGTGGTCTATTTTTAATTTTTTTTTTCAAAAAAACAGCTCCTGGATTCATTGACTATTTTTAAAGGTTTTTTGTGTCTTTATTGCCTTCAGTTCTGCTCTGAGCTTGGTTATTTCTTGTCTTCTGCTAGCTTTGTGGTTTGTTTACTCTTGGTTCTCTAGATCCTTTAGTTGTGGTGTTAGGATGTCAATTTGAGATTTTTCTAGCTTTTCAATGTGGGCATTTAGTGGTATACATTTCCCTCTTAACACTGCTTTAGCTGTGTCCCAGATATTCTGATATGTTGTCTGTTTGTTCTCACTCATTTCAAAGAACTTCTTGATTTCTGCCTTAATTTCATTATCTACCCAGGTGTCATTCAGGAGCAGGTTGTTCAATTTCGATGTAGTTGTGTGGTTTTGAGTGAGTTTCTTGAGTTCTGATTTGATTGTGCTGTGGTCTAAGAGACTGTTTGTTGTTATTTCAGTTCTTTTGCATTTGCTGAGGAGTGATTTACTTTCAATTATTTGATCATTTTTAGAGTAAGTGACATGTGGCACCGAGAAGAATGTATATTCTGTTGTTTTGGGGTGGAGAGTTCTATCGATATCTATCAAGTCCACTTGATCCAGAGCTGAGTTCAAGTTCTGATTATCTTTGTTAATTTTCTGTCTTGATGATCTGCCTAATATTGACAGTGGGGTGTTAAAGTATCCCCACAATTATTGTGTGGGAGTCTAAGTCTCTTTGTATGTCTCAACTTGCTATATGAATCAGGGTGCTCCTGTATTGGGTGCATAAATATTTAGGATAGTTAACTTTTCTTGTTGTCCCCTTCACCATTATGTAATGCCTGCCCTTATTTGTCTTTTTTGATCTTTGTTGGTTTAAAGTCTGTTTTGTCAGAAACTAGGATTTCAACCCCTGCTTTTTTCTGTTTTCCACTTGCTTGGTAAATTTTCCTCCATCCCTTTATTTTGGGTCTCTGTGCAGCTTTACATGTGAGATGGGTCTCTTTAATACAGCACACTGATGAATCTTGACTCTTTATCCAGCTTTCCATTCTTTTAGTTGGGGCATTTAGCCCATTTACATTTAAGGGTAATATTGTTATGTGTGAATTTGATCCTGTCATTATGATGCTAGCTGGTTATTTGCAGACTTTTTTGATGAAGTTGCTTCATAGTGTCATTAGTCTGTGTACTCCACTGTGTTTTTATAGTGGCTGGTAACAGGTTTTCACTTCCATATTTAGTGCTTCCTTCAGGAACTCTTGCAAGGCAGGCCTGGTGGTGACAAACTCCCTCAGCATTTGCTTATCTGAAAAGGATTTTATTTCTCCTTTACTTATGAAGCTTAGTTTGACCAGATATGACATTGTAGGTTGGAAATTCTTTTCTTCAAGAATGTTGACTATTGCCCCAATCTCTTCTGGCTTTTTGGGTTTCTGCTGAGAGGTCTGCTGTTAGTCTGATGGGCTTTTCTTCATAAGTGACCTGGCCTTTTTCTCTGGCTACCTTTGACGTATTTTTCTTCATTTTGACATTGAAGAATCTAATGACTATGTGTCTTGGGGTTGTTCTTCTCATGGAGTATCTTACTGGGGTTCTCTGGATTTCCTGAGTTTAAATGTTGCCCTTTCTTGCTAGGTTGGGGAAGTTCTCCTGGGTGATACCCTAAAGTATATTTTCCAACTTGATTCTGTTCTTCCTGTTTCTTTCAGGTACCCCAGTCAGCGGTAGGTTCAGTCTTTTAACATAATCCCATAGTTCACAGAGGTTTTGTTCATTCCTTTTCATTCTTTTTTCTCTAATCTTGGCTGCCTGCTTTATTTCGGCAAGATAGTCTTCAAGCTCTGATATCCTTTTTTTCCACTTGGTCTATTCAGTTATTGATACTCGTGGTTGCATTGTGAAGTTCTCATGTTATGTTTTTTCAGCTCCATCAGGTCATTTCTGTCCTCTCTGAGCTGGTGATTTTGGTTAACAGCTCCTGTAATATTTTATCATGGTTCTTAGCTTCTTTGCAATGGATTAGGACATACTTCTTTAGCTCAGTGAAGTTTGTTATTACCCATCTTCTGAAGCCTACTTCTGTCAATTCATCCATCTCAGCCTCAGCTCAGTTCAGGGCCCTTACTGGAGATATGTTATGATCATTTGAAGGAGAAGAGGCACTCTGGCTTTTTGAGTTTTCAATGTTTTTGCATTGATTCTTTCTCATCTGCATGGGTTTATTTACCTTTGATCTTTGAGGCTGCTGACCTTTGGATGAGGTTTTTATGGGTTCTTTTTAATTGATATTGTTGTCCTGGCTTTCTGTTTGTTTTTCTTTTAGCAGTCAGGACCTTCTTACATAGGGCTGCAGCCATTTGCTGGGGGTCCACTTCAGACCCTATTCACCTGGGGTCCTCCCACACCTGGAGGAATCACCAGTGGAGGCTGCACAACAGCAAAGATGGCAGAGTGCTCCTTTTCCCCAAGAGGAGCACCAACCTGATGCTGGCCAGAGTGCTCCTGTATGAGGTGTATGGAGACCCCTGTTGGGAAGTCTCACCGACTCAGGAGGAACAGGATCAGGGACCCGCTTAAATAAACAGCCTGGCTTCCTCTTGGCGGAGAGGGTGTCCTGCACTCAGGAGAATCCGCCTCATCAGGGCTGCCCTGACTCTCCAGAGCTGGCAGGCAGAAAAGAGTAAGATTGTTGATTCACGATACCGCAGCCGCCCCTCCTCCTATGGGCTCCTTTCAGGGAGATCAGAGTTCTGTTCATAAACCCCTGGCTAGGGATGCTGAAAATCCCACAGGGAGGCCCCACGCAGGTAGGAGGAATGGGTCAAGGTTCTGCTTAAAGAAGCAGTCTGGCCAGGAACTGTCCACAGCTGCTGTGCTGCGCTGTGGGGAATTGCTCCCGTTCCAAACTGCCCAGTCTCGCTGGCACCTGCAGCAGGGAAAAACGGCTGACTGGAGCAGCAGTGGTGGTAGCCACCCCTTCCCCCACCGAACTCGGTCTTCTTAGGCTGTCTCCAACCTGCTACACTGGCTGACAGGGATTCCAAAGTGGGTTTCAGTTTGTAGGGTTCCAAGGGAGCAGGGCCGCTGAGCAAGGCCGCTTGGCTCCCTAGCTTCAGCCCCCTTCCCACAGGAGTGGACGGATCTCCTGCCTCCTTAGTTTTCCCAGAGCTAGAGTATGCAAAAACTCTTATGTCTCAGTGTCTGCCCAAGTGGTCGCCCACCTGAGCAGCCGCTGTGAGCCTGCACAGCTCTGTGTTTTGGACCCAAGGCCCTTGGTGGTGTGGGCTCACAAGGGCGTGGGTTGCAGAGATCCATGGGAAAAGCGTGCTTTTCAGAGCTGGGTAGCACAATACCTCACCAGCTTCCTCGGCTCAGAGAGGGAGCACCTTTTGCCGCACGCAGGCTCCGGGTGGGCCCTCGCTCCACCCTGCTTTTCCTCACTGTCTGTGGGTTGCGCCAACCATCTAGTCAGTCCCAATTAGAGAACCTGGGTACCTCAATTGAAGATGCAGAATTTACTTGCTCTTTTTGTTCTTGGTGGAAGCTGCAGACTGGAGCTGTTTCTATTTGGCCATCTTGGCTCAAGGTTCAGTTTGAGTTTCTGTTGCAGACACTGCAAGAAACAGAACCGAATGAACAAGAGATATGAAAGTATGTATCATGGCAATAACTGTTTCTGTTTATTTCTTATTTTGTTTTATTTTGCTTTCTAATAGAATTGGAGGAAATAGGAAGTATTTAAAAAGTGTTTAAATTTACCATCAATTATTCCTGTATAGTTCTCTATTTTTAAAAATATGCCCCCAAGTTTTGAAATTCTGATTCAATACGGACTTTGAAAGGATGTGAAATTTGGGAGCACGTATTGCTGTTACTAAGACTGGGGGCTGTGAGAGGGCTTGGTGTTCCCCCAAGCAGTCAGGCTTGCAGAGAGAATTTGTGTCCTGCTACGGTCTTTTGTAAAGGAAGCTAGCCCCACCTGTTGTTCAAATTCATTTTGCTTGCGTGAAAGAGGAATGCTGTCCCTGGAAACCTCTGTCCAAGTGCCTGTTTTTTCTGTTGTGGGCAGCATTGCAAAAGTGATCTGTATCCTCTCAGAAAAAGGAAAAAAAAATCACATCTAAAAATGTTCAATGTCATTACATTGAACACTGACCGGACAAGTAAGCTGGAACTGTATGGTTATATTCACAAATTCTGGGATGTTTGTTTTGGCTTTGTGTTATAATTGCAGCTACGAAACTAAAAGTGAACAAATTGCTTTCTCATTTAATTTCTTTTTATCATGTCTAAGTCTCAGTATTTTTATTTGTAGAATTGTGTTAATAATAATCCACAGGCTTACTATGAGGAATAAATCAGATACTGTACATAAAACAAATAGGATATTTGTTGACATATAGTATTCATTCACCAGATGCTTAATCTTTCCTTCCTCTTGTCTATGTTAGCCTGCGATTGTTATTCTAGTGTTGGTCTCAAATAACTTAAACTGTCATTAGAATTTTGCTTTAATTCATAGGGCCAATAGAGGAGGAGGCAATGGAAAAATCACTAGGTATGTTTGCTTAGTCTCTCAGATGCTATAGCACACAACTCTCAGAGACTTGGAAAAATGGAAACACAGAGATGTTGTTTTGTGTTTTGTTTTTGAGCACAGTTCTTATAGTAAATGTGAATGTTTACTATTATTTCTAGGGTTTATGATAAAAGATGGAAAAGAGAGGCTATACTGATGAACGTTGTCAACATGGGGGCTTGTCAGAAATTAAACAAACTTTTAAGAAAGTAATTGAATTTAACAAACATTATTGAGTACCTTATCTGGCCCAGGCATGGATCTTAACCTCAACTCCTCATCAAGGGTAGAAAGTAGACTCAGTCAATGCTAGGCATGGTGGTTCATGCCTGTTATTCCAGTGCTTTTGGAAGCCAAGGCAGGACGATCGCTTGAGACCAGGAGTTCGAGACCAGCCTGGGCCATAAACCAAGACCTTATCGCTACAAAATAGAAAAAAAAAAAATTAGCCGGAAATGGTGGTGTGTGAATGTAGTCCAAGCTACTTGGGGCTGAGGTGGGAGGATTGCTTGAACCGAAGAGTTTGAGCCTGCAGTGAGCCATTATCACACCACTGCACTCCAGCCTAGGTGACAGAGCCAGATCCTGTCTCAAAACCAGAAAACAACAAAACAAACAGACAAAAAACAGACTCTTTCTAGTCATGACTTTATTCCAGTGCTTACCACCTGGTCCTTGCCCTCAGAGTTCACAATAAAGGGATTCTGGTCTGGGAAGAAAGCAACTTTAAAGAATTTCTATCATCATTCTCATAATACCAATAAACTCCAAAAAAGAGCCTAAAGATTTTCAAATGACCTTCCTTAGAAGTTCTAGATCCTAGTTGATTACCTGAGCAACCATTTGCCTATGTGTATTTCAATTTAAATTGTCATAAACAGCTACTCAAGGAATTGATTAATCTGAATTCAAAAATAACTTTTATTTAGTGAAAGTCAAAGCACATTATTGTGTTTTAAAAAGTCAAATGTTGCCAACTCATGACTTAGTTAAGCCTGGAATATGAATGTGCAATTGAAGCAGACATTGGCTGTATGCACAATGCCTGCTGTTTTTCTTGCTGTTAGTCATTATATGTTATGTCCTTTGTCAGGTTGGAAACAAAAGATTAATTTCATTTGGTAGGCTTTTAAAAATGTGTTTGTCTGGTTGTGTGTGTGTGTGTATATGTATATATGCATATATACACATATATACACGTATGTATGTATATATATGTATGTATATATGTATATATGTATATACACACACACATATATAAATTTAGTTCTGAAATTTAGGCATATATATATATATATATATATATATGAAATTTAGGCGCATATATATATATATATATGCGCCTAAATTTCAGCACTAAATATTAAAGTTTAGGCTTAAAGTACCAAGATATTTTTTTCAGAGATGGATTATTTTAGCACTAAAATTCTTCTGAGCCTTCAGTATTGCTGAGCTTTATTTAGGAAATACTCAGTGATAGAAGATGAATGCAAAAAAAATTGATTAAAAACCGGAGCCTTAAAAATTGAATTCCCTTCTTACTGTTGATGTTCTTATATTATTTTGGTATCTACATAAATGATTATTTGAAAAAATTTCTGACATCTGATGATGTGTAACATGCCAAATTAATTTCCGAATGTTAAAAATCATTTTACTTATGGATAACTTCATTATGTAGAAGCTGACTATCTAATTTGTAATTATTTTTATAGAAAAATGGCAAGTAGAAGCTTATCATGGGTGAAGTTAACAACAAAAGGCTAAAATTTATTTGTCTCTCTTCAGTCTTTTTCTCTTCAGTCAAAGACAACTTACACACAACAAGATTTCTCCTTCTTAATTACTACATTTATTATGGTATTTACCCTGTTCAAAAAGCCTTAGTGAGGTTCCAGCTTTGAATAAGATAGAGTAAACATACTGTGCCCTGTCTGTCCTACTGAATACAACTATCAAACCTGGACAAAACACATGAATTATATTTTCAAGGACTCTGAAAAGTGAATTGTAGCAGACGGACTGAGAAAGACCAGACCTGAAAATAAAACAAAACCAGGCGTGAGTTTACCATGTTTATCCTCTGGAGGAACCCAGCTTTGACTTGGGAAGCTCAGAAGTAGACATCAACACAGGCAGGAAGAGCTTCACCTGGCAGTGACGGTGACAGCAGCTGAGGGTCCCCAGGTTTCTAAAGCTCTCAGGACGAGAAAGTAGGTCCCAAGATAAGGAGCCTAAAGGGCTTTTTTCTTTCTGTGTATTCCTTCTTGGCCTCCAACATGGGTACAGTCACAAGAGCATGTAACAGAGAAGAAGGAATAGACCTACCATTTTCTAGATAAAGAATTGGAAAGAGGATCCACAGGTAACCAAAAAGTACCAGGGAAATGGCAGAGAAGGAAAACCTCAGGAGACCAACCTCATAAGTGGTATTTATTAGTGCCTGGGCTCAAATCCAAATTGTACATGAATATGTCTGGTCCTAGATAGGGTACCGAAGACTTTGAAAGTGAATTTTGGTATATCATTGCCCAGATTCCAGACTGGCTATTGTGTGACACAACATACAGGATATATCTGAATAGTGCTCAGAAGAGTTTGAAAATGCAAATGATATTAAAATAAAGATGAAAAAGAGAAAGCTGGTCAGAACTTGTGGACATAACCCTTCTGGATCTGTTGCCTGATTAAAAAATAGTTGATATTCTCGAATGAATTAAAACAAGATTTAGAGACTGAGCATGGTAGCTCATTCTTGTAATCCAAGCACTTTGGGAGGGCAAGGCAAGAGAATTGCTTGCGGCCAGGAGTTTGAGACCAGCTTGGCCAACAGTGAGACCAGGTTGCTAGGAAAAAGAAAAAATAAAAAAATAAAAAGCTGGGCATAGTGGCATGTGCCTGTAGTCACAGCTACTTGGGAGGCTTAGGCAGGAGGATTACTTGAGCTGAGGATGTCGAGGCTGCAGTGAGCACATCACTGCACTCCAGCTTGGGTGATAGAGCAAGACCTAAAAATTAAAAAAAACAAAAAACAAGACTTAGAGTCTCATAATATTCAGTAAGTCTAGCATATAATGAAAAATTGCTCAGCATATGAAGAACTAGGAAAATTTCAACTTGCATGGGAAATCCAACCTACATTAACACTGAGATGACAGATCTTGGAATTACCTGACTGACTCTAAAGCAGCTGTTATTAAAATGTTCCAATGAGTAAGGGCAAATCTCTTTATATGAATTGAAAGGAAGAAGGTCTCAACAAAGAAATAAAAGAAATACAGACATTTTATGGTAACTTTAGAACTAAAAAACACAATAACTCAATTAAAAAAAAACTCATTGGAAGGCTCCATGAAAGTGACAGAGGAAGAATTGGTGAATTTGAAGATAGATTGATAGAAATTATTTCATATGAACAACACAGAGAAACATGATTTCAAAAAAAATGAACATAGCTTCAGGAAGCTGAAGGACAACATAAAAAGGTCTGATATGTATGGCTTTGAAAATCCAGAAAGGTAGAAAGAGTGCAGTGTGTGTGTGTGTGTGTGTGTGTGTGTATGAACATGTACACAAACGTATATAAACACCCTTATGTTTGAAGAAATAATGGCTGAAACATCCCAAATTAGCCAAATCACATAAACCTACAGATTCAAGGACCTCAGAAAACTCAAAATAAACACAAATAAATCCATGCCCAAAGACATCATAATGAAACTGCTGAAAACTAAAGACAAAGAGAAACCTTGAAAAAAGCCTGAAAAAAAATGATATGTTCCTTGTGGAGAAAAATCTATTTAAATAACTTCAAATTTCTTGTCAAATTTCACAGAAGCTAAAAAGAAATCAACCAACATTTTTTAAATGCTGGAGGAAAAGAACTGTCAAGTAAAAATATTATATCCAACAAAAACCTCCTCAGGAATTAAGGCAAAATAAAGACATTCTCAGATTAAAAACAAAATAAGACAAAACAAAACAAAACAAAAACCCAAAGATACCCTCTAAAAAGTTTGCTGAAGAAATTCTTCACACACAAGAAAATAAACTGAAGAGCAAGTTTCATGAAAGAACAGCAGAAATGGTAACTATATAAATAAATATAGTACATATCATCCTTTTCTTGAGTTATTTAAAACACTTGAGAGTCAAAAGCAAAAATATGACATTGGCTGATACAGTTTTTATCCAGTATGCATATTTAATTTAAATATCTACTATAATATAAAAGGACCTATATGATGGTAGTAGGATTCCTGCATTCTACTTGAAAAAGTAAAGTATTGATTCTAAATATAACATGAAAATTAAGCATGTATATAGCAATCCCTGGAGCAACCACCAAAATTTTTTTTTGTATACACAAAGAGATACAGTAAAAAACCTGATATACTTCGGTGGAATGCTAAAAATAATCCAATAACACAAAATAAGACAGAAAAGCTAAAACAGAGGAATAAAAATCAGAAACAACCAGCAGAAAACAAATAATGAAATGGTAGACTTAAATCCAAGCATATCTATACTTGCATTAAATGTAAATGGTCTAAAGGGCCAATTTAAAGGCTAATGATTACCAGAATAAATAAAGAAAAATGTATGATGCAGCAATATGCTATGTACAAAAAATCACTTTAAAATAATGACAAAGGTATGCCCAAAGTAAAAAGGTGGGAACTATAAACCATGCAAACATTAAATAAAACAATACTCAGGTTGCTATATCAATATTAGACAAAATAGACTTCAAAGCAAGGAAAATGACTGGGAATAAAGATGACATTAAATAATAATAAAAAGAACAATTTACTAAGAAGACATAACAACCTTAACTATGTCTGTAGCAAACAGCATAGCATCAAAATACGTGAAGTAGAAACTAACAAAAATGAAAGGACAAACAGAAATATTCACAATTATACTTTGAAGATTCAACAGTACTTTCTAGAAAATTGACAGAACTAGTAAACAGAAAATATGCCTTGATATAGAAAAGCTGAAGGAAAAAACCAACTGACTGAATATAGTTGATGTTTTTCTCACTCTACTCCAAAACAATAGAATAGGCATTCTTTTCAAGTGCACGTGGAATAATATTACATTTATGAAGATAGACCTCATTCTAAATAATAAAACAAATTTATGGCAAGTTCATGGAATTGAAGTCACACAAAATATGTTTTTTGTCCATAGTGTAATTAAATTAGAAATAAATGACAGATGCCAGGGGAAAAAAATTCCGAACAGTTTGAAATTCAACAATACACTTCTAAATACTCTACAGTCAAAGAAGAAGTGTCAAAAAAAAATAAATTATTTCAAACTGCATAGAAATGAAAGTACAGCATATCAAATTTGTGGAATGTCTGCAAAGCAATGTTTGGAATAAAATTTATTATGTAAAATGCTCATGTTATGAGAAAATAAGTTCTCAAATCAATAATATAAGCAGCCACCTTAAGAACTTACATAAAGAAAAGCAAAAAAAAAAAAAAAAAACACACACACACAAAGCAATCAGAAGTAAAAATAATAAAGAGCATACATCAATAAAACTGAAATCAGAAAAACAGTAGAACAAATTAATGAAACCAACAGGTGGTTCTTGAAAGAGATTAATCAAATTGATGAACCTCTTGCAAGACTGACAGGAACAAAGATAAAACACACAATATCAGAAATGGAAGAATCACCACTACTGACACCATAGCATTAAAAGCATAAGAAGGTTATGTGTTTATTTATGTATAATAGCAATAAATAATTAGCAAGCACAACTTAATTAGTAATTTCACTTAAAATAGCTTTCAGAATGTGAAGCACTTAGACATAAACCTAACAAAACATGTACAAGATATGTATGCTAAAAACTACAAACCCTCATGAAAAAATCATAGATGACCTAAATGAATGGAGACATGTACCTTGTTCATGGATTAAAACACTAAACTTGTTAAGCATGTTAATTCTACTGAGTTGATCTATAGATTTAATGCAACTCCAGTCAAAATCACAGTAGAATATTTTGTAGATATAGACAAGCTAGTGCTAAAATTCATATGAAAAGGCAAAGGAACTAGAACAGCCAAAGCACTTCTTGAAAGAAATGGAGAAATTATGTGCTCAATTTTAAGAATTATTAAAAAGCTTCAGTAATCAAGAGTCTGGTATCAGAGACGAGATCAGTGGGTCCCATAGATCAATGGGACATAAATAGACCTGCATAAATATGCCAACTCATCTTTAATAAAGATGCAAAAGCAACTTACTGCAGAAAGGGTAATGTTCTAACAAATAGTAATGGAACAATAGGAAACAATTGGTATACAGAAGAAAATGCAACCTAATCCTCACATATTATGCAAAAAGAAGCTCAAAATGGATCGTAGATTTAAATGTAAAACACAAAATTATAAAATGTTTAGAAGAAAATCTTCATGACCTAGAGTTAGGGAGTGAGTTTGGGCATATCTAAGAAGAAAATATATGTATATATTTGATAATTTAAATTGGACTTTATACAAATTTAAAACTTTTGCTCTGTAAAAGACACTATAAGAGAGTGAAAAGATAAGCTATAGACAGAAATAAAATCTTTTCAAATTTCATATTCTTCAAGGGGTTTGCATTCAAGATATATTTGAAAACTCTTAAAAATCAATGGCAAAAATACAAAGAACACGATTTAAAAGTGGGCAAAAGTCTTGAACAGATTGTCGACCAAAGTAGATATGGGGAAGGTAATCAAACAGAACTATGTGCAACATCATTAGCTTAACTTAGGGAAATGCAACTAAAATGATAATGCCATAGCACTAGAATGATAATTATAAAAAGAAAACAAAACGAAAGACCCTTTCACTACCAACTGCTGGTAAGGATGTGGAGCAACTAGACTTCTTATACGTTGATTATAGGGATACAAAATGGCAAAGCTGCTTGAAAAATGGGTTGGCAATTTCTCAGAAAGGTGAACAAATGCTTATCATATGACCCATACATGCCATTCCTTAGTATTTATGCTAGCAAACTTTAAATTTATGTTCACAAAAAACCATATGTGAATATTTATAGTAGCTTTGTTCATATTTGTCAAAAATTGACAATCATCAAAATGCCATTCAACAGGTGAATAGAAAAACAAACTGTGGTATCTGACTACTTCTTGTCAATTAAAAGGAATGAATTATTGATTTGTGCAACAACTTGGATGAATTTCAAAGGCATTATACAGAATGAAAGAAGTCAACCTCAAAAAGTTTACCTACCATATCATATAGAATTTCAACAAGGCAGAGTTATGGTGGAACGAAATCAGTGAGTGCCAGGGGTTGGGGTGGGGGAAAAGTGTGACTACAAGGAGATAGCATGGGAGGTTTTGGGGGAACTGATGGAGCTGTTCCACATCTTGATTCTCATGGTGATTATATAAATCTATGCATGTGATATAATTCATAAAACTATGATTTATATGACTATAAATTAATTTTAAAAATAAAACTAGAAGAAAAAAGTCTTCCCAATGCTTGACTATTGCTTTTAGATTATCCTCTAAACTCCATAGCAGGCAATGAATGGCTTCCATTCTCTGGCTACACTCATTTTCCCAACGTATTTTTTTGCCCAGCATTGTTGTGAATCTGTTCTCAGTGTCTCACTCACTTTAGTTTTTCTCTATTCCCTAAAGATCCGAGTTATAATATACAACCTCACCAATGCTGATTATTTGAGACCAGCAGCATATCTGGAGCTGGTTAACTGACAGATGTGATTGGTTGGAACTTTACCTAATTCACCCAAGGCACATTTGGTTTTCAAAGACTTGAAAAGGGATCAATGTTCTCATCTGTGAGGTTTTAAGACTTTTGTAGGCGAGGATGAATTTCATTCTACTGACAACCTGAACGTTTTTTCATGATTTCAATACCCCTATAAAAAGATAAAGGCAGCTGGGAATACTTACTCTAGAAGAAATATGGTTGAAAGGAGAATATAAACCATTCACATAAATGGTAAATAAGTATTTGTCATCTTAACTAAGGATACAAAAAAAAGGAAGTGTGCATCAATTATACCATGATGGATTAATTGTGCTGTATGGAAAAATTTCCTATTAAGGAAATTTGTTTACCTTCCTGAAAAGTGTGGCTGAGGTTGGTCACAGAGTTGTTCTCTAGATCTCTTTAAGGATAGATTCCTTTTTATTTTTTAATTGACAAAATAAATTTTATTTACTTACTGTGTACAACATTGATGTTTTCAAATATATATACATTATGAAATGACTAAATTTTATCAAATTAACATATGTATTACATTAGATAGTTACCATTTTTGTGGTGAGAACACTTTACATTTACTCTTTTTTTTTTAAGAATACAATGTATCATTAATGATAGTCACCATGGTACAATAAATATCTGTAATTTATTCCTCCTATCTAACTGAAATTATGTATCCTTTAACCGACATCTTCCTAACACCTCCAATCAGTTCAATCCACCATTCTGTTCTCTCCTATGAGATCAGCTTTTTTAGATTCTGAGTATGAGTGAGATCATGCAATATTTGTCTTTCTGTGCCTGGATTATTTCACTTAATACAATGTCCTCCAGGCTCATCCATCTTAATTGCAAATGAGAGGATTTCCTTCTTTATTACAGTTGAATAGTATTTTATTTTGTATATGTAACACATTTCCTTTATCCATTCATCCACTGATGGACACTGAGGTTAATGTCATATCTTGACTATTGTGAATGGTGCTGCAGTAAACACGGTAAACACGGAAGTGTAAAATATCTCTTTGAAATACTTATTTCATATATATGTATGTATATATATGTATACATACATGTACATATATATTCATACATATATGTATGTATATACATATGTACATGTATGTATGTATGAATATACATATATGCATGTATACATATATATGTATGAATATATATACATGTACATGAATATGAATATATGTACATGCATATGTACACATATATACATACATATATATATATATATATATATATATATATATATATATAGTGGTGGGATTGCTGGATCATATGGTAGTTCTGTTTTTAATTTTCTGAGAAACCTTCACGCTGTTTTCCATAATGGTTACACTAATTTCCATTCCCACCAGCAATGCACAAGAGTCCCCTTTCCTCCACATCCTCACTAGCACTTGTTATGTTTTGTCTTTTTGGTAAAAGCCATTCTAATAGGTGTGAGGTGATATCGCATTGTGACGTTAATTTGCGTTTATCCAGTGATTAGTGATGTTGAGCATTTTTCATATGCCCGATGGCCACTTGTATGTCTTTTTTTGAGAAGTGTCTATTCAGATATTTTGCCCGTTTTTTAATCGGGTTGTTTTGTTGCTGTTGAGTTGTTTGAGTTCCTTATATATTTTGGATATGAACCCCTTATCAAATGTATATTTTACAAATATGTTTTCCCATAGGATAGATTTTTAACCGTTTGGGATGGTTTAAGGGAGGCCAAATGGAAAGCCTAAAAAAAGAGCATTCTGTGGCTCCATGGTGGATTCTGGCATACTTTTTTCAGGATGCTCTTTTCCAGGTCAATATTTAAAGAACTTGAAGACCGCAAAGCTTCTGCTCTTGAGATGAGAAGGAGCTTCTCCTCCACTAATGATCTGAATTTAACACTGGATCACTTAAAGCCAGGTTCATTTGCAAAATATTTGCTCAGCTTTGATGCTATAAAAGCCTCTCCAAAGCTAAGGAAACCCTGAGAAATGGATTATTCATGTGACTCTGCAGAGCTTGGTATCAGGCATTGCTTGTATTTAATCTTTCCCTAAGCATTAACATTCTAAGCTTATGAAAAATTTGTGACGTATGCTAAATATATTCCATCCAGTTATGATCAGAGTCCAGTCACCTGAGTGTAAGATTTCTGCCCTTTCAGTGAGAATTGAGAGCCCTGGTGAAGGCAGATAGAAAAGCCCAGAAACACTTGTTGTTTTATTTATTTTTCATTGAGCCTCTGGCTAATTTTTGATAAGGTGTCACAGATTTAATCAGTTTTAGTTTAAATAGAAGATTGAGAAATACTATCTTCTTTTCATTACCATTAGAAAGAAACCTTAAAGCTTAATTTTGACTGCATGAAATGATATCTAACAGCAAATATTTGTAATTGGTGTATTCCAGATACTTGTAGTGTAGGAAATACAATATTGTTTTCTTTAAAAGGAAATTGGGTGTGTATAAAACATCAGAGGAAACAAATTTAAGGCAAGATTCTGAATGACAGTTCTGTATTCTACAAACCTTTGCTAATGAAAGGGAAGATGATGATTTTCAATGTAGGTCATGGCCTGAAGTGGAGAATTTCTGAAATTGTCATTGCAGACCCTCCAATCAGCCTGATCTGTCTCTGCAACACTCCTGATGAGCTCTGAGCCTTCTCAGTGCTATGAGTATTTACATCAGGCAGAGGTGGGTTGGGATCCAAAGCTTACCCACCCTAATATGAGTAAGATGATTCTATTACATTCATCCTAGAGAGAATATCCTTCATAGAAATAGAGGAAGAAAAAGCTTGCATTTGGTTAGGAATATAGATTATGAAGAGCCTCCTTATCCTGAAAGCTGAGATAATATCTGTATCATATGTGGTAACAAAAAATAAGGTTATTTGTATAAAGAAGTTAGCATATAGGAAGGTATATAGTAAAGTGCTTCATAATGGCAGGAAGGAAAGAAATATTGAAGGAAAAATTTAAAAGACATTGCGTCAGTTGGTATCTGTTTTTGGCAAGTAAACAAACAAAATATATTTTCTCTTTTCTGCCAGTAGATAGGTTAGGAAGCAGCTGGAAGGTAACATCGTGTCTGACTTCTAGGATATCACACCTTCAATGAGTTATTGTTTTATTGTTCCTTGGGAGCTTCCACTGAACGTGGTGTTCTGTCACTTCTGAAACTCTGGGGATTTCTTTTCATGATAGAAAATTGACAACTAGTATTTTTTTAATCATAGAAGGTAAGAATTGTGCTTATTGACCAAACATGTGATCAAAAGTGGTTAGAAAGTCTTTAGCAGGTGTACCATAAATGCCTGCCACCTTCCCATTTCCACACCTCCACAGACAGCTTCTTGTGAATACCCCCTCCACACATACCCAACCATACATAGTGTTCTCTCTGCTAAGAAGAAAACTGTATACAGACCACATGACCTCACCTCACTTTCATTCTCCTCCGTACCCAAAGCTGAGACTATGGTGGCCAGTCATTTGTAAGCTGTCTAGGCACCTTTGACATGGCATTGTTTGAAAAGATAAGAGGTTATCTTTGGGGAATTTGGTATGAAGGAACAAAGCAATGAGCAGTGAAGATGAAAGTTTATGTGACAGAGGCTGAGATAGCCATCATGGGGAATGATTTAAGCTGAAATTGTGGGAAAGTAGAAAGTATGACTATGAATAAGTGTAATGTATAACATAAAGACAGATGATTTATAACACAGAGAAAATATTACAGATCAGAAAATGAAAAAGCCAAAGGGGAGAGATAAGAGAGTGGAATCGATTTCTGCGTAGGTAGAGAGTTTAATATAAAGTAGAATATGGAATCCTTCCATGTTCTCCCTCATAAAATT
Organism: Homo sapiens; assembly: GCF_000001405.40. Classification (NCBI taxonomy): domain Eukaryota; kingdom Metazoa; phylum Chordata; class Mammalia; order Primates; family Hominidae; genus Homo; species Homo sapiens. The sequence goes on from NC_000008.11 coordinate 32,051,076, forward strand.
CACAGAAACCTCACGACTTACCAAAGATGCCAAGAGGAGCAGGAGATGCTCTTGTGTTTCACCCAAATATTTGTTTCTCATTTTTTTTAATGAATGTGTGTATTTTCTAGAATGAATATAAAGGAATGCCTCATTCGTTTATGTATTTAAAATACGTCTTGACTACCAATAATGTATAACAACCTCTGCTAGACTCAATGCTAGGTCCAGTGCATGCACTTGGAATCCAGGGACCCAACTTGGAAGGGCTCACAGTCTTATGTTAGGAGACAGATAAGGAAGCATATTTATGGGGCACATGTGAGATTTTGTTACATGCATAGAATGTGTAGTGATTAAGTCAGGGTATTTGAGATGTCCACTACTTTGACTATCTGTCATTTCTATGTGTTACATGCTGTGATACTGATAAAGACAGGGTATGTAAATGTGGGAGCTCAAAGGAGGGACATCTAACTCCAACAGTTTGCCAGTTGTGGGGAAGAAAGGGTAAGGAAGTTTCCTCAAATAATTACATCTGAGCAGAATTATGGCATGCCAGCAACCTCAGCCAGGTGAAGGGCAAAGAGAAACATTTGCATGAGAGCCTCCAGGGAGGTAGAGAATGCAGTGTTCAGGAACTACAACAACAACAACAACAACAAATCAAGTATTCCTGGGCCACAAGATGTGAGAGGGGGAATGATGGGAGATTTGCTGGAGGGCAGGGGGATTCAAATAAAAGACCAGCACACATGAGCTGGTTTGTGACCTACTACATAGTTTTGACTTGATCCTTACAACATAGTATTTTAAGTTAAAGAGAGAGAAGTTCATATTTGCAGCGGGGAGGTGGATAAGTGGTTGTTGAGACATTAAAATAGTAGAGTTTACTGGACTTGGAAGACTTAGCACTGGACTTGGTAACTTAGTACCTTGATTTCTGGCATCTCAGTGAGTTGAGGCCACATGACAAGTAGGAGGAAGAGCAGTTATTATCAAGAGAATGCAAATGACTGAAATGTTGAGTTGGGGTTTCTATGGGATATACTGGTAGATAGCAGAGTCAGTAGTAAGATACAAATAGGTCTGAGACACAGGAGAGAATCTCAAAAGGGATATTAAGCTTCCATCTCTGTAAGAGCCATATGGTTGGGTAGTTGGTTTGCTTTGTGCTATACAACTATTTGAAGTTCTTTACATTTTCTTTCCTCCTGTTTTTTTTTTTTTTTTTTTTTTGAAACAAGATCTTGCTCTGTTACCCAGGCTGGAGTCCAGTGGTGTGATCATAGCTCACTGCAGCCTCAAACTCCTAGGCTCAAGCGATCCTCCCACCTCAGCCAACTGAGTAGCTGGGACTACAGGCATGTGCCACCATGCCCCATTAATTTTTTATTTGTATTTTTTTTAAAGACAGGGGTCTCACGGTGCTGGCCAGACTGGTCTCAAACTCCTGGCCTCAAGTTATCCTCCCACCTCTACGTTTTCAAATCTAAAAAAATAGTTTAGGACGTATTCACCTTAGAGATTTAAGAGTTTATATTTTAGCAAGCTGTAAAGTCCAGAAATCAAATTGTGAGTGGGCAAACAAAATCAAAGCAAGTTTCATCTCATTTAGAAATGTGGAAGAATGAGAACCCTTAGTTTACCTTGCTTTTGTGCATGCAGAGTGCTAGCTGTAATGGGTTAGCACAAAAAGACAAAATCCTAAATCACAGTCACTTTGCCATAATTTTTAATAGTTATGTTCTCTCATAGTTCTATGGATGACATGCTCATTATAGACAGTCTGAAACTGAGGAGAACCAGGGTTCTTCCTACATGTTTATGTTGAATGTGGAGAAGGTGAGGTTACTGCTTCTGCTGCCCTTTTCAGCTCAACATTTGATCTGGCCAATGTGGTTAGCTATACTGTGTCTCCTACCACCACACATACTCAGAAAACTGTGGTAGTAAACATAGAATGAACTTCCTTAAAAGTAGAAAACCATTCATTGGCTAAGGTACATAAGAATAAGAATGAATGATGAAAACATTGGTAGAAATGCTGATGGAAGAACTGATTGATGCAGATCTATTTTGGAGACCCCTTAACTGCCAGGGGACATGAATTGCCTGGCTGGTTGAATTGACTCTAGAAATGATGCTCTGTGGCCGCTAAGTCTCCATATTTGACCAAAAGGTGTGTGAGGGCTGTGTCCATTTCATCACTTGCCATGAGTCCTCAGGGCTAGTCAGAATACCAGGCCGATACACGCTTCACAAGCATGTATTGAATGAGTGAATGAGAAAATGAATACAATAATATTTTCACTAGTAGCCATGGATTGAGGATAAAATTAATAAGAAGAGCCCCCAGGAAGTCCGGATTGAGCTTTATGCTCTGGGACACTCTTCTGCTCAGCTTTGTGGAATAATTTGCAGCACTAGAAATGGACTTAACAACCAGGATGAGGGGGTCATGTTTTGGGGATCAAACCTCTTTTCATCATGAAAGCTACTGGGTGGCCTCTGACATGATGTGTTTAGTTATCAAACATGTCAGCTAATACCATGGAGAGAACACATGTATTAAAAGTGACAGACATAACAAGGGTCAAAGATTAAAGGTGAATTGCAAAGGGCTTTTTACTGCATCTCTGTTGTTATAACAGTTTCTAGAGTAGGTTGAATACATGAGCAAAAAGAATGATGAGGAGTCATGGTGAGCAGAAGCTCTCTTCTCAGGCAAAGCAGGAATTTTTTTCCCCACATTGAGCTAAATATTCTTTAAATGCTATAAATGTTACTACATATCTGTGCTGTTTGTGGGACAGCACAAACATATTTGAAACATTCAGCAGTTCTTTCTCATTAACTTCCATTTTTCTAATTTTCATTGGTTATATTTTCCTGATTACAGAAGTAGTATTGGCTCATTATCAAAAATAAATGAATGAAAAAATATAGACAGTTAAAATGTGATATAATGTAATGGCCTAAATATGACATTGTTAACTGTACATTCCTGCAGTTACAATTGAAGATGGCATTTTATCCCTTAATCAGATACAAAGAACTGTTAGAAAACTTCCTTTTTGCCCACCACTGCATTGTATACTGTGGTATATATGGAAATTCCCAATACAGACATGGAAATGATAAATAAACACAAGGGGAACTCTCACGGCATAACTCTGTGTCTAGCAGGCTAAGATAATACCATGTTGTGCAGTGGTGGTAATTAGAGCACATCACGTGACTCTGAGTTTTTGAGGGCAGTGGTCAATATCTTTATCTTTGTATCCCCAAGGGTGTTGGCTAAAATGTTCAGTTAGCACTTTGAATGAGGGAATGCTTATTGAGTAAAAAGTCAATTACATGTGACAATAAATGCAGTAAGAATTAGTCAAGAGAAAGACAAGTGTGGCCTGCAGTCACCAACAGAAGCTTTAAGCTCCAAGGATACCCAAATGCGTATGTTAATCATGTGTTATTGTTAAAGCATTTAGATGATGATGTTTGGAAGTTGTGTGCAAAACCAGGAAAAATTTGACCAAGTTTTGGAAGTTCCTTTCTGTTTGATTTATCTGCTGTTATGGTGTTAGGGCTATTGCTGTTTTATAGATCAGTTCTACACTGTAGTAATTAACTGGGTAATGAAGACAAAAAGTATTTAGAAACACTCTGACATATCAAGAAATTAGTGTCACCAACCCAGAGGCTTCTCTGTCTCTTCAGCATAATCTTCCATCTCAGGTATACCTAAACTTGGGTGTTTACTGCCTCAAAAGCAAGCATTTCCCTTGAAAAGCAGATTTCTTTCTTTCTTTTTTTTTTTTTTTTTTTTTTTTTTTTTTTTTTTTTTTTTTTGAGATGAGTCTCGCTCTGTCACCCAGGCTGGAGTGCAGTGGCACAATCTTGGCTCACTGCAACCTCTGCCTCCCGGGTTCAAGCAATTCTCCTGCCTCAACCTCCCGAGTTGCTGGGTCTACAGGCATATGCCACCATGCCTGGCTAATTTTTTTGTATTTTTAGTAGAGACGGGGTTTCAGTATATTGGCCAGGCTGGTCTCAAACTCCTGACCTCAGGTGATCCGCCTGCCTTGGCCTCCCAAAGTGCTGGGATTACAGAGAGAAGCTCCAGCTTTTGCACTAGCTGAATGTTGTTATACTTCCTCAAACATTTGAGGATAAAGACATAATATGTGATAGTTTTAGGTGACTTTTTGTGTGTAACATTTGAGCTCTGAGGATAATAATATATCTTTCTATATAACACATTTCAATATCTATTTAATGTGCCAGTTGCAAGAATTTTCTGATTGACATTGATCATTTTCATTCAGAATTAAGTCATTTCCTTCTGGGAATTAATATAATAGATTTATTATATGCTTATGGGCCTTGTCTAAGCTCTCTTCTCCACACTGTTTCTTCAAATGTAATTCCATTGAAAATCTAGCTGCTGTTTTAGAGATTACAGTAAGGCAAAGCATTTCTCAGAAGACAAATATAGAACCTAAAGTTACTATAATGACATTTGGCAAATTATATAATCTGAGTTCATTTTTTTTCTCTTCTCTCCCTCCTCCCTTGTCACAAAGCCTATAGGAAGGTATACTACATATTTTGACACTTTTTTTTTTTTTTGCTTTCAATAGCTGTGTTCTTACTCACCACTTTAAAATAACGTCTTTCTTATATCTTTTAACTCAGAGGTATACTCAGAGACTGGAAGACTTGAACGGGGACTGGCTACCCAGATAGAGCCCCCTTGGTGGTGTTTTCCTTGGTGATATGATACTGGGCCGTATTCCCTCAGGATTGCAGGGTGAGAACTGTGTCTTTGCTAGCAGACTAGGTAGGAGAGGATCCATTCCTCAGAATCAGGTTCATGTTAACATAGTTCACATATTGTATTAAATACAAACCAGAATGCCAAGTTTTTTATTTACAATGAGCAATATAGCTGTTAAATAGGCTATGGCACTCAAGTCAACAACAATTCACAGACTCCTCTCCCCATAGAGAAGCAACATGGGGATCCAAATTGTAATCAGAATGCCAAGTTATCAATTTATAATGAGAAATGCATCTGTCTGACGAGAATGTTGAGTTGGCCTGATAAATTCATTGTCTCCCTGTAGATTAGTGACAGGGGATGCCAAATTTTCGGAAAGTTGCGAGAGAATATGGCTTTAAAACAATGGGAAGGAGTTGATCTTAATTTCTGTCTTCCAATTAAGATGGTTTTAACATTCCCACCTCTACCTGGCTGGCCTTGCCGAGAAAACAATACTGCTTTAGTCAAACAATACTGCTTTAGTCGCTGTGACCAGTGTGGGCAATAAAATGTTTATTTTCTGCCTTTCCTTTTTCTTTGCTTTTCTCAACCAACTACCTCTCTCCAAAAATGTGTATGACATAATTGATTGGGCTTTTGTCTGTCATAGTATTGATTCATCGAGCCTCAATCATATTTCAGCCTTCCAGCCCTAGAATTACTCCCATATTATTTTTTACTGGTGTCTGGGCTATGTTCATATGTGCCAATCAAACATGTATAGTTTACTGACCTAACCTCACATTTGTTTAATCATATCCTTTATTTTTAAATTCTGTAAATCAACTCACTGCAGTCCTTGGCACTGAAAATACCTCTATTTCTTCACTACATTTCCTGAAGTGGCAAAAATGCCAAGATTATATGAGACCCAGGGGGAAATATAGTGTTCTCTGCCCCTAGTGTTTAATGCAAATTGAAACTAAAATAAGGCTTGCTTTGAAAAAGTACAAAAATAAATTTTAAAAAATGCTAAAAGCTGGATTCTTCTCTTTTGGAGATGGCAAAGAGATAGTAAAGTTGATAAAGAGATGATTTGGGAAATGCAGGTACTTTTTAGCATTAGTGAGTAGACTCATTTCTAACATCTCCTGGAAGTATTTGTGAATTGGCTCCAGAATCTTTTGCTATCACCTACCCTACAATTAACTAGGGATATGCAATCACCAAATACAGTTTCTGGGACACCTTCAAAGATGTCAGCTTCTTCACCATAAAGATGGCAAAAAGTAGAATAATTACATTCTATCTTTGACCTTTGATGAGAAATGATCAGTTTCTTTTTCTAATCCAATATGGCAAGCACTTCTAATTCGTGTGAATAGATCTCTTTATAGACATAGTGTGTTTATATTTAAATACTAAGATAATCTGGAATTCTGAAGCTACAACTGTATAATGACATTATACTTGGTCAGCTATTGCTTTTCTTTTCCCATTTATTTATTTTGCATTGAGTCCTACACTGGTGAAAGGCCTGGTGCGTTGCATTGAGTTCTGCATGTTTGAACTTCACAAAGGTTCAAAGGTGTGCACATGGCCTGGAACGATAAACATTTGTCCTAAAGTCATTCTTCAGCTTCTGACATAGCTTGTGATTTAATTGCCACCTCATTAATATGGGCCACTGGGTGTGAATTTGTCAAAACAAGATACATCAGGAGAGCTGAGTGAAATGTTTCATGTTCAGAGGTTTTTACCACTCCTGTTCCCCACTGCCCATGTTTTGTAAACTTTTAACTTCAAGAGACTGGTTTAATAAACATGCCCTGTCTTCTAGGTCATTGGGTTAAGGATCATTTCAGTCTTTTTGAACTTTTCACTTTTCCTGTGTAAGTATAAGCTAAGTACTTATTGGGTTCTAAAGCTAAAAGCCTATGAAGATAAAGGGCCTTATTGAAATAGTGAAGTGAGCAAAATATCTTTATGGTTCCTGACCTTGTCCTCCTGGGCTTTGTCCTTCTTTTAATGAATGACACCTTACCCTCAGGTTCCCAGTATTTACACCTTTGTAGTGTTTTTGCAATTCAGAAAAATGTATTTGATAGATGAGTAGGGTGACTGTCGTTTACAATAATCTATTTTCTATCTCAAAATAGCTAAAAGAGAATAGTTTGAATGTTTCTAGCATTAACAAAAGACAAACATTTAAGGTGATACATATTCCAATTATACCGACTTGATCTTTACAAGTTATACAAATGTATTAATTCACCACGTGTAGCCCAAAAATATGTACAACTATTAAGTATCAATTTAAATTTTTTTAAAAGGACACAGTGAAGGACCATACTTAAACTTGATTATTTAATTGCTCATCATGAAATTTTATAGGGAAAGAAGAAGAAAATCTTCAATAACTCAAACTCATAAGTAAAGGGACATACATGGCTGTATATAAAGGCTATTTATAAAGCCCTCTATATAAAAGTTATACATAGCCTATAAAATAAATAAGGATCTGACTTTATATTGGTACCTGGCACAACACATGCATTGCACACAGGAACCACTCCATAATTACAATTAAAATTATTATACACACAAATACATATTTACTTCTTATCAAGGTATCACATGTTAATGCTCACATGAAGCAGTATCAAAATACCGCCAATGAGTTGTAGAAGTCTCTTGCTCTATTTTCCTCAGTGGCATTCTCACTCCCTAGTGAAGTGTTTTTAATTATTTTTATTTTTTTATTTTTTTACTGGCTATTTTAGACTTTCTGGTAGAGCACTCAATAATTTCTGGATCTGTCAGAGTTAGGCAATCCACTCTGCAATTGGCAAGATGGGGATTTTGCTCATTTATACTTGACTCTCCTTCTTCTATTAATCTTCTCCTTCTATTTATATAACTGTAACATAGCTGCAAGCTTTAAGTAAAACACGTAAAGTCATTTTCTTGTTCTGATGACTTGCAATATTTTCTCTTTATTCCCCACGAGATGAAATGAGGATCTTGGTCCCATACGCTTTCCCCAACTTCTTCTCACTCATTTCAGGCCCTACTTCTGTCAATCACTCTTTCTGTGTTTAGATTGTTGATATTTGCACGTTCTGCTAAAAATACAATCATCTTTGCCCAAAGGTTAACTTTAAAAGTAGAACAATAAACAGTATTAACATTATTATGGCCACATAAAAATCATTTAATGTTAGGTAAAAAGTATGTTAGGATTACATTTTTTTAAGAGACCAATGTCATGACCTCTAACTCACTGAAAAGAAAAGATTCCTAGCATTTGAGTTCAAATAAATGTTTTTTTCCTTATATTTAGTCAATTGCTTAAAATTAAGCTGCATTTCTTTTATGTATTCTATTTTCCTGCATCATATCTTCATATATATTTTTTTACTCTCTATCATATTATCTAGTCTATTTGGTCTGCTTTCCCCCACTCCAAATATATCCCCCTTCTAGAGTCGTCTTTCTCCCTACTCCACACTGGACTTACAACTCCTAGACATCGTGCTGCATCGCTAATGTCCTAAGTTTGGTGTTATTGGTGCTATCAATCTTCTTGGTTAGATCTGATATTTTGGTAGCTTCCTATTTTTTGAATTATCCTCTTGTTTTATTATAATACATCCTAAAGTAACTTCCTAAGAGAAAGCACACAGGAGGTAAATGTTCTGTTTCTTGCATACTCTCATATTTGTGTGACCCTTTGGCCGACGATAGAATTCTAGGTTGAAAAGAGTTTTCCTTTCGAAATTTGAAAGCTCTGCTCCATTGTTGTTGATGAGAAGTCAAGTACTAGTTTTATTCCTCCTGTTTCCCTTTAAAAACTTTTAGGAGCATCTCATTATTTTAGGTATTTACATGTTTTCGATGACATACTTGAGAATCCTTTTTGCACTTATTACAATATACACTCAAGGAAACTTCTTGGTTTATAGATTAATGTCTTCCATTGAGCTATGGGAAACTTTATTTCTATCTTTTCTTTAATATGTTCTCGCCTCCATTTTCTCTCTTCTCTTTCTCTGACTTTTAATATCTGGATGTTAGATCTTCCAGACTTATCCTTTCTCATGACTTCTGTCTTTATACTTTAGTCAAATTAGTGAGAGTCCCTTTACTGTGTTTACTCCCTCTACTTTTCTATTTTGTTTATTCCAACAACTGTGTTTTTAGTTTCTAAGTAGTCTTTCTTGCTCTCTATTTTAATTGTCCTTACCTTCTGTTTTTATTTTTTGGTTATAATAGTTTCTCCAATTTGTGTAAGTTTATTAGAGTATCTTTTGTCTTTGTTCATTTATTTCTTACACTATTCCTGTTTTCATCTTGCCTGTCTTAGTCTTTATCCATAATATTGCCAGATCTCCTAATATATTTATTATTCTTGCTGGTCTATTTGTATTTAAGGGAAACAAAAATGGCAGACTGCTTTTTTTTTTATCTAATAGAACTATTTACACTTAAAATCTTTATCCTTAGTGAGAACTGTGGGAATAGAGGAAACAGAGGGAGGGGCAGGTGATCCAATATATTAAAGAGGTGAAATTTGGCATCAATGAGCCTCCACCATAAAAGAATGTGAAAATTGCTATTCCCAGATGCCAACATCTAACTAAAGCCTTGCTTTTCTACTGGGAATTAGTTCAATTTTTTTAGAGAAGAACAAACAATAATTTTTGTTTTGCTTTGTTTTGGTTTTTGGTTTGGGGGGTTGCATGATTATTATTTTCTTGGATGATTATTATTATTTGCTTGTAATTGTTCCTGCTGTTTGTTTCCCAATATCTCAAACGGAGATATTTGGCTGCACAGGAGAACAACATATGTAGCTGTTTCATACATGGAGCTTACATTGGGTTTTGTTTTCAGTCATATCTTTTATTTCTACCCTTGGACTCCCTGAAGTTTTTGTTATTCTTTTTATTTCTGCCAAATCTCCCACCAATTTCGTAGTCACCTTATAGCATATTTTAGACTCTGGTTTTCTGCCTGTTACGTTTTAAAATGGAGCAGTAAACACAATTATGACCACATAACTAAGTTAAAATTGAGTCAAAAAGTGTGCTAAGATTAGGTTTTAGATTTTTTTTTACTTTCAGGGACCAATGTTGTGAACTTCCCATCACCTATCTTCATCTTCATCCCAAAATAGCACACCCTTTCTTGGTTATTATGTACTTCTTTTGTGTTCTGCTAAACTATTATATACTATACTTATGCTTTCAAAATAATTCATTTATATATAATTAAGTTTTGTGTAAATATTTAACATATAAATATTTAGTAGAATCTCTGAAAGGAGTGAAGGCAAAAACTTTCCTGACCCATAATAATTACATACCTAGAGCATCACAAAATCTATTATCAATGAATGGATTCTGAATTCTTTGATAACATGTCTTTAATTTTTAGGATTTAAAGTACCTCCTTTAAAGCACCAGACCAGTAGTCAATTATTATGATACTCACCTCTGATATTGTCTTATCCCTGAGTGTGTAATAAACTTCTGGTCCCTGGAATTTCTCTTCCCTCATAAAACTGTTTCTCAATGTATCATTTTGTGATGACTTTTTTTTCTGAGCTTCCTTTACCTACCCAATAGGTACACATTTTTTCCCAAGATGCTACAACAATACCAGACAATTCCAGATATTCCCGCCTTCCACTTGTGATCTGTAAAATATATATACTGGTTGGTTATGTGCAATGTTTTATGCCCTATGCCCTTTCACTGGTGATGTTTTAAAGCAAGCATTGTAGATGACCATGAATTATAGCAGACAGGTTCCCAGTCCTATGCTGTTTCCTAATGTACATTTTTTCTCTTGTCACAACTAGGAAAGTCACGTTTCAGTGTTTTGGTTTTGGTGAATGCCCACAACAAGGCTAGTGAAGGAAGGAGGCATAGTAGGAAGCTGTTGGCCAGACGAGCTTTTAGAAGACCCTTGCTACATAGAGAGGACGTAGAAAATGTCTTTATCATTAGGTGAGAAACATGAACTGCATTCTTTGTTGCGTCATATTAAAATGTAAATCACAAGAATAAATTATAAAAATAAAACCTAACCAAAACACAAACAGGAGGAGGTAACAGAGGACAGAACAGAGTTCCTAGAAAATTATATTACAGGACAGACATACAAGTACCCAAGAGAAAGCAAAATTCTAAAAGTCTCTTAGCCAAGTGTAGAGCACAAAAGTTCTCCTCAGTTCATGCACTTTCGAGGCATGTCAGTTGGAAAAAGAGCATGCTATAGGAGACAGTTTTATTGTGTTTTGTGCAGTGACCTTTTAAAAGGGAAAGGTCCTTTCTGAGATATTTTGAGTTCACTCATGCATCTGTCATAGAATTTGCTTGGAACGAAGTGTGCCTGTCACCCCAACCTTTCTTCAGAGCAGAGCCTGCTTCCTCATGGGAAGAATGATGTTTTAAGAGTGTCATTCAGATGGAACAGAAAGAGGTCTTCTCCAGGTTTGTCTTGCTACTGAATCAATAGGATCTCCTGGATTTTGAAAAGTATATTAAATTTTTTTTCAGACGTCAGAGTTGGGGGGAACTAGTTTTGTTTAGCTTTATACAAATTTCTAGCATTACTTGTACGGATATGCTGGAGATTCTGCTGCCTCTTGCAATCTGACAGCCTCATGGAGAGTTGAATAAATGGTCATTGCCTGGGTAAGTGAGGGCTCTTTCTAAAGTGTTCAAGAGTAGGTCACATAGAGAGGAGTGCCTTCTTCCTGCATTTTTTCAAGTACCTGTTTTCCCCTATTTTATTCTTTTGGAAGGGATTGATTTTATGGTAGTCCCTTTCTTTTCTCACCTCTTGACAGAATGTTTTTCTAAATGATTCCTTCAGATTATTCTTTAGGTCCCATTAAAAGAAACATGCTGGTTCTTCATTCTCATTCTGTCTTTATGCTTAATGCAGATATAATTCATATTTGTTTTATCAAAGTCATTTGATAACCTCTTCAATGACAAATCCCTGATTACAGATGTATTCTCTTTTGGTAACCCACAGGGGTTGAAATTGCTCTAATTTTTGGTACTGTGTATTAGGTTGAGATTAAAAAAAACTTTGAGGACAATCTTTTCCTTATTTAATATCTGGAGAAAAAATACTACATGTGAGAAAGGTGGAAAAAGGATGTTGCACTGTATGTAATAAAAGCTATGAATTTTGGCACTTTTGTAAACTGTAAAGATGTAAATGTTCCTTAATTATTTTCAGTAGTCAGACTTATGTTTCTTCCAGTTGTATTTCCAGGCTGAGACAATACAAAAGATGGACAGCTCTAAGTTGATTATCAAGCTTTAAATATGTTTCACTTGATTAAGAACATTGAAGGTGAGAATGGAATTATGTAGGCTTCACTGAGTATCCGTAAAGTTGGGAACAATGATATACAACACAGAAAAGAAGCTCCATAAGAAAACAGCTGCAACTAACCCATCTGGAAAGAGACCTCAATCAAAATGATACTTAGCGAAAGAAAAATACTTTCAGTGATCAAATTATTTGTCTGACCAATGCTTGGTGGAAAGATTCCACATTACTAGTTATTTGTAATGGGTAATTGCACAATATACTGTATTGTTCAATCTGGTGTGAATGAAAGTGGGGAGATCTTGACAATTGTCTTGGAACAATAGATGTAAAATTGAGACTATTCTGGGAAAACCAGGATGTTTGGGCCCCCTGGTAATAGTCTAATCATTATACATCTGTGCTATAAGCACACAAATAACATCTAGTAATGAAAGAAACATTCAGCTAAGAAAACTTGCAGTCAAAAACTTTTGATAAAGCTGTGAAGACTTGTTAGGTCATGTATTAATTTAAGATCTTTAAGATGGAGAGCATCCCATCAATGATTAGGAGAAACACAAACATTTTATATTGTGTTTAATACACTTTTTTATGTTTAATAAAAAACATATCACCTACCCTACAACTCATAATTAACTTATATAAAGTTTTTTTTGTTTAATAAACATTTCATATTGTGTTTAATAAAACGCAAACATTTTATTACTTACAGGTCCTGGGTGGGGGCAGTACGTGGCATGCCTGGAGATGACACACAAGGAGATCAGGAAGTGTGGGCAGGGAGAATGTGGACCTGGGTCACTTGTATTTATTGGAGTCCAGGGTGAGAAACCTAAGTGTCATGGGACGAGGGGAGCAATTGGGCAGTTTAAAACAAGCAGGCACAAAATTTCAAACAACCCAACATTAAAAACCCTTTCTGGCAAAGAAATGTTATCTAGAAATCTAGCTGACCCAAAGGCTGAGTGTGTGGGTTTGGGGTAAGAGCTATCTTGCCTCACCAGAGCAACAAAAAGGAGAAGTCATCGGCTAAGCTAGATAGCCAAACAAAATGGATGCTGAGGCAACATTAAATTATAAGAATTATAAGGTCAAGATGGGATGGAGATTCTGGACCTGGTACAAGGAAGTGCTGCAATGAATAGCAGGGAGTTAGGGCAGACTACTTCCAGTGTCCTGAGTTTTCAGGTTTCATTTGGCTGTCAAAACCATTTGTTCCCTAGACTGTGATTTGACTGGTGATGCTGGCTGGCAGTGCCCCTACTGATGACTTAGCAGATGACTCTGAGCTGACAATTTGCCATCCTTCAGCTGTCTTGGTAGGAGGGATTCAGTTACCAGCATGCACAGCACAGAGCAGAATCCAACCTCATAGATTTTCAAAAACTTATCGCTAAAGTCTATTATTAACAGCTTGGTAAGAAAAGTCTTTTTCATTGAGAAATGTATAGATTATTGTGAAGGAAAAGTATTTGCTAAGACCAGACTGGCCGAAGCTAATCCTTTTGGGAATAGCCTTACCAATTTGGGGGAAATGACTCATTTACTTATAAGCTATACCTGTCAGCTTCCCTTTACTACCTTTGACAGCTCTTAAACCAGCAGTATAAGAACTGCTAGTGAAAAAATAAACATTAGTATAAAACTTTATGTACCTATTACATAACAGTCATATATTAGGTGTCCATTTTAAGTACAGATACTGAAATAGCAAAATAATTTATTGGAGAAACTCAAAATGCTATAGAAAAATTTGACTTGGAAAGCACCACAAATGTACATGATACAAGTAAACTTGAAGAAACCAATTACATTGGGGGATAGTCTTGTTTTCTGTTATTCTGTGGACTTGCTTTATTAATATATGGAATTTAGAGTTTCTTATATTTAAAAAATATGAAAATGCACATAATCATTCCCAGGCTGCTCCTGATCCTTTAGTGATGATTCCTACAGAAAAAAAAAAAGTGCTTGGGATGGGGAAGAACTTTGTGGCCATCGATTTTTTCTTTCTTTCTTTATTATTTTTATTTTTTTATTATACTTTAAGTTTTAGGGTACATGTGCACAACGTGCAGGTTTGTTACATATGTATACATGTGCCATGTTGGTGTGCTGCACCCATTAACTCATCATTTAACATTAGGTATATCTCCTAATGCTATCCCTTCCCCCTCCCACCACCCCACAACAGGCCCCAGTGTGTGATGTTCCGCTTCCCGTGTCCATGTGTTCTCATTGTTCAATTCCCACCTATGAGTGAGAACATGTGGTGTTTGGTTTTTTGTCCTTGTGATAGTTTGCTGAGAATGATGGTTTCCAGCTTCATCCATATCCCTACAAAGGACATGGCTGCATAGTATTCCATGGTGTATATATGCCACATTTTCTTAATCCAGTCTATCATTGTTGGACATTTGGCTTGGTTCCAAGTCTTTGCTATTGTGAATAGTGCCACTATAAACATACCTGTGCATGGGTCTTTATAGCAGCATGATTTATAATCCTTTGGGTATATACCCAGTAATGGGATTGCTGGGTCAAATGGTATTTCTAGTTCTAGATCCCTGAGGAATCGCCACCCTGACTTCCACAATGGTTGAACTAGTTTACAGTCCCACCAACAGTGCAAAAGTGTTCCTATTTCTCCACATCCTCTCTGGCACCTGTTGTTTACTGACTTTTTAATGATCACCATTCTAATTGGTGTGAGACGGTATCTCATTGTGGTTTTGATTTGCATTTCTCTGATGGCCAGTGATGATGAGCATTTTTTCATGTTTCTTTTGGCCGCATAAATGTCTTCTTTTGAGAAGTGTCTGTTCCTATCCTTTGCCCACTTTTTGATGGGGTTGTTTGTTTTTTTCTTGTAAATTTGTTTGAGTTCATTGTAGATTCTGGATATTATCCCTTTGTCAGATGAATAGATTGCAAAAATTTTCTCCCATTCTGTAGGTTGCCTGTTCATTCTGATGGTAGTTTCTTTTGCTGTGCAGAAGCTCTTTAGTTTAATTAGATCCCATTTGTCAATTTTGGCCTTTGTTGCCATTGCTTCTGGTGTTTTAGACATGAAGTCCTTGTCCATGCCTATGTCCTGAATGGTATTGCCTAGGTTTTCTTCTAGGGTTTTAATGGTTTTAGGTCTAACATTTAAGTCTTTAATCCATGTTGAATTAATTTTTGTATAAGATGTAAGGAAGGGATCCAGTTTCAGCTTTTTACATATGGCTAGCCAGTTTTCCCAGCACCATTTATTAAATAGGGAATCCTTTCCCCATTTTCTTGTTTTTCTCAGGTTTGTCAAAGATCAGATAGTTGTAGATATGCAGCATTATTTCTGAGGGCTCTGTTCTGTTCCATTGGTCTATATCTCTGTTTTGGTACCAGTACCATGCTGTTTTGGTTACTGTAGCCTTGTAGTATAGTTTGAAGTCAGGTAGCATGATGCCTCCAGCTTTGTTCTTCTGGCTTAGTGTTGACTTGGCAATGAGGACTCTTTTTTGGTTCCATAGGAACTTTAAAGTAGTTTTTTCCAATTCTATGAAGAAAGGCATTGGTAGCTTGATGGGGATGGCATTGAATCTGTAAATTACCTTGGGCAGTATGGCCATTTTCATGATATTGATTCTTCCTATCCATGAGCATGGAATGTTCTTCCATTTGTTTGTATCCTCTTTTATTTCGTTGAGCAGTGGTTTGTAGTTCTCCTTGAAGAGGTCCTTCACATCCCTTGTAAGTTGGATTCCTAGGTATTTTATTCTCTTTGAAGCAATTGTGAATGGGAGTTCACTCATGATTTGGCTCTCTGTTTGTCTGTTATGGGTGGATAAGAATGCTTGTGATTTTTGCTCATCGATTTTGTATCCTGAGACTTTGCTGAAGTTGCCTATTAGCTTAAGGAGAGTTTGGGCTGAGACGATGGGGTTTTCTAAATATACAATCATATCATCTCCAAACAGGGACAATTTGACTTCCTCTTTTCCTAATTGAATACCCTTTATTTCCTTCTCCTGTCTGATTGCCCTGGCCAGAACTTCCAACACTATGTTGAATAGGAGTGGTGAGAGAGGGCATCCCTGTCTTGTGCCAGTTTTCAAAGGGAATGCTTCCAGTTTTTGCCCATTCAGTATGATATTGGCCGTGGATTTGTCATAGACAGCGCTTATTATTTTGAGGTACGTCCCATCAATACCTAATTTATTGAGAGTTTTTAGCATGAAGCGTTGTTGAAGTTTGTCAAAGGCCTTTTCTGCATCTACTGAGATAATCATGTGGTTTTTGTCTTTGGTTCTGTTTATATGCTGGATTACATTTATTGATTTTTGTATGTTGAACCAGCCTTGCATCCCAGGGATGAAGCCCACTTGATCACGGTGGATAAGCTTTTTGATGTGCTACTGGATTTGGTTTGCCAGTATTTTATGGCCGTCAATTTTTGACCCTGAGAGTGAACCTCACCTTTGGAAGTTACTACCAAGCATTTGACTTTTGGAAGACTCTTTACACAGCAAGAGATCTCCTCCACCTTTGAGGTGAGGACATTAAACTTGGTTTAAAAAATTACTTTTCCAAGTACATTAACTATGTCTTATATATTATCCATACACGATTACTAAGAAAATATAAACATTTTTTCATATACTGGTTAATTGGCTTTAAAGAAAAAAATCCCCTTTTTAATCCCATCAGGATTTAGTTTGACAAATTTTTCAGAAACTTATAAAGATGAAAACACCTGGATGTATTTCTCTGTAAACTTTGGCTGTTAGCATCCTTTTTCAATGCTTGTGTAGTTTTTCAGAACAGAACCTAACCTTCAAGATGAGTCATTTGTTCCCAAACTTGAATTGTCATGAAACACTCCTTGGGTTTCCCTCCCGTGCTGAATATGATTTCTAAGAATGGGATGGCATGGTTACTGTATAAAGATCATTTGTTCTACAGGTCAGAAGGCCTGAGTTCTCATCATTAATTAACTTTGTGATGTATGTTGGGTAAATCACTTAACCTCTACAGTTTTATCTTCTGTAAAATATGAAAGAAAGACTTTGAGCTAAAGTTTGTTTCTACTGTAAGAACATGAGATATTTTATCTTGGTGACATCATGGCTTATGGGCAGGCTGAGGTGGGATTAGTAATTGCAAAAGCAGTGGTCATAAGGTGAAGAAACCTGGACATGACTTCAGACTTAACCTGGGAAATAAAATCAGGGAATGTGGACAAAGTCAGACACTACTTTAGCACAGGATGAGATGCCAGAAGATGATGGATCCAACAAAGACATGCATGAAAGGCCACGGGGCTGTTTCTGGGCTTAAACAAGCTAGTCTTAATTAGGAGAAAAAGCGGAGGGACTGGAGGAGTGGAGGAGAGGAAGTCAATAGTGATGCAGTACTTCCATCCTAGAGGGTTTCTTCGAGAGCCAAGAGTTCCAATCTGTGCATGGCATTACCCCTTCTGAGGTAAAAGAAAAAGTCCTCTACAAAAACCTGACAGTATTCTGCCCTCAAGCCCCTTGTTAACCAGGCCAAGGTGAGGCATGGGTTTCATGCCCTACTGATAGCAGTGCAAGATGTCTTGTTATGAGTATTGATATCGAAGTATGCTTTTAAATCATATTTCACTCTGACACCGTTAGCTACGTAACTAAGTCTTAGTGCTATTGCCAGTGGTCCAATCTAAATGATGTAGTAGAGAATCTAGTTCATTACTCTGAGCTGGGACTCTGATGAAGATGTAGGGTGACACACTGTCTTTGTGAAGAAGGCATGTGTGGAATACTTGGTGTCTTTGGTGAGATGGCAGAACTTAAACCGTGAGGAGGATGGCAATCATGAGGAATGGTATCAGGAAGTTTTTCCAGCTTGATAGATGGGAAGGAAAGCAGAATGGCAGGAAGGGGGCCAGGTGCTATCTCCTTGAAGGAGGGATGAACCGTCCTCAGGGTCTGTCTGCTCACAGGCAGGAGACTTATACCAGAACTGTGTTTACTGGAAGTCTTTTAGAGTTCAAAGTGAACTTATCTGAGTTTGACAAATAATCCCCTACAGCAAGACAAAGAGTAGTAGATGAATTATACATTTGGATACTGTTGGAAAGGGAGAGGTAAAATCCAAGTTGGAATAAAGCATATGTTATGGGAGATCATCAATATCATTGAGCACGGGCTTTGAGGATTAGAGTTATGATGAAGTATAATAGTACAGAATCAGCTTGAGACACAGTCTTATGTTTGTTTTGGTCATCTGCCTAGAAGTAAGGTGCAGAAAATGCTTATACTTTGAAAAGTCGTGAATTAAATAGAACTTTCTAGCAATGGTTGATGAACTGGGTGGGTGTCAAAAATCAAGACTTCATGATTGGGAAGCTGTGGGGATGGGGAATTTTCTTAGAAAAGAGAGAGACTCTAAATGGTGCTAGTGGGGTGGCCTAAGCCCTGACAGTGGAATGGGACCTTTTTGGAAGACTGCACCTCGGGGTAAGGATGCTTGTGACCCTGAGACTAGCATCAACCCATGATAGAACCCAAGGGTGCAGAAACCTATGATAGAAAGCAAGGGTACCAAAACCTTGAGGGTGTTGGCAGACTGAGGGGCACTCAGTTCACCCAGGGACATCCTTCACCTGAGAATGACTTTTCTAGATCTCCCTGCAGTGGTTTTGAGAACCTGAGTCCTAGTTGAGCCTTCTGTGATGCCTTCCAAGTCCTAGCAGTGTGGCGTGCCCACACATCTTTCTCAACAAAGGATGCAGAAATAGGAATGTAATTAGAGCAGTTCATCCTCGGTAGAGAGTCCTTTGTGGTTCCCAGCTGGGCAGTAGTTTAAAGGATAGCCCTGTGAATCTACTCAAATAGTATCTTTATTTAAGATGTCAATAAAAGGTAGTAAACTTGAGAATCTCTGAGAAGCATTGATCCATAGTGGAAATTACATGTATTTAAGTATGAAGGTAGTAAATATATATTAACAACACATTATATGCCAGATACTGTCCTGGGTATGAGCTATAGCTGGAAGTCAGAGCGGTACAAAATCTACCATGGGGGAGTTTAAGACCAAGTTTTCAAGCCAAACGGAACTGGATTCTACTAATTTCCAGACTGATGCCTTGGAGAGGTTACTTGAATTTTTCTGAATGTCCATTTTCTCATATATTAAATGACCATTATAACCTTGCTCTGTAAGACTGCTTGTTAGATGATATAATATCTTTCAAATATCTGTTAAAGTGCCTAATAATAGCATAATAGCTACTCAATAAGTAGCCATAATTGTTTTAACAAATGAAATTTAGACTCCTAGGAAAATTAGAAAGTACTGCACTGGCTTTCCTGTTTTCCTAATGGCCATGATTATTTATCCAGTGACTCAGTGCAGATTTTGATTTATTTTCCTTTTCATAGCCACCTTATCAAAAAGTCCTGCTACTGTTATTTCTACTTCAAAATGCATCTCAAATCTATTCACCTCTCTCTGTTCCCATCTGTATCACCCTAGTCCAAGCTCTCTTACTCCCTAGAGCAATAGCCGGTAACCATGTGCTTACAACACATTCTCTGCAAAGGCAGCAGAGTGTATTTTTTACAGCATATATCAGACCATAAGGGCCTCTTGCTTATAAAGGACCAGTGGATTTTTATTGCATTTACTATCCAAATCTGAAGTTGCCATCATAACCAGACTTCTCTCATTCTCTTCCATGTCTTCTGGTATCACATTCCTGCACTAACCTCTACACCCTGCGTCCTCCCACCTCACCTCAGCTTCACCGTGTTCTCAGTTTCCAGCACGCACCAAGCTCTGTGCCACTTCGAGGCCTCACACCTGCCGATCTCTCTGCCTATGATTCTCTTCTCTATGCTCTTTGCTGAACCACCTCCTTCTTATCCTTCTGCCCTCAGCCTTACCTCAACCAGCCCATCATTCTCTCAGCCTCCACCGTAGCACTTCTCATGACTGGTGCTTGCTTATTTACATGTTTTCTCTTGCGCATTGGCCACCACAAAGGTAAATTCTTATCTGTTGTGTGTTCACCTTGGAATTTCCCATCCTTAACTCGATAGGAGGCTCTTATTAAATATCTTTGTAAATAAATGATATTTTTATGATAGATAATTGCAGATTACATGATTGTTCAGTTGTTAACTCTGTGCAGTCGTAGAGTATTCTGGTTTTAAAGATTAGCACTTGGTTTATATGTGAATGAACTTTCAAAATTAGACACGATCTTCTCAGTTTTCTTGTCAAAGACTGTTTCTAAAGATTTGCATGAGCTAGTCTGGTCCTGGCTATCTTCCTATCAGGGATGCATTCCTGTATTGGTAGATTCTGTAGATTAACTTTCTAAATCATTCATGGCCCTTCCTTCTGCGCCGTTAACTAGGAAGTATAAAGTACTTTAGAACATTTCATTATTAGTATTCCCAATATGACCGTGGAAATGTGGGCAGTGGGATGAGGCAATCAAACTGAGGTTTTCTTTCATGATAACTATTTTTGAAAACTACCTGCAGTGAGAAAGAATTCTCAAGCAGGTGCAGTGGTGTTTGAGAGAAGCATAAATGGAGTGGTTGAGCCCAGACCTTGGAGTCAAATAAACCTAGGTTTGCATCTCAGCTCTGTTGCTTACAAGCTATGTATTTAAACTCTCTGATCTCCAAAGTGGTTTTGGTGATTCAATTAGATCATTCATACAATGAGAGTCTTAACAAATGGTAAGCATTTTTAACTTTTAGAAAAACACAAGGCAGTTAGTAGACGAAGTGTATGAGGACATTGCTAGCTTAATATAAGGTTCTTTAAGGGTAAAATAAAGAGAAAGGGAAGAAAGGCAGAGTTCTTTCTTTTTTAACTTCTTAAACCTTTTCTTATGAAAAGATATGCCACATAACCATAATTCATCCTGGCAATTAGGTAAACAGTATACAGAATATGACTCTCGCCATTAAATAAACTTAAGCAAGGTATCTTTATCCTGAAGGAATTCTTAGAGATTTCATCATGAGTAAGCACTTTTCAGTATAGAATTGCCAAAATACAAAAGAACACCAGAGAACCACTCTAACTTCTAAAAAAAATAAGAAACCCAAAACCTTGTGATTGAAAAAAAAAAAAAAAGTAAGAAAAAGAGGCCCTTAGTCATTCTGTTCCCTTTTGGGCCTCTATCTTTCATTTCCTCTGGGGAAATAAAGTTATAAACTGTGCTGGCAGTAATCTAGGGTGATGCCAAGTCAGTTACCCACCCCCAACTCCATGTCTCCAAAAGATTCTTTACCACCCTTTGACTCTAATTAAAGAAAACAAATGTTTCCAGTTTTCTGTCATGTACCTTTCCACTCTGAATTATAGAATAGCTTTCTTGAAATTCTTTTAATTGTTTTTTACAAAGGATTAGCATTAAATTCATAGATAAAAATAAATTAGTAATAGTGATCAAAATGACCTAACTCCACTTTGTTTTTACTTTTCTTCTGGGTAGGAGGGCAAATAACATAACTGCTTATATGGTGATTTATTTTAAATTGAATCTGAATTTCTATTTCTTAAGGCCTCATTGGCTTCATGGCAAATAAGAGAGTTTTAAAGAATTTATTGTGTTAATTTCTGAGAAACCAGGAGTTTACTGTTGACAATAATGGCACAAATTACAACTCCTACACAGCTCTACCCCCTCCACTTTTGAGTTTCAAGACTTTTGCCAAAGTTTTCTGGTCTTTGTTCACTTCTATTATTAACATCTCTTGTGTGAAGGGGAATTTTGAATGAATGGGATGAAATCATCTAAACCAGCTTCGGTCCTAAATATAGTGTCTGGCATCAGGTCTGGGAAAAAAAAAATTGGTCAAAGAGATAGCCTGAGGTTATTTTTAGGAAGTTGGATGTTTAGGGAAATTGATACTATGAAAGTTCTGGCCTCTATCTCTGAAGATATTCCATTGAGAGATACATGCATGCATTCAACATCTCGTTTTTTTCCATTCCTGCCCTTTGGGTGTTCCGCGTCATTCACTATCTTGTCATTACAGCATTAAGCAGAAGCTTGAGGCAGAAGATAGCTAATGCAACGTTTCCATTTGGTCCTGTAATTTTTCTGCACAGAGCTTTATAGGATTTCATTTCGGGTTAATAAGGGGAAGTTGGAACCGAGGAGAAAGCTTATGCTCTGCCAACATATACTGAGGATTACTAAACTTGGAGGTAGAAAATAGAACACAGGAATAAAAATGGAAAAGTCCTGGCAGATTTCTCCGTAGCAGACTTCATCCTTAAAAAGCAGAATTCCATCCAGCTCTTCTTGGTGGCATAATTCCTTATCATGGAATTATAAGATAAATGCTCTGTTTTTATGCGTCTCTCTTTTCTAAAGTTGAATTGAGTGTCTGAAAGACAGATGATGTGTCTAATACCACCGTTGTTTTACAGAAGGGAAATCTAAGAAAACTATAGCTACCCTCCTGGGAAAACATATCTAGGCATTTGCTAACAGTCATTTAGGCTGCATCTATGCACTTCCACACAGAAGGATAAATGTCACATGTTCGTTGAATGATCCAGATGTTTCAAATATACAGTTGTTTTATATTTGGTAAACAATGCAGTTAGGTCATGTAAATTTTAATTTTTCATTTGGAGTTTATCCCTATGCAGGCAATCATAGATTAGAAAGTTATTTTTTTCATGTCCTACCTCTTTGAATTGTCAGGTTCTTTTAAATGCTGTTATGTAGCAATAAATAATATTTTATCCATAATCAAGGTGGATGACTTACTGGATATCAGATATTATTATTAACAAAAAGTTTACTACATTGTACAAGTATCACTAGACAAAGACAACCTCTAGAAAGTTAATTAAGGTAACTAAGGTTCTCAACTGCAACCACAAAACTTTCACAGTTAATAATAATTTCACAGTTATTAACATAACTTTTTCAAGAGGTACTATACTAAACCAAGGATGCTAAATATAACTTATTAATTTCTGTGATGGCTTCTGGGGATATCAATATTGGTATACTTTCCTCACTGCAATGAAGACACTTCTGCATCTACTTTTGAGATTTTTTTGGTCATCTTTCTAGCAGCCAGCTGTCACCTCTTGCTGCTGTAACAGTTCCTAGTAATAGTTCCCTTATTCTTCAAACCTGATGTTAGCAGGGAGGTCAGATACTCAAGCATGATTAGAATTGTAGAAGCTTGAGCCTCATATTTAAATGTGTGTAAATATATGTTTGAAAAAGAATTAATGAGCTCTTAATTGCAGATCAAAGGATATGGTTTGATAGTGAAGTGGCCCAATGAAAGTTGTTTGAATTTTCCTTTTGTCTTTCTGTAAATGGAACTGTGTTCTTGAAAGCCTCTACGTCTTTATCTTGTTCCTCAAGATTCTTAGGGCAGTGCGTGTGGGTCAGGGGTAGGTGTGTCTGGGAATTAAGAGTATCTAGTTGATTTAGTAGCTATATTTCTCTTCTTTAGCCTGTTTATTGGGAAATGAAAGACAATTTAGGCTATTTCATTTTCAGTCAGTGTCTGTTATGAATTCATTGGAAATAGCAATGTGAAAAGAGGAATGAATATTGTAGATTTCTTTCATTGTCATATTTGTAAATTACTGGGTGGGATTTATAAACAAATTATTGACTAATTATGAACAAACTGTTGTTTTTTTCTTTTCAATCAATATGAACAATCAAGTGACCTAACAAATTTAATTTTAAAAATAGATTTGAAAGGTATATAGTAGTTAAAACAAGGCCCCTTGATTCAGATTGCCTGAGTTCATATCTCAAATAGGCTACTTTTTTGTGGTGTGCCTTTAGGCAGGATGCCTCAGTTTCCTCATATGTAAAAAAGAAATGTTAATAGCAGCTTACCTTGTGGGGTTGTTGTGAGTGGGTCAAATGACCTACTATGTGTAACGCACTAGAGCAGTGCTTGGCTGGAGTAAGCTCCATGTAAATGTTAGTCCTTGAATGAAAGTAGAGCTCTGGTAGAGATATTCCATAAAGACAACCTTAAACATTTTTGAACCTTTTATGCCTCCAAAATATACACTTCCAAACTCTTCTATCACTGACCATATTACTTATACCCTAACAAGGAAGTTATTAAGAATCATACCAGAGTACAGGAATAAATCATGCCAGTCAGGAAAAGGGGTACATTGGTTATTCTATTTATAACATTACTTGAGTATTTATAACAACAAGTAAACAAAACGTTTTTTAGAAAAAGAAGAGATTACTGTGTTGTACAAATATTACTAGATGGGTAATTTCTCTCCTTTTTTTCCAATGTATTCCAGAACCCCCATGGATATCAAAATTAAATGCTCAAATCCCTTACATAAAATGGCATAGTATCTGTATACTTTAAGCAGATTACTTATAATACCTAATATAATGTGAATGCTATGTAAATAGTTGCCATACTGCATTTTTAAAATTAATATTATTTTTTAATATTTTAACCTTTTTTTTTTTTTTTTTTTTTTTTTTTTTTTTTTTTTTTGAGACGGAGTCTCGCTCTGTCACCCAGGCTGGAGTGCATTGGTGCAATCTCAGCTCACTGCAACCTCCACCTCCCAGGTTCAAGCAATTCTACCTGCCTCAGCCCCCAAGTAGCTGGGATTGCAGGCACAGGCCACCACACCCACCTAATTTTTGTGTTCATAGTAGAGACGGGGTTTCGCCGTCTTGGCCAGGCTGGTCTCAAACTCTTGACCTCAAGTGATCCGCCCACCTTGGCCTCCCAGAGTGCTGGGATTACAGGCATGAACCACCGCGCTCGGCCACATGTTTTTAACTTTTATTTTTCCAATATTTTTGATCTATGATTGGTTGAATTTGTGGAAGCCAAACCCACAGACATGGAGAGCCAGCTGTGTATTGTTATTGTCATGTCTTTTATTCTCCCCTGTTCTTTTCTGCCTAAATGCCTTAGGTACTTCTTTACAGAGTTAGATAGCATTTACCATTGATACCACCCAGAGTGGTGTGGTTTGCTTCTCCTGACCCTTTCATGAGCAAAGCTGGTTTCAGGGGAAACTCAGGGATCTGAACTGTTAGTAACACTGATTAGAAATGCAGCAGTTTTATTCAGGCCTTGGTTTTATTGACCATTTTTGGTTGGCTCTTATCTCTGTGACTGATCATGTATGCGTATTTCAAATGGATAAATAAACTAAAAAGTGTTTAATACTCCAAAATGATTAGAAGTGTATTGTTAAATACCAAAAAGAAAATAATTCTGGGGTGTTTCAGCATGTTATTCTGTTAACATAGTTCACGTTGAGTGTTTGTATTCATTTGTTGTTTGTTTGTTTGTAAGTAACAGGTTTTGACTAAAATTCCACGGACTGTGGAACAGCACACACTGGGGTCTATCGGAGGGTGGAAAGTGGGTGGAGGGAGTGGGTCAGGAAAAATAACTAATGTATACTAGGCTTAATACCTGGGTGATAAGATAGTCTTTACAACAAACCCCCATGACACAAGTTTACCTATATAACAAACCTGCCATTGTACACCTGAACTTAAGTAAAAAAAAAAAAAATTAAGTCATGTAGATGCGTACTTTGAGGTACAACCACGTGAATGATTGTGCCAAATTATTATGACAGAAAAGTCTATTGTTGATTTAGAAAAAGAATTAACACTGGGCATCATTTGAATAATGGGCTTTATAAAGAACTGCACATATTGGTTACTGGTAGTAAAATTCACAGAATGTTAGATATAAAAAGTCCTAAAGGGTACAAGGAAAACTTGGTTTGTCCTAGGTCAACTAGTAAGATTAATCTACAACCCAGGCTTCTGACTCTATTTCAACATTCTTCTCATAATGTCATTGAGGTTACACTTAATAAACAACGTTAAACACTCTCTCTTTTAAAAAAAATTGTTGGCTATACATGTTGGCTCACGCCTGTAATCCCAGCACTTTGGGAGGCTGAGGCAGGTGGATCACCAGAGTTCAGGAGTTCGAGACCAGCCTGGCCAACATGGTGAAACCCCGTCTCTACTAAAACTACAAAAATTAGCTGGGCATGGTTGCAAGTGCCTATAATCCCAGCTACTTGGGATACTGAGGCAGGAGAATCGCTGGAACCCGGGAGGCAGAGGTTGCAGTGAGCTGAAATCGCACATTGCCCTCCAGCCTGGGCGACAAGAGCAAAACTTCATCCCCTCCCCCCCAAAAAATTGTTAACTACTACAAGCATAAATATGAATATCTACTTACCTGCATTTCTGAAGCTAGACCATAAGTATTAACAGTGCTTATATCTACAGTCCCTGGCAGATAGTCGGTGTAAGAAATATAGATTAATTGAATGAATCATATGATCATGGTTAAGGTTCTTCTTTTGTGCGTTTTAGCATTTTTAAATTTTTACATTGATCATGTATTGCTTTTGAAATTTTAAAAAACCTGGCAAAATGTAATTACGATAGAAACTGACATCAAAAAGCTTTGTAGCTGAAATAGTGTAATTTTACACTGAGTTTGAAACTTCTGATATCAGGAACTTTGATGAGCCTAATACAGGTGCTATACGGGATGAAGTGAATATGCTTAGAATTTTTGATGAAAACAAATCTGACTACTCAGGTTTCTCTATGAGAAGGGTAGGCAGTTTGATTTGTAATTATGGGAAGCTGAATGTGAGGCTTGGATGAGGCTTTGTCAGTATCAGACCAGCTCCTTCCTATTGGGGGCTGAATTCCCTTGGGCTCTCCATCAGAGAGACCAACAGGAAGCAATCATGTAGTTCTTCCAACACACTCAGAAGTCAGTAGGTCCACTCCACAAATAAATTGTAATTGGCCATATAGTAAAATATTTGGTAGTGTTATTCTTGTCCTTTTCCATATGTACAAGAGAGAAAAATAAAACAACTTCACATCCTCCTAAGCAAGTGATCGAGTTTAGATATTTGTCCCCTCCAAATCTCATGTTGAAATGCGACCTCCTCATGTTGGAGGTGGGGCCTCACTGGAGGTGATTGGGTCATAGGTTCCCTCCCAGTGGTAATGAGTGAGTTCTTACTCTGTTAGTTCATGCAAGAATTGATGGTTTAAAAGAGTCTGGTGATTCTCTCCCCTCTCTCCTGCCTGTGCTCTCACCATGTGACATGTCTATTCCTCCTTCACCTTCCAGCATGATTGCAAGCTTCCTGAGTTCCTGACCAGAAGCAGATGCTGGCACCACACTTTGTGTATAGCCTTTAGAACCATGAGCCAAATCAACCACTTTTCTTTATGAATTATTCAGTCCCAGGTATTCCTTTATAGCAACACAAAACAGGCAAATACCGGAGCAACAGATCAGAATAAATAACGCTGAGAGGACCTGACCTGATTTGCTATAGGTATTGTTCTAGGGTAGCCCCTGGTATCCATTGAAGACTCTGACCGTGAGCTCTGCCTGCATTAATATAACTGGACCAAAGGAAACAGAACTTTAGTTTTATGAATGGGTGTCTCTCCAAACAATTTTTCCTGGCTGAGCTTTGTTCATTAACATTTTTCAATTTCTAAAGAACAAATAATCTCCATTTCTCTTTTTATGTCCGGCCCACTCTCCTGATAGATATAACCTCCCTCCTGTTTAGTTCCATGAATTGTACTCCAGCTGCCCAAACCTGAGAAAAGGAATTAATGACTCATTCTCTCTGTTGAGTGAGGGCTTATTCCAGCTGGCTCGCGCTATTCTGTGTGTATGGATTCTGTCAGCAGGGTTGAAATAAGATGTTAACTGGCAGTTATTCATTAATTTACAGCAAGAACAATGACTTGACTCTATGTCAACCATTTCTGAAACATTTTGACTAACATTTTTCCTGTTGCTTAGAACTGAACTTAAAAGCTGGGACAGGCATATGGAAAGAAGCAAGGATCCCCAGTTATGCTGATTGGAACTAGGACTAATGGTTTTAACACAGAATGTTTATGCATGTAGAATGAAATACACACACACACACACACACACACACACACACATACACGCACATACAAGGGGTCATACTTTATGTTTGCATTTTCCTCTAAAAGTATCCCTAAGAGTATTTGTGGTTAGTACTACATTTTTTTCATCATAGTTTGTTTAAAAGATAAAGCAGATATTATAATTATTTTCTTTACAGGTGGGAATGAGTTAAACAATAATTAACTGAACAAAAGCAATGTCCAGGTACTGCAAAACTTTACATAAATTACTCCTATTCATTTTCACAGCAACCCTCTGAAGTAAATGGTATTATCCCAACTTACAGATGTGGAAACTAATACTAATTAACTTACCTAGAATCGAGGTGGCAGAGCCAAGACACGAATTCAAGTTTCTCTTCCTCAAATTTAACATTCTTTCTTGTACAAATGTAAATGTTCTTTAAAAATGAATACATAATGGCAGGATTCATATCAATTTTCTGCCAGAATTACCATGTTTACCTGAAGTAAAATATGCTCATAAACAAAGCAGAAAGTGCAGCTGGTGCTTACATCTAGGATGATTAACTGGCATGTACAGAATTTTTTTTTCCTTCAATTGCAAAGTGAATGCAGTAAAATTACAGGGCAATGGGTTTCTTCCCACACAAGACAAGGTGATCTGAATGATATAGAAGAGAAATGCCACATGTGGAAATAATATATCAAGGATTTATTATGTGTCTGTGGTCATTCTTAAGGTCATTTTTGATGTCTACACATTTCAGCATTTGAGAAGTTGTATATTACATGCATACAAACCCATATTCAAATATACAATTGGCTAAACAAGTATTTGTTTTAATAAAGTAGTAGTAATAAAATATTTATAGCAAAGGGGACAAGACTCAGGACTGAGAGGAAAAACTCAATTAAAAAAAAGACAACAATACTTAAATCTCTTGATGCATCTACTTAGCAATGTCTACAATAGCTTTTTTAACACTATCAGAATATAGAGCATAAATTATAATGTTTATCCTGCTTTTAAAGGAAAATTTTTCTCTTATGCAATCATGGTGGGAGAAAAGAATTCTTAACGTGATTATTTGTCTCATATTTTATTTTAGGATTCTGTTAGTGTTTTTAGGATTCTATCAATGCAAGGTGTAAGAACATGTCCTGGCAGTTGAAGGAAAGGCTAAGGAAAAAGATGAAAGAGAAGTGTCGCATCCCTTACCCTCCTTTTAAAGAAATGCTGAAGTTGCTGAGCAGAAGGTGCCACAGTCATGTCCCTTAATTTATCCCTCAACCTTTTCCAGAAGTAAAGTGACTACACCTAAGCTCAGACAGTGACAGTCGTGGGAGAAAAGCTTTATAGAAACAGTGATAGGAATAAAAGTGTGTGCACTGGGATAGATGTATTTTTTAATTACAGAAGTAACTACTAATCTATATAAGAGAGGCTCCTTCCACTCTCAGAGCTTCCAACTTAACCATCTGTGAAGAGTAGGTCCTTCAAAACCAACTGTAGCGGCAAAGTTCTGAGATGATATTTCCAGACTCAGCAGATAGGAACAGGCATGCTAGGTGAGATATGGCAGGGAATATTAGTCAGGGTTCTCCAGAGGGACAGAACCAATTTGTGTGTGTGCGTGTGTGTGTGTGTGTGTGTGTGTGTGTGTGTGTGTGTGTGTGTGACAGAGACAGACAGAAAGAGAGTGCTTTAGTTTAAGGAATTGGCTCACAATTATGGAGACTGGCAAATCTAAAATCTTCAGGCTGGGTTGGCAGTCTAGAGACTCAGGAAAAGCTGATGTTGCAGTTTAAGTTCATAAGATTTCTGTTGTCAGAATTCTCTCTTGTTTGGGGAGAGGTCAGTCTTTTGTTCTATTCAGATCTTCAACCGATTGAATCAGCCCCACTCACCTTATGGAGGACAATTTGCTTGACTCGAAGTTCATTGATTTAAATGTAAATCTTGTCTGAAAACACCCTCCTAGAAATATTCAGAATAACGTTTGACAAAATATCCAGGGACCAGGGACCATGGCCCAGCCAAGTTGACACACTGAACTGACCATTACAAGTCTAGTTGGCACCCATATACATCTCCTTAAGCCATTCTTAATCTCCAAATGTGGTCACATTCTGAGGAACTGGTGGTTAGAGCTTCAACATATGCATTTTGAGGAGATACAGTGTAGTCCACATCATGGAGGTAGCCCTAGAATTTTTTTGTTTCCATTCCTATTGGCAGAGACAATTGAGGAAAAGGGAAAGTTCCCTTTCATTTATTTTACTCTCCTGCACATCTAATCTTTAAGGAGAGAATAGAATGAGAGTTGGGGCACAAAACAAGGATTGAAGGGCAGCTGACTTGAGTCCACGTAGCCCCAGAACAAAGCAAAGGAACATTAGATTAGTGGGGTAGTAGAGATTAAAGAAGTAAACAGAATTGAAACTGGCAGAAGATAGGGTCATTGTAGAGTGGAAAAACATATCTGAAACATGGTTGTTAAGTCATAAGCTAATATTTGGAAAGACAGACTCCACTTACTTTTTTCCAATAGATATATATTTACTAAAATCTTGGGAAAGCTAAGCTTATGATCAGGTGTAACCAGGCCATATCCCTTGGGTCCCAAAGTCAATAAGCAGGGAGAGCTTGGTGTTTAAGTCCTTAGGAATGGGTCATGCCACTCAGAAAAGAGAAGAGATGTTTCGATCTGTGGATTGTTATCATCTGCAACCCAGGAGGCTCTTTGATTCTTCATATCACGTTATTTTTACCTGAGGATTGTAGATACCCTACAGTCTTAAAGCCTCTGGCCAATCTGCCTTGGAACCACAGGATACATTAGGCAAGGTCTGGGGCTGGCTTTGACAAAGGACACAGTATTGCTGGCAGAAGAAATCACTCTTAAAGGGAATATAGATGCTACTGTGAGAGACTGATCAACTAATTAAGATCTTGTTGAAGATTCTCAAATTGAGTTTGAGCTTGTTGACAAAAACCAGGCTTAGGCAGAGGGATGATGATCCTGAGAGCATCCTATCTCCATCAATAGGAGTATGTTTTCAACCTAGTGGTTTTTTTTTTTAATTTTTATTTTAGGTTCCAGGGTACATATGCAGATTTGTTATATAGGTAAACTAATGTCATAGGGGTTTGTAATACAGGTTACTTCATCACCCAGGGATTAAGCCTGTTACCCAATAGGTATTTTTTCTGATCCTCTCCCTCCTCCTACCCTCCACCCTCCACCCTCAAGTAGGCCCCAGTGTCTCTTTTTCACCTCTATGTGTCCATGAGTTTTCATCCTTTAGCTCCCGCTTATTAGTGAGAACATGTAGTATTTGGTTTTCTGTTCATGTGTCAGTTTGCTAAGGATGTTGGCCTCCATTCTTGCCATGAAAAACAACAGGAAAATAAAGCACTACCCTTGAGCATGCCTCTAGAACTTGAGGTTCAAGAACAACAGAAGAGTGGCAGAAAACTATATCTTAAATATATTCTTTATCTTTTGTCAGTCCTCAATCTGGCAAGAACATTGCTGCTACCTGACCTCATAGACATGCATTTGAACTCCTACTTTTAGTATCTGCTCTAAGATCTGATTTAAGAACAGATAGTAGAATAGAATAAGCTTGGTTCTCTAGGTATCAATTTTCCCAAATTTCACAGTAGTTCTATGTACAGTCACATTGTATATTATAAAATATATGTTTAACTGTCACATGCAAGTATATTTCAGTTTTTAAAAGCTCAAGGTGCATGCTGATAGTCACTATAAATAAATAAATACATATGTCAACATCTCCCTATCCCCAATTCCTCCCTCATCAAAAACTAAATAAAGGGCAAATGAATAAATAAATAAAAATGTTTAAACTGCTGACCTTCCTGTCAACAAAGGTGATGTGAGTTACAAGAATCTGTTTTCTAGCTGGAGATGTGGGCGCAGTCATGAGTATGCCTCCACCATTAACAGCACTAAACCCAACGTACTCACAAACAACAGCTGCATGAAAAGGCCAAGCTTAGTATCATGTGTAATTTATGAGAGCTTGTTAAAACACATACATGCACACAAAGTTGAATGAATAATACCAGGTGATGGTTAGGAAACAGAAAATTCCTGAAGCATCTCTTCTTTTTAATGAAGTATCAAAAATACTGTTTTATTAAAATCGGGAGAAAAAAGGCTTTAGGCCAAGTGTGTTGGGTTGGCCTTGCAACTCTACTTCGGTTACAAATTTAAAGGCCAAAGAGTTAGAGATTGTGTATATGGGTATGTGTGTTGCAGGTTGGGGTGTGGGACATATCAATACAATAGGTAAAATGAATGGTGGATTGTGTCTGGGATAATGTGGCATATTTTATCTCAAATCCCAACCTTATCTCCCAATAGGAGATTTGGATCATGAGCAAGATTTGGCTTAGGCTAGTTTTCAATTCCCAGGATTCCAGCTCCTTCATAGCACCACCCTTATGCTTACTAATCCCTTCATCTTTAAGACACCTGGATAATGAGCTATCTGCATGGTTGGAAATAGTCTGGGTTTGTTCTAAATTTTACATTAGATAACAGGTCAGCAACAAAATAATGGGAGGGGGAAATTAGAAAACATTAAGTCTTATTTCATGTCATGTGATACAGTATATATGTATTTTTTTAATAAAAGAAAGTGACATATATTGTAGTTCAATTGGATATTTACATTTCATGTAGACCATAATGGTAGCGGTAATTATAGAAATCTTAGCAACTTTCAAAGGAAATTTTTCCCAGCAAGATGACTGACAAAATTTTTGAAAGTAATAGAGAGAAACTGAGGCATAAAATTTACCTGAAAGCAGTCCTGTTTAAATTGGACAAAATAATTACCTTTTCTTACATCCCTCTTTTAGAGTTTTCCTAATATCATTTAATACATAGATAGTACTAGAAAGAAAAAGACATTTTAAATTAAGACCAATGTGAAGCATTATACCCATTTAGTATCATTTTGCCCATTACCCTTATAGAAACTAAAAATAGAATGAGTGCTCAGAGTTTGTACTGTAACTGCCTGCCACTTACATGGGATAACTATTTTTAGTTCCATCGTCCTTATTAAAGGCTTTCATTATGAGTTCATTTATGGAAATGTTATCTCACAGAGTTTTTTTTGGAGACTTTTCTGAGATCTCAAAATGAGGTCTCAGAAACATGATTAGAACATAGTCATTTAGTTTCCCAGCAAATGCTGATCCTTTCCAGGAAAGTTCTATAAATAAGGAACCAAAGCTGGTTGTCAGTAATTTGAAGTAGCTGGGTTGGACCGTGAATATTAATATGTAAATTATAGCTTGTGCCATCTATACACAACCAGGATTGTATGCATATCTTCCCATGGTTTATTTTAAGTCTGAATTTGCATACAAACACTGGTCTAATTGAGTTTTTAAAAAAAATTCTTAAGAGATGCCATGTGTTACTTAAAGATGTTTTGTTTTGAAACTTTGTGATAGGTAAGATCCACTAATGTTTGTAAAATTTACCATTTGTAGGAAATATTCTATTCTCAGTAATTCCTGGTGAAAGTGGTAGGTGGGTTAGAGATCATAAAATCCAGTCTTCACGGGACCAAGCTGGAACATGGCTGGGTAGCTGGTGGGGTAGTGACAGCCCTGCTTCAAGGAGAGATCAGAAATGAGGGATGAGACTGAGTGCAAAGTCAAGGTCAACACAGGCTAATCTTGGCTTTTGGCTACTTTTCTGTAAAGAGTAATGTTTCTCTATTTGAAGGAGTGATTTTAATTCAGAAGTATATTGGAAAAGTGAAAGAATTCCTAGAGAAAAGTTAATCCCAGACAAGATAGTGAATGACATATAGTTTATTATCCAGTGACCTTTAGCACAACAACTACACATATGCGCAAGCGTAACTGCTGGGCTGCTCTGGAGTTCGCCAGAAACCCCTTGCCCTTAGTTTGAAGGAGGGAAAGAAATATCTGTAATTATTGCTCTATATCCTTTGCTTTTGACATAATTGATTCTCTGGCATTTAAAATTTATATCCACTCGCCCATAGGATTCTTTTAACTCTTTCATTGTTTATTTCCTTGTATAAGAACAGGTCTGCTAGTCAGAGAGAATGTTGAGTATCTTTCATAATCCTTGTCTTTATGGGACCAAACATTTCTGCCTTGTGCTAGAAAGATTTTTCAGCCCAGCCCCAGGCAACCACCATTCATTCTACTCTCTGCTTCTATGAGTTTGACTATTTTAGTTACCTCACAAATGCTTTTGCTGCATTTGTTTTGTATTTTAATTACACCGTTTGATGGCAATGCTAGAAATTTAGGAGCTACAGCTCCTCTCTAACATGAATGCTATCTTGTCAATGCCTTCAGAAGAATAAAGATCATAATTCTTTCTTTTACATTGTGATTTCTATAAGAATAGTTTCCTATCTTCCTGGATCTAGATGGAAGATATTAACTTTCAGACTAACTGTTCACTGGACAATTTTTCTTTCATTATTCCTAAGGTCTTTATTGTACATATGATGGTGTCTCCAATAGTTAAATATGCCTCTAACTACAACATATAATTTAAACTCATACCTCACCTGGGATTATATTGATGATTTTTGGTTCAACTATTTCTCAAATTTGAGATGCTATTCAGAATTTAAGTGAGGTCTAATACCATAGGCAGGGATTAGAAGTCCAGGCCAGAAGTCTGAAGTCATCAGCTTGGGTTCTGTTGATGTGAAGTGAATTGGATCACACAGAGATAGACATGGCCACAGTCAGGTGTGATACTTGATGTGCCTATGCTTTGCCTCTTAGCCAGTTCTTAGTCATTCCATGCACCGTGCTCCTTAGTAGAAGAGAGAACCCTTCAGGTAGACTTCTGTGAAATCCTCACAAGGCACAGAAATTTAATGGCATTTCTGAGAGTCACAAGGGTTCTGTGAAGTAGAAATTATGCTCTCATTACATTAGCTTAATGCTGAGTATATTGGGACTCTTGTAAATGGACATTTTGTTCATGGATATTTTGTTTTAGCAATTTAAAGAATGTTAACTAGCTTAATATTTTAGAGTGAACATTTTAAAGTGATAAAGAAAAATAAGAAACTTTCTTATCTCAATTAAAAATATATATGTATTTTTGGTCCACACAAATCACATCACCCAAATAATTCAGAGCACTTTGCTAGAAAAGGCAAGACAAGGTGTTTCTGAGAGTGTCTCCGCATTTAGATAGACTATTTAGTTCCATACTTAGAGATCATCCACTAGGGTTTCTTTGAGCTTGGTGAAGAATATTCAGCAACTTGCCTAAGCTCTGGGAATGTGAGCATCAGTTATGAATATAGGTCATCTCAGTTTGTGCACAGCACACTTTCTGTCAGTCCAATATAAACTTGTATGAGTAGATCTGTTTATTGTGATAACTACAACTTATATTAACTTGTTGACATGCTTTTTCTAACTTATTTTCTTGGGTCTGCATTTTTCAAAGATCAAAATTTCTGCATCTTCAGCACAAGTAGATTGAAGAACACATAATACGGATAGTGATTAGGAACATTCAGGCATGGGGAACGGGTGACATATTGTTTACTGTGTTTAAAAGATGTGTTATAAATTTCACTTAGTCAAACTAACTTGATGAAATCAAGATAGCCTATGAGGAAGAATAAGCTCTGCAACTTACATTTTTATATGGGAAGAAATAATGAGTCAGTCTTCTTGAAGTTTTTTACATTATTATAGTAAGAACATTTAAGATGAGATATACCCTTTTAACACTTTACATTTTAAGTGTTCAATATAGCATTGTTAACTCTAGATAGGACGTTTCATAGAAGATCTTAGCATCTGACGTAACTGAAACTACATGCATCGAATAGCATCTCCCCATTTCTCCCACTTCCCAGCCCCAGGCAACCACCATTCATTTTACTCTCTGCTTCTGTGAGTTTGACTATTTTACATACCTCATTGATAATGGTTTGGATGTTTGTCCTCTCCAAATCGCATGTAGAAACATGATTCCCATTGTTGGAGATGGGGTCTAATGGGAGGAGATTGGATCGTGGGGGCAGATCCCTCATGAATGGCTTAGTACCATCTGCTTGGTGATAAGTAAGTTTTTGCTCTGAGTTCATGTGAGATCTGGTTGTTTAAAAGTGTGTAGCACCTCCCCAACCGATCTCTTCCCCTTTTGCCTTCCACCATGATTATGAGCTTCCTGAGGCCCTCACTAGAAATAGATGCTGGAGCCGTGGTGGTACAGCATGCAGGACTGTGAATCAATTAAACCTCTTTTATTTCTTAAATTACCCAGCCTCAGGTATTTCTTTTCTTTCTTTTTTTTTTTTTTTTTGAGATGGACTGTCACTCTGTCACTCAGGCTGGAGTGGAGTGGCTCACTGCAACCTTCGCCTCCCGGGTTCAAGCAATTCTTCTGCCTCTGCCTCCTGAGTAGCTGGGACTACAGGTGCGTGTGCCCACGCCCAGCTAATTTTTGTATTTTTGGTAGAGACAGGGTTTCACCATATTAGCCAGGCTGCTCTTGAACTTCTGACCTTGTGATCTGCCCGCCTCAGGCTCCCAAAGTGCTGGGATTACAGGCGTGAGGCGCTGCGCCTAACCATATTTCTTTATAGTAATGCAAATGGCCTAACACACTTATGTAAGTGAAATCATGCAGCATTTGTCGTTCTTGACTGGGTTATTTCCTTTAGTGTGATGTCTTCCAGGCACATCCACATTGTCGCATATAATGAAGTTTTAATAACTGTTCTAAGACTTAGCTGAAGTCAAATGGAATGCTTCTGGTACTTCCCTCATAGCTTATCTCCTGGCCTTGACTATGGCCATTTCCTATTCCCACCCTGCTCTCCAAGGTGGTATTCTAGCCATCCTTCAAGGTCCTGTGCGAATACCATCTCCTCTAGGAAGGCTTCCTTTGGTTTCAAGGCAGAGTTCAATCGTACCCCATCTGAAAACCAATGACACTTTGGAGTACCTCATGATAGCCCTTCACAAACCCCTTTAATGTGACTGTGTGTGTATCGTCTCTCTACAGTGAGAATAAAAGCTCCAAAGCCAGGAACTATATCTTCCTCACTTCCTCATTCTCCACGGGACCTTGCGTTTAATAATTTAACGAAAATTCAACAAGTATCTGTTGATGGATAAATAATCATGGAAAATAAATTCCAGACGAGGTCAGATAAAGTGGATTATATGGGTAAACATTGTGGAAAGTAAGCTTTTCGAAATATTGTAACTGGTGAAAAGTTGTCCATCATAGTTAATGGGCTACCTGAGCAAATACCTTTCCTGAGCTTTTTCTTGAATTCATAGAAACTTGGGTCTGAAAGAAAACTTACAAGTCATCACTTTTTTTTTTTTTTTGAGACAAAGTCTCAGTCTGTTGCCAGGCTGGAGTGCAGTGGTGCGATCTGGGCTCATTGCAACCTCCGCCTCCTGGGTTCAAGCGATTTTTCTGCCTCAGCCTTCTGAGTACCTGGGACTACAGGTGCACGCCACCATGCCCAGCTAATTTTTTTGTATTTTTAGTAGAGATGGGGTTTCACCACGTTGGCCAGGATGGTCTCAATCTCTTGACCTCATGATCCTCCTGCCTCGGCGTCCAAAAGTGCTGGGATTACAGGCGTGAGCCACTGCGCCTGGCCCAGGTCATCACGTTTAGCCTCTCAGTCCTCTATGTTAGAAAACAGTAATCCAAAAAAAAATGATTTCTTTAATGCTAGATAGTGGCTGAAGTAGGACTAGAACTCAAGTATTTTAAAGCCTGCTTCACATTTCTTGTTACTAAGCTGCACTGCCTCCCACACATGGCCTATTTTGGTCTCTAAACTGTCATGAAAACAGATGCTAGGTCCCTGTCAAAATGTTTGTGTATTTCTGGGTGTGAAAAGGTATGTGTGTGTATGTGTGTGTTTGTGTCTGTGCTCATGTGCATGGATCCCTGGTGGAGGGGAGAGAAAGGCAATTTGTAGCTGCAGACTTCTGTCATTGCACGCAGCGCACTCTGCCATGGTGAGTTCATACTCCACAGCAACAGAACAGCTGCTGCAAAGGGTTGGTGTGCTATTTTCATCTTGGGTGTGTGTTTTGCATCAGGCTCTTGGCAATGGCAAGAGTAAACCTCTGTAAAGAACACCTTCTTAACCTTTTACTGTTACCCACACTTAGTCAACAGAAACAATATGTTTAACAGGAGTTTTTCCTGCTGGACAGTTAAATATGCAGTTCTTGCATATGAAACATGAATATTTTGTTCCCTTCTGTGGAATAGCAATAATAATAACACTACTAGTAATACCAGCTAAAATATTTTAAGTGCTTATTTCAAACGGAAAATTTTTTTTTTAAATGCCAGATTTTTTCTCTCTAGGGCAACAGTCATCTTGTATAACTTTGAATTCACACTAAAATCCTCTGTAGCAACATAAAGATAGAAAAATCCTCCTTTCAGCAATATGGCACTGTGTGCAATGAGCAAATGCAATGATATAGAAGGAAGATTGAGTTTAAGAGTATCAGCAGCAAAGTGACAGAAACGCTCATACATTAAAAACTAAAAATTAGACTTAATTGGTTATAGGTGGGAGGAGCCTATTACTTTTGGTGAGGACACATATAGGTGGGAAAAAGAGAAAGAAAAAAAGAACATATCTATGACAGGAAGCTTCACAGATTTCATTTTCATAATACTTTTTGAGACTAAAGGAAATAGAACATTTTCTGTCATATGTGTTCCAAGTAATGTCATTCTGTTTCTCATTTGTCTTTTGACCTGGCTGTATAATGTATGTGGTGAAACAGAACTCCTTTATTATTAATTTTTTAGTGGCTACATTAGTAACTCTTTTCCTGACAATTATGAGGAAGCTCTTGTATATTGACAAGAGCATAAATCTATCAACAGCCAGGTTCATACATAGAGTCCACCTCTTAAAGGTTATAAGATACTGGGCAAGTCATTTCATTTCTTTAAACCTGTTTCCTCATCTGTGAAATGCTGATAGAATCATACCTTACATAGATCAGATGTAAATAAAATAGTCGTAAGTTAGCGCTCAGGAAATTACAGTATTCTGTGCAAATCTTATTAACTTTGATTTTGTTTCATATATTGATAAATTTACATCTAGCTGAAAATACATTGAATCATTGTCATGGACTAAATTTTAATATGTCTTAGGAAAAGAGTCCGGGTTGAAGTGCAGTGGTGCGACGTTGGCCCCCTGCAGCCTCCGCCTCACAGGTTCAAGTGATTCTCCTGCCTCAGCCTCCCGAGAAGCTGGGATTATAGGTGCATGCCATCAGACCCAGCTAATTTTTGTATTTTTAGTAGAGATGGGGTTTTATCATGTTGACCAGGTTGTTCTCGAACTCTTGACCTCAGGTGTTCTGCCGGCCTCAGCCTCCCAAAGTGCTGAGATTACAGGCGTGAGCCACTGCACCGGTCCAGGACAAGAATATTTTTGAAACTATGAGCTTTATCATCAGAGACATTAAAACTTCAGAAGGAAAGAGACCTTTGAGTTCTTCTGAGCCAACTCCTTCCTTTTATCACTACCAACAACATGAAGTCAGAGGGAAATGACTTGCCTACAGTAAGATGAGCAGGAAGAAGTGAAAGCAGATTAGGGGCTGAGGTCTTCTTAGTTTATGTCCAGAGATCTTTCCACTTCACCCACCATACTCTACATTAGTCACTACCACGACCATCATCATCATTATGACCAAAATTAAATCTAAACAACTTTTCACCAAGTAATTCCATTTTCATGCTAAAGATCAGGCAGTTCACTTCCATTTCCTCTTTTGTCAGATGAAGGAATTGGGCCGGGCGCGGTGGCTCACACCTGTAATCCCAGAACTCTGGGAGGCCGAGGTGGGCGGATCACGAGGTCAGGAGATCGAGACCATCCTGGCTAACACGGTGAAACCTGTCTCTACTAAAAATACAAAAAATTAGCCAGGCATAGTGGCGGGTGCCTGTAGTCCCAGCTACTCAGGTGGCTGAGGCAGGAGAATGGCGTGAACCCGGGAGGCAGAGCTTGCAGTGAGCTGA
This sequence comes from Homo sapiens, assembly GCF_000001405.40. Taxonomy (NCBI): domain Eukaryota; kingdom Metazoa; phylum Chordata; class Mammalia; order Primates; family Hominidae; genus Homo; species Homo sapiens. Next base: position 32,091,229 of record NC_000008.11, read on the forward strand.
GATCACGCCACTGCACTCCAGCCTAGGCGACAGAGCGAGACTTGGTCTCAAAAAAAAAAAAAAAGAAGTAATTGGATGAGGTGATTTATGTAATTCCTACAACCTCTCAGTGCTAACAAAGCAACATTCAATGACATTTACAATGATCATGGTGGCAAGTTGGGAGAGAGAAAGGGCATTTCTGAAGTAATAATAAAATGAGTAAAATAAGATGGTAGTGCCGTGTGTTGATATTGTGAACTTTACATTTTTACTTTCTCTCATCCAAATCACAGTAAAGGAGCTGAAATAAGATTTTAGTTAATTGGTAGCCACACATGCCCACAGGCTGGTATGCCAGGCTTTGTTTTTCTCACACTGCTGTACCATATCCAAGGCCAGAGTGAATTTCAGGTGTCATGGGCTCTACAAGGGCAAGACTGGAGTAGGAGCTAAAGTCAAGTTCCCATTGGAGAGGATTGACCAACTGATAGAGGATGGAAACGAAGAGCCAAAGGGGAGAAGGGACAGGAAGTACTGAGATCTGAAAGCAAATTGCCTAACATTTAGAGGTGAGAATGTGAAATGAGGCCAACCAGGGCTGGTGCAGAGCCAGAACAAGGGAGGTCAGAAAGCTAAGGTGAAATTCTGGAAATAAATATGATGAGAGCTTATTGTAGGGGAGACTTTTGGGGGACTATGGCCTCGATCTGATGTGTCTGCTTGTCCCCAGTGCTCCTTCAAACATGCTCCTTGAAGCTTCATGCCTGCCTTAGACAGCCAGAGATTGAAAATGAACATATATTTTGAAAACAAAGACACTAAGACCATTCACAAAAATTCAAGAAGTAATTTTTTAAAAAAAATACAGTAACATTTAAAAAATATATGTTATTTCACAACATATGTAAAACCATTAAAATACATTGACATCCCAACACATATTTTGGGGTGTCAAAAAAGAAATATGGCAGGGTGCAGTGGCTCGTGGCTGTAATCCCAGCACTCTGGGAAGCTGAAGCAAGAGGATCGCTTGAGCCCAGTTCTAGACTAACCTGGGCAACATGGCAAAACCTTGTCTCTACAAAAAATAGAAAAACTTAGCTGGGCCTGGTGGTGTGTGCTTGTAGTAACAGCTGCTCAAGAGGCTGAGGCAAGAGGATTGCTTGAGCCCAAGAGTTTAAGGCTGCAGTAAACTAAGCTATGATCATGACACTGCATTCCAGCCTGGGTGACAGAGCAAGACCCTGTCTCAAAAAAAAAAAAAAAAAAGAAAAAGAAAAAAAATAGAAATAGTATATGTTGATAGGAAGCTTAGTGAAGAACATTAAAAAGATTTGCTTGAGCTCTTGGTTGCCATGGCAGAGCTGCGGGAGCTCCGGGCTCAGAAGATGGTGGACTCTATAAAGAAGCCTCTTGAGGGAGTTACATCTGGGAGTTGTAATTTTTCATGTTCAGCACCAGATGTTTTGAGGACAGGCAGGTGTTTATGCAGCAGGTGTGGCAGTGCACAGAGGACTGCCACATGCCTCTGGCTCAAGACCAAGCCTTGAGGACCACGGAGATAAAGAAGTTCCAATGCCACCTGTCCCAGTGCACCATGCATTGCAACGACAAAGCCAGAGATTCACTAGATGCAGGGAGTGAGGATCTTTAGGCGAAGTGACAGCTGGACAGTTGTGTGACCAAGTGTTGATCACATGCATGTCACCCTGACAATGACCAAGGAGATGAAGGAGATGTTCTCATCCACTGGGATACGTATCTTGGCCAGTAACCATCAGGGCTGAGGACAGGAATCTGTTTAACAAAAGGAAGGAGAATTTTAGTCTTTAAGGATGTGGGGAAAAGAAAGAGAGATCAGACTGTTATTGTGTCTATGTAGAAAGAAGTAGACGTGAGAGACTCCATTTTGTTTTGTACTAAGAAAAATTCTTCTGCCTTGAGATGCTGTTAATCTGTAACCCTAGCCCCAACCGTGTGCTCGCAGAGACATGTGCTGTGTTGACTCAAAGTTTAATGGATTTAGGGCTATGCAGGATGTGCATAGCCCGAGAAACACCCACAGGTGTGGAGGGGCAGGCCACCCCTTCAAAGGCAAGTGTCATGAATGAAGAAATTAAGGATAGCAACAAGTATAAGGCCTATGTCACTTGCCTTTGGACAAAGGTCCCTTTATATTTCAATCCTGGAAAGTGAAATGAAAAAACTAGTGCTAAAATTAGGATCAAAGATAGTACAGGAAAGTGTATTTAAGTCAAAATTTCATGTGGCAAGTGCTTCTCCTGGCAGCAGGAATATCCTTGTACCAAGCCAGAGCCTTCCAAGGTACAAGTTCTTTTTCACTATATAGGAACCGACAGACTGGCAGGGTCCTCTAATCTGGCTGTGATCTGGTGGAGTTTGAGGAGAGGTGTTTCTGTTTGGTGTGAGGCTCCTGTTTACCAGAAGTGTTGCTGCACCATTTTCCATAAACAATAAAACAAAATCCATGAGATAATTCATTTAGTGGGGCAAAAAACGTTTGTTGGTCTTTGTTTTGCTTGGTTTTGTTTTATATGTACAAGGGCATAAAGTTGACTTAGGATGTGGAGTTGGGAAGGAGAGTAGTTTGGATAAGATCTTTGAAAGGTTGCTTATGGGTATCCTTTCCTGGTCATCAAGATGTGGATGTACCTCTCTTGAAATTCTTACTCACTGCATCTTTCAGCCTGGATATGATGCAAAAACATGAGCGGTGACTTCACATTTAGGTTTGAAAGCAGAGCTTCCCTCTTATTGGCTGATGGTTCCTGAGGATGTCTGCAGCAGAGTGGCAGGACAATCTAGCAGAAATATTTTCCACTTAAAGAGATAGGGGGTTTGTGTTTGGATTTGGTTCTGATATATACCTGTATCCAGGAATAAACAGTGAAAGAGGAACCGTTGGCTACATAATTATGAGAGTTGTGAAGTGCTGAATTTGGAAAAACCCGGCTTTCATAGAACAGAATGGAATGAAAGCCCAAACCCAGCATTGCTTACGTAGCCCCTGAATTAACAGAACCCTATTGAGATAATACCCTGCCAACAGCAAGGTCAAAGAAGAAGAAGTAAGCGACTTGGCTAGGATGAGCTGTGACTTCCTTAGAGCAAAGGAGGGGCAGCCCCATTACCAAATACCACTTTTGCCCAGGCTTTTGTGACATGCAGTGCTCCTGCCCAGCATGGCACCTTATTTTGACAAGGACCTTGTTATCTTTCCACCAAGTTATCACTTGAAATGATAATATAGCTTGTATGTTGTTCCCAAGCTGTCGTATATTTTCCTGGTTGTTTGAATTTAACAATGAGAATAATAAGGTTTAATACTCCTCCCTAAGAAAAGATTTGCTTATTTCCCAATTTGAAATTACTTTGCTAAGAGGGATATAATGAGTTCTATAGTGAAACAAGTATGTGTTTTATCCTAATTTCTGAAATTATTCCTGAAAATTCAAGTCCATTGTTTGTCTCCCACCCTATCCTTTGGTTCTGTCACCTCAGAACTAACACCTTGACAAAGTGTTTCTTTTTTGTCCTTCTACCCTCCCCGCAAAAGTTTATTTTTTAATAAATCGTTTCTGGCACCAACCCAAACCACAATTACTTAAAAAGAAAAAAAAAATAGCCCAGGATTCCATTTACTTATAAACTTGCTTTCTGAACTTTATTTTTAATTTCAGCATTTTTTTTTTTTTTTTTGAGATGGGGTCTCGCTCTGTCGCCAGGCTGGAGTGCACTGGCGTGATCTCGGCTCACTGCAACCTCTGTCTCCCTGGTTCAAGCGATTCTCCTGCCTTAGCCTCCCAAGTAGCTGGGATTACAGGCACACGCCATCATGCCCAGCTAATTTTTGTATTTTTAGTAGAGACAGGGTTTCACCATGTTGGCCAGGATGGTCTTAATCTCCTGACCTCGTGATCCACCTGCCTCCGCCTCCCAAAGTGCTGGGATTACAGGCGTGAGCCTCTGCGCCGTGCCATTTTCAGCATTTTTTGATGTCAGTTATGGGTTCATTGTTTTCAATATAAGATAACATGAGCAGAGACTGTGTAGGTGGGATTGAGAGTGAAGACTGGGCTCATTGACAACCTCTCATCATCTCGTCAAGCAGAGTTTCCCATATCCTCTGAATCTATGCCTGTGTAACTCCAAATATTAGCATAAATATAAAAAATTCATCCATTTGGATATTTTATCTACATGATATTAATTATTGAAATGAATCTAAATTCTTTTCACAATGATTTTGGCAAGAAGCACTGGCTTGGAGTAAAGTCAGAAAACATGACACATAGCAAACATTTATAGACCATCTTTTTAATTGTCCATATGAAAAGAATAACATCTAGCTGATTAGATGTATTTTAGGGGAATTTGGGAAAGAATAAATAACTCTATGCCTTATGACTGTCCTGATATCTGCTATTTATATCTCTGTTCTGGGCAAAGAACACCAAAACCGAATGAATTAATTGTTGTGCATGCTATTATGTCTTGGATATAGTAATATCAACATTTATACAAATATCGACTCAGTACAGATAAAAAATAGAAAGTAATTTTCATCTTTTGTTTTTAAAGAAGGAAAAATATTATTATAGACCCTGAACCTTCTTCTTCACTGAATGGGAGGAAATAAAAGATATAGAAGCCTGAGGAATATAAAATAATAAGAAGGTAATGTGATAGAAAGTGGCTGAGGCTATGTAGTTTGAATCTCCAGAAAAGGCCTCTCTGAGAAGGAGACTTTGAGCTTGGAGATCTGAGTAACAAGAAGAAGCCAACCATGCAGGGAACAGTATTTCAGGCAGAGGGAATAGCAAGCACAAATGCTCAGGTGTGAATGATTCCAGCTGTGGTAGCCAGAGTCTATGATGCAAGGGCTAGGAGGGGTGGTAGTGAAAGGAGTTTGCATTGTATTTGAACACCAGGAGGAAACCAACACGTAGCATTAAGCAAAAAGTGGTATGATATGATTTATAGTTTCAAAAGATTACAATGGTTGTTCTGTAAGAAGATACCAGAAGAAGCAAGGAGACCAGATGTGGCTATTTTAAAAATTTTTCGTTGATACATAATAACTATACATATTTATGGGATACATGTGATATTTTGATATACACATACAATGTGTAATGATCAAATCACACACTTAACATATCTGTCACCTCAAACATTATCATTTCTTTGTGTTGGGAACATTTCAGATCTGTTCTTCTAGCTATCTGGAAATATAAAATATATTATTGTTAATTATATGTCTTAGGCTGTTTGTGTTGTTATAAAATTAATTTATAAAGAAAAATATTTATTTGGTTCACGTTTGTGATGTCTGGAAAAATTCAAAATTGGGCATCTGTATTTGGTGAAGGCCACAGGCCACTTCCCCTCATGGAGGAAGGTATAGAGAGCCCGTATGTGCAGAGATTACATGGTGAGAGAGGAAACAAGAAGGGAACAGGAGGAAACTAGCAGAGGAAGAACTCACTCTTAGTTTCTGCAAGAGGAATTAACTCACTCCCGATCTCCCCACTCCCTGGGTAAGGCATTAATCTATTTATGAAGGTTTCACATCTATGACCCAAACACCTTCCATTAAGCCCCACCTTCAACACTGGGAATCAAATTTCAACATGAGGTGTATAGAGGCAAACATCCAAACTGTAGCACTATAGTCACTCGAATGTGCTGTTGCACACTAGGACTTATTTATTCCTTCTATCTAACTGTATGTTTTTGCACATTAACCAAACTGTCTTCATTCCTCACTCCCTCATCCTTCCCTGCCTTCAGTACTATATTTCTACTCTTTATCTTCATAAGATTCACTTTTCAGCTTCCACATATGAATGAGAACATGCAATATTTGTGCTTTTGTGTCAGGCTTATTTCATGTAACATAATGACCTCCAATTCCATCTATGTTGCTGCAAATGACAGGATTTCATTCTTTCTTGTGGCTAAATAATATTCTGTTGTACACATTTACCACATTTTCTTTATCCATTTACTCATTGATGGATATTTAGGTTACTTTCATATACTGTTATTGTGATTAGTGCAACAATAAACATAGGTGTGAAGTTATCCCTTTGATGTGCTTTTTTCCTTTTCTTTGGATCAGTCCCCAAATTGAGATTGCTGGATCATATGGTAGTTCTATTTTTAGTTCTTTGAGGAGTCTCCAGACTGTTTTCCTTAATGGCTATGCAAATTTCCATTCAACAGCGTATAAAAGTTCCATTTTCTCGGCATCTTTGTCAGCATTTGTAAAATTTTTTTTGTCTTTTTGATAATAACCATACTAACTAGGGTAAGATAATACCTCATTGTGGTTTTGATTTGCATTTCCCAAATAATTCCAGGAAAGAGATGACATTGGGTTAGATTAGAGGGGAACCAGGGGATGAGTACAAAAGATGAGGAGAAGTTAGAATCTATTTTAGAAACAGAGTCAACAGAACTCACCAAATAGATGCAGTTAAGGAAGCAAGGAAAGTAACTAAGGGTAACACCTGTTTGTGGCTTAAGTAACTGAATAAATGGGGGTAAGACAATATGAGACAGCAAATATTTGGGGAATATTTTATGTGGTATTTTTGGAAAAAGGTGAAAATGTTATTAATTTAAAATCTATTATGCTTCCAATTGAAGATGAAAAGAATTGCCTAGAAAAGTCTGGAACTCAAGGAAGAGGTCAGGGCTGGAGATATAAATTTAGAAGACATTGGAATATAGGTTTAATTAAAGCCAGTTGGCCAGATGAGATCCTCCATGTAAAGATTATAGATAGAGAAGATAAGAGGGATCAAAACCAAGCCTTGGGGAATTCCAGTATTAAGAGTTGCCAGAGAAAGAAACCAACAAAGACAGAAAAAGCAATCAGTACGGTGGGAAGAAACCAAGAGGGCCTGATGTCATAAAGGCATTTCAGGCTAGAGAAAGTGTTTAATTAAAGAGAAGAAAGAAGAACTTCCATTGCATTTGGCAATGGAGGTCACATTTGTGATCTGGACAGGATAGTTGCAGAGAGTAATGAGTTTAAGTTGTACATCAAAGTAAAAGACACACACTCTGGCCAAAGGAACAGCCACAGAAGGCTGGCATATGATGTGCCTGGCACGCAAGTTTTGGTTTTGTCCTTTGGATTCTCCTGTTAGATATATGTGGCTGTTAAACAAGGTCTCAGAAATAACGGCTTGGTAATGGATGATTCTGACAGGATACAAGAAATCCCAGAGTGTTAAGCTCATCAGGTTTATTGTTAGTTCTTGTTTCCTGGAAGTGTTTGAAGCCTTGACTCTATTAGGTGAAATATGACTCCATTAAATTGTCTGACATTTTAATACTTTAATTTAGTGCCAGGGACCACTTTTAGTGTAAAATGTTTCACAGAGGGTTCTATTTTAAACTGCCTGGCTTTTGTAACTCTCAGTTTTTTCTTCCAAGCCTTTCACCAGTGTAACCATCCCAAATTTGCATCTTGTCTGATGCTAACTGAGGAAGAAGGGCACCTGGAGTTTGACCAGCAGGAACAAAACATGTTAAAATTGTTGCAGAAGATGATGAGGTAAAAACACATAGCACTGGGGCACAAAACCCTGGAGCCTGGAGCCTGTTGCAGGTGTTTAGCACTGACCTTCCACATAACCATGGGTAGCCATAGGACCTCTTTAACCCTCAGTTTTCACATTTGTAAAGGCAGTGAGCAGGAATTGCATTTTAAATATACAATTGTTGTCACTGGTAGCATCTATCTGGGGCCAGTGGCACAGGAGTAAAGAGAATTTACCCAGACAGTTGTGAGGAAAGAAAGCCATATTGATTAGAGAAAGCATGAAAATACGTTGCAAGGGTGCAATGGGCAAATCAGCAAGATAGGAGCTGACTGCAAGGAGACAAAGGCTTGCTGGGGATTTTATGGGATGGCGCTTGTGCTGGGGAGGGCTATGTGCTTTACTGATAATGCCAAAGTTGTAGTAAGCTAACTTGCAGTTTTCTATTGTCTGAGGGTCTGATAGTAAGTTGGGCATGAGAAGATTGTTAGTAATTTGCACAGAAGGGCTATGTGTCCTGGACCATGAAGAAAGGCAGACTTGTAGCTTATCTGCTTTTTCTTTTTGGTTTCTCCTGCTCCCAACAACCTGACTCCTTTTCTCTAATTAGGACTTCACAAGTGTGGCATCTCATGTATTCTAAAGTATATGGTGACCATCTAAGGAAGTTGGTTTGAATGTGCAGGTCTAGCAAAGAACATGCCCTGGATATAAAACCTAGGAATCACCATCTGATCGAAGATGGAGATGAATGACTTCACCCTAGGGCAAGAAGGACTTAAGAAGAATAGGAAGGATGGCAGGAATGGAGGAAAACATTTTGGATGGAAAGATGAGACACTGAAACAATTTGAAGATTGGAAGGTGAGAGTCTGAGGTCCAAAGCTTTACACCAGTTGTTGAAGAACCTTGATCACAGGCCAGCCAGGACCTCAAAGGCTCAAGAGAAATGATGACAAGGTTTGCTTGGCTTATTTAGAGCTGGGCTATAGAGCGGGAAGATTGTGGTTAAATCTTAGCAGAACTGATAAAAAGCATGAAGTTGTACTGAGAGATTTTTCAACTGTACATAGTTGCAGAAAGAAACAACCTGCTACCATAGTAAATATTTGTGTTAGAACTCAGTGGATGAAGGTGGAGGGGGGAACATGGACTGGAGGGGCTAACAGAGTATATGTAGTAGGCAAGTGGGATTGGAGTACAAGGGAAGGATAGCTGGGGGTGACGAGGTTGAGTCTGTGAATGAGAAGGGCTTAGGTCAATTTCTCTTTCTACCCTTCTTCCAGCTCTTCTCCTCCCTCTTTATTCCTCCCCTCTTCCCCTTCCCCCTCTTTTCCTCCTTCCCTCTGCCTCCTCTCTTCTTCCTCCTTTCTGCCTTTACTTTATCCTTTAAAGTCTTAAAAAACAAAACAAAACAAAACAAAACAAAAACTGTGATGATAGAACCCAAAGTGTACTGAGAGATTTCTTAACTGTGGGCAGGATTGTTAAGTGGTAGTAAACTCAAGACAACATTTATATTGCACTTTACAATACATAAAGCACTTTCACGTAATTAACTCCTTTGATTTGATCATCACAACAATGCCTGAGGCTAATAGTTATAAACCTTGTTACTGATGAAGAAGCTGAAATTCTTATCAGTTAAATGTGTTGCTTTGGGCTTAGTAATTGGCAGAGCAAGCCAAGTCTGTCTCCAGACCCCGTGGTCTTCTGGTTCCAAATTCCATGCTCTTCTCATTATACAGCACAATACTTTTTTTTTTTATAAAATGGGAAAGTCTTTTTTTTTAATGTATTTACAGACAGTTCATGGCTTTAGACACACACACAATAAAGCCATTTTTATTAAATATAAGAAAGTGGAGCAAATTTGCGTCCTTTTTTATTTTCTAATGACAATGCTAAAAGCTAAAAGGCAATTGGCCATTGACGGGAGAACAAAGGAACCTGAATAATTGATAAAATGTATTCTAAATCCAGAAACTGTCAAAGTAGGCGATGTCAGAGATGCTGCAGTTGCTTGGTTGTTCGTGATATCTGATGACGCTGCATCTCAGTCATAAAAACTTCAGGGAATCTGAAAGAAATAATAATGCGCCATGGTATTTTGAGCTTATCACCACAAGAAATACTCTGTAATTGCATCAAATGATTATAAATGGCATATTTTAGGGACATAATAAGCAATGCAAAGGACAGGTCTGCTTATTAGTGCCAAAATTTGTATTTATTCCCATATTGCTTTTTTTTTCCTAGGCATTTTCCGGCATCTCATTTCTGACTATTAAATTATACCCCAAATAGAATATGTAACTACATGTAACCAACCTATTTTGGTCTACATTAAGTGCAGCAGCATAAATAGAAACTGAAAATAATCAGAAGCATTTAGAATTTCGTTTTTATTCATCTGATTTACTTGGCCTTTTGTCTGGGATGTAAGTGATTCTGAGCCCCTCTCCAGACTCACACTTTCCCCAGGTTTCAGTACCTGGGGCTCACAATCTCAGTGGAAGAGTTTCAAGGCAATCTTCCACTCAGGACTCCTTATGCCTTGCATGCACACAAAGCAGCGTTGCTCAAAACATAGGAAACAACTATGAGGAATAAAAAGGAAAAGCTTGTTCCTTAAAGAACGAGAAGGAGGCCAGCAGTCTTTTTCATACCTTCTTGTTTATAGAAAGCAGATTTTTTTTTTTTTTTTTTTTTAGTAAAAGCATATTTGGAGCAGGAAAGAAATATGACCTAGACTGTGTTGTTTTCTTTTATTGTATCTACAAATAGTTTAGCTGAAGTGAGCTTTTCAGTTATTGATTTTAAATCATAAGTTTAATTCGTCATCAAGGCAACAACAAATGTGATGTTTGGGGCAGATGCAAAGTTGAAGTATGTCTAAAGAAATAGCACGCTAGTTGCGTTTAATGTGGAAGGTAAATTATAACAAAACAAACTAAAACCCCACAAACTCTAAAGATTTTCCCTTATAGTTATAGAAATTAGGAAATGCCCTATTGTGCATCTTTCCTTCCCAACTGTACCGAGATTTTGAATTTTTTATAATTTGTACTAATATGTAACTAGACCAGATATAATCTGTTGAGGCTTTCTTGTGATGGAAAGCAGGTGAAATCAATTTTCAGTTGAAATATGCTTTTCAGTTCACTATATGATGTTTGTAGGGCTTTTTTAGAGAAGGGCTTTGCATTTAGACTTGAGCAGTTTAGCAGGCTTCGTCGGAGGGTAAATCTGGCTGCTGGATCTAGTTGGAATGTTTTCCTTTCATAAGAAGAGTTGGAGATAAAGTGATTCTTGCTTTCAAATACACTTTTAACAATACAAAAGAATAATTGAAGACTTTTTCTTTTGAGACAGAGTCTCACTCTGTTGCCCAGGATGGAATGCAGCGGAACAATTTCGACTCATTGTAGCCTCGACCTCTCAGGCTCAGGTGATCCTCCTACCTCAGCCTCCCAAGTAGCTGGGACTACAGGCGTGTGCCACCACATCTGGCTAATTTTTGTATGTTTTGTAGAGTTGGGGTTTTGCTATGTTGCCCAGGCTGGTCTTGAACTCCTGGGCTCAAGCTTTCCTCCCTCCTTGGCATCCCAGAGTGCTGGGATTACAGGTGTAAGCCACTGATCCCAGCCTAATTGAAGACTTTTGTATGTTAGGTGCTAAGTAATACAAAAGTAAAAGTGCCACTGTTTCTGTCCTCAAGGAATTTACAGTCTGGAGAAGGAGACAAAATATAAACAAACACACTGATAAGTAAATGATTACAAATTGTGCCAAGTGCCATGATAGAAAAGAATTGATGTGCATTATCTCTGTGCTCCCTGTTAGGGGCACCTGACCCATCAGGAAGGCCATTGATCATACCCATCAGTCTTCCAGGTATACCAAGGACATTGGATTGAATGTCACAGGACCTGGATTCAAGCCCTGCCATCGAATCCAGCTGGGTGTTTCTGGGCTTCAGTTTCTGTATATTCAGTAATAGTATCGAATATTAGTGGGAGTAATAGCATTGAATGCCCTCCATGCTCACTGGAACTTCATCCACAATTACAATGTCTTGGTGGCTTTCTAAGTTTTTTTTTAATTTTTAATTTCTAATTTTTGTAGGTACACAGTAGGTGTCTATATTTATGGGGTATGTGAGATATTTTGATAAAGGCATGCAATGCATAATAATCACATCATGGAAAATGGGGTATCCATCTCCTCAAGCATTTATCCTTTGTGTTACAAACAATTCAATTATGTTTTTTAAGTTATTTTAAAATGTACAAATACATTATTTTGGCTATAGTCACACTGTCATGCTATTAAATGCTAGGTCTTCTAATTATTTTTTGTACCCTTTAACCATCTCTACCTCTCCCTGATCCCCCAGTACCCTTCCTATCCTCTGGTAACCATCCTTCCATTCTCTATCTCCATGGGTTCAGTTGTTTTGATTTTTACATTCAGTAAATGAGTAAGAATACACAATGTTTGTCTTTCTGTTCCTGGCTTATTTCACTTAACATGATGACCACAGTTCCATCCATATTGTTGCAAATAACAGGATCTCATTGTTTTCATGAATAAATAGTACTCCATTGTTTATATGTACCACAATTTCTTTGTCCATTCATGTGTTGATGGATACTTAGGTTGCTTCCAAATATTGGCTATTGTGAACAGTGCTGCAACAAACATGGATGTGCAGGTATCTCTTTGACATGCTGATTTCCTTTCTTTTGGGAATATACCCAGCAGTGGGATTGCTGGATCATATGGTAGCTCTGTATTTAGTTTTTTGGGGAAATCCCAAACTGCTCTTCATTGTGGTTGTACTCATTTACATTCCTAGTGGCTTTCTAGAACCTCCTCTTGGGGAGCCATATGGAAATTTTGCTGAAGGTGAGAATATGGCAGCTTGATGCAATGCAGTGTTTTTTCAAGCTTCTTAATTTGTTGTTGTTTTGAGACCTAAGTCTCAGGAGAGATGCACCGAGGCTGCTGCAGAGCTGTAGAGAGGAGATGAGGAGCGAGCAAAGGAGGTAGGGTTGGAGGCGCAGGGCATCTCCCACCCTGACTTGTCTCAGACATGCCCCTCCTTTATCTGTTGATTATACCAGGCTTACAGGGAGGATTTTATCCAAAGAATTCACCTGCTAAAAGAGGAAAACATTTTAAAATTACTGTTGTAGTCCAAATAGTCTCTGGAACTAGACGATTCTGGATTCCAAATATAGACATGTGGTGCTTAACGACAGGGATACTTTGATAAATGCATTATTAGACTATTTTGTACTTGTGTGAACATCACAGAGTGCACTTACATGAACCCTGATGGCAAAACATACTACAGACATACTACATACTAGGCTTATGTGGTCTAGCCTCTTACTCCTAGGCTACAAATCTGTACGGCATGTTACTGTACTTAATACTGTAGGCAATTGTTAATACAGTGGTATTTGTTTATCTAAACTATCAAAACCTAGAAAAGGCACAGTAAAATATGGTATAAAAGATTTTATTTAAAGTACACCTATATAAGGCACTTCCCATGAATGGAGCTTGCAGGACTGCGTGTTGCTCTGGGTGGGTCAGTGAGTGAGTGGTGAGAGAGTGTGAAGGCCTAAGACATTACTGTACACTACTGTAGACTTTATAAACACTATATTTAGGCTACCTATATTTATAGAAAAATCTTCTTTCTTCAATAATAAATTAATGTTAGCTTACTGTAACTTTCTGACTTAATAAATGTTTTAATTTTTCAAAACTTTTTGACTCTTTTTCAATAATAGCTTGAAATACAAACACATTGTACAGCTGTATAAAAATAATTTCTTTTTATCCTCATTCTACAAACTTTTTTGAATTTTTAAATTTTTTAATATAATTTTTAAAATTTTGTTAAAAACAAAGACACAAACACACACATTAGCCTAGGCCCACACAGGGTCAGGATTGTCAGTATCACTGTCTTCCACCTCCACATCTTGTCCTACTGGAAGGTCTTCAGGGTAAATAACAAGCACGAAGCTGTCATCTCCTATAACAATGCCTTCTTCTGGAATTCCTCCTGAAGGACCTGCCTGAGGCTGTTTCACAGTTAACTTTTTTTTTTTTTAATAAAAAATACATGTAGAAGCAGTACACTCTAAAATAACAATAAAAGTGCAGTATAGTAAATACATAAGCGAATAACAGTTTTTCTAATCATTATCAGGTAATATGTACTCCATATAATTGCATGTGCTAGACTCATACAAGTGGTAGTGCAGTAGGTATGTTTACGCTAGCATCACCGCAGACACATGAGTAATACTGTGACATTATGAGGGCTATGATGTCACTAAGTGATAGAAATTTTTTAGCTCTGTTATAACCTTATAGGTCCACATCATATAGGCAATCCATCAGTGACCAAAATGTCATTATGTAGAGCATGACTGTATTAGTTCGTTTTCACGCTGCTGATAAAGATATACCTGACACTGGGCAATTTACAAAAGAAAGAGGCTTAATGGACTCACAGTTCCGCATGGCTAGAGAGGCCTCACAATCATGGCAGAAGGTGGAAGGCACCTCTCACATGGCAGCAGACAAGAGAAGAGAACTTGTGCAGGGAAACTCCCCTTTATGAAACCATCAGATCTCGTGAGACTTACTCACTATCACAAGAATAGCATGGCAAAGACCCGCCACCATGATTCAATTACCTCCCACCAGGTGTCTCCCACAACACATGGGAATTGTGGGAGCTACAATTCAAGATGAGATTTGGGTGGGGACACAGCTAAACCATATCAGTGACTACAGTACTATAGCAGTTGAATAGTTTTTTTTAAATCCCTTGAGTATCTTATGATCTATAAAATGGCAGTCAAGCCTATCCTGTGGATATTTGCAAGGCTTATAAATATTGTCTGGAAGAGAAAGATGACTTAGGAGTATATTATAACTCTTGATGTTTTTATTATATTTGTCATTAATGTGCACAAATTATAAATGTATTATCATTAATAATAATTTATTTAAAAAAGTGATGGGATATCATAAAACCCTTGGGTGAATTCAAACATGGCCACTTTGTATGACAAATTACATGCTTCTATTTCTGTTCCACCCAGGGTTTCTTTTGAGCAGTGGAAATTCATCTGGAAACTTAATGTTATCCCACTATAGAGAGCCATTCTTGATGTGCCACTAATTCTGCCAAATAGGCTGACTTGACTACTCTCTTAGGATACAGAATTATATGAAGAAAAATAGAGTTGAGAAGGAAAAAGTACAAACGTTGTGTGTGCATATAACAAACAGATGACTGCTTTAGACATATTTGGTCTGTAAACACCTGTGGAATCTTGCCTGTGTCTCTAATTTTTCCAGATTTTGCTCATGGGAGAGACACAATTTGTTCTTTGAATGTAGCCATTATATTTTAACATACATGCTGATTTAATCATGCTGGTCAAAATTTTCTTTTTATAGCATCCAGACAGCTTGTGCATATAACTACATGCAGTTTTATTTTGTGGCCAACTGGCAACCATATGGAAGTCAGTTAAAATGTATTTTGATTATATGACTCTGTGCACATAGGCACATCATCTCAGGAAGGCTCAGGTAGCATAGAGGCAAGTGAATTCAGCCTGAGATTACAGTAAAGACATGAATCTGATAGTCTGGCATTTCTGGACTCACACTGATTTCTTGAAGAAAAGCCCATACAGTTGGAATCAGTGCCTTAAATTAGGTTTCTTAATATGATGAGCTCATAAAATATGTGTTGTCCTGCCTTCTTCAGATGTGAGAGTTGATGTTACAGAGATCTCTTTGGTAATATGACTATTTTAATAAAATATTCACAATTAAAAATATATAGAAGAAAGCAGCAAGGAAAGACTAGAACTAATGATTAGAGTTGTTGAAAATGCATACATAATTTACTCCCTTTTTAAAAAAAATGGAACTGGGCTATTCTGTTGTACATAGACTTTTGTCAAAATCAAATTAAGAATACTTTACTCAGTTTTCTTTTTCTTCCTTTATTCATCTCTGTAAATATGATTTTAAAGGCCCTTGAAAACAAAATAATTATCTTATTAAAATTTAGTTACATGTTGTGTTTAAAATGCTAAAGTTTTGGCCAGCCGCAGTGGCTCACGCCTGTAATCCCAGTACTTTGCCCGAGATGGGCAGATCATGAGGTCAGGAGTTCAAGACCAGCCTGACCAACATGGTGAAACCCTGTCTCTACTAAAAATACAACAACAACAACAACAACAACAAATTAGCCAGGAGTGGTGGTGCGTGCCTGTAATCCCAGCTACTCAGGAGGCTGAGGCAGGAGTATCGCTTGAACCCAGGAGGCGGAGGTCGCAGTGAGCCGAGATTGCGCAACAGAGTGTGACTCAGTCTTAAAAGAAAAAAAAAAATTCTGAAATTTATCGGAGAAAACAATTGGGATCTATTTTTAGTCTCAAATGTAGGCATATACAAAAATAATACATAGTAGTTTTCTAAGTACTATTAGACATTTGTTTCCCATTTTGCCATTTGCTTTCAGTTTACCTGACATGAAGATAAAAATGATAGCTATTTCTCACTTGGCATTTGAAAGACAAGAGCAATAAGAAACCCAGCAAAACTCCTAGAGAATTTTCATGGGGAAAATAAGCATATTGACATTCTTTGACTTTTGTAAATTGATTTTTTGGCTCCAGCTGCTCTAAAGCCATTAAGAGTTAGAGTTAATCATTCTTGATTTTTTTATTGTTAGTCAGTTCCCTTATTCATAACACTGAATAATAGCAATACTACTGAGTTTTATTTGTGTTCACATTCAGTGCTATGTTAAAAAATTCACAAAGTAACATACTGAAATTCTTGCAGGTAACTGGTAAAATATGTAGTCTTTAGTAGACTGTTGATTGATATTCTAGTAAAAGAGTAAATCTTGTGAATTTCAGAGGTGGTCCCAAGATGGTCTTAACCCTACTGTGTTAAAAAATATCAGCATCTTTTTCCTATAAAGACAACCTGAAGGCTCTTTTGAAATATGTATAAGTGCTTCTTTTTAAAAAACTTATTGATCAAATCAGCTTAATTAGCTATGAAAGGAATGATCCTTCACCCCTATGTTAATGTCTGTTTACACTGTGAGTTTGTAAAAGCTTCTGATAGAGATTGATGCCATATCTAATAAATTATCCCACTATATATTCATAAAGTACTATGATTATATCTATATGAATATATATATAGGTGAATGTAGATTCATATCAAAAATTGAAACCCAGAGAAAAAACTTGGAATTTGGTAGGCAGAACCATGACCCTCCTCAAAGAAGTCCTCACCCTCATCCCCGAAACCTGTCAGTATGCTCTGTAACATGATTAAGGGCAATTAACATTGCAGGTAGAATTAAAGTTACTATTTTAGTCCATTTGTGCTGCTATAACAAAATGCCTGAGACTGGGTATGTATAAAGAACAGAAATTTGTTTTCTGTTCTGGAGCCTAGGAAGTCCAAGATCAAAGTGCCAGCAGGTTCCATCATCTGGTGAGTACTGCATCTTCAGAGGGGAGGGGAAAGGAACAGTATGTTCTCACCTGGCAGAAGAACAAAAGAGCAAGCTACCAAACACTGCCAAGCCTCTTTTATAGAGGCCTTAATCGCATTCGTGAGGGAGCAGCCCTCATGGCCTAATTACCTCTTAAAGGCTCTATCTCTTAAAACTACTAGGTTGGCAACACCTGAATTTAAGAGGGGGCATAATCAAACCATATTATTACTAATCAGTTGACCTTAAAATAGATAATCCTGGATGATCTCGGTGGGCCCCTTGTAATTACAAGTTTCCTTAAAAGTGGAAGAGGGTGACACAAGAGAAGTGAGAGTGACGTAATGCGAACAGGACTCAACACACCATTGCTGACTTTGAAGAAGGAGGCCTGAATTTCAATAGCCACGGAAGGGGACAACCTTTAGAAGCTGGAAATGGCAAATAATACTACCCAAAAGCCCTCAGAAAGGAGTTCAACCCTGACAGTACCTTTATTTTAGCTCTGTGCAACCTGTTTCAGACTGCTGCAGAACCGTAAGATAATAAATTCATGTTGTTTTAAGGCACTACATTTGTAATAATTTGTCAAGGCAGCAATAAAAAACCAATGCAGCAAAAGACAATAACGTCTGTTTAACCACACAGTCACGGAACATCTATTAACTAGCAACTTATTAAATACAGCTTACTGCTGCAACATCTTTGGTGTAATTAAAACATCCTCCATGAATCAGAGTGAGAATTATACTTAAGTGTCTGCCAATTGCCATGATAATAGAAAAGCTTATGATCTCTCTACTAAGTACCTTAGGAAGACAAGGGCCCAATGATATGAGCAGTGTGGTGGAACCCCAAACATCTTCCCACTTTCATGCACACATATCATTCATTCTCCTTTTTCCCAAGGTTCGCTGTTAGTATAGAGGCACAATAGATCATGATTAGCTCTGGGCATGTTCACAGTTTAGCTGCCTGAGCAGATTAATTTGAGAGTCCAGGAAAAGCTTATTAAACAGATTATGAGAACTAGACAAGACTTTTGAGACCATCTGTCCAAAACTTTGGTTTTACCAGTAAGCAAATTCAGACCCAGCATCACTCAGCTGGTAGGTGGTAAAACTGAGAAGAGAATCCATGTATTTTGTTTTTTCCTAGTTCTGTGTTGTTGCACTGCATAATGAATTCCAGCCAGAACCACACATTCAGTTCCTGACTAGTCCACAATTAGAATCACCATCAAGTCAAACACAAGTGAGGCATTACATCCAGGAGGTCATAGTTAGTTGTGTGTGTGTTCCCTAGATAGATTCCCTGAAGCTTTCTCATCAACACCAAGAAGCTGAAGGGGAAAATGAAAGTTCCCCTTCAGTTCCCCTCAATTCAAGAGTAATTGAGACCAACATCATTCATGGATATTAATAATATGACCTTTTTTAAAGAATCACCAAATCATTACATCATAAAGAACAATGATCTTATATTTTACTAGGTTTATTAGTTGCAGTCTCAGCCTCTAGGTTGCTAGAAAGCTCTGGGCTCCTTTGGATATGGACATGGCCAAATCTCTTTAACTTTCTAGTTATGGCACTTTAGGCAAATTCAACTTCTCTGAGTCTAGGTTTTCTCCTCTGTTCAATGGAACTGACAATTCTATGTCAGAGAGCTATTGTAAGGATTAAAGGAACTAATATTTGCAAACCCCATACTGTTGCTTGGAATAAAACAGGTGCTGAATAAATGGTAGCTATTTGATTGTTAGTTTTAAAAAATCTTGCTAGAAATCATTAAGAGTGTATTTATCTAAGTGGGGGAAAAGAAAAACCTAAGTAAGACCCTTGGATCTTGAAAGAAAGAAAAAGAGAGAAATGATTGTCAACACAAACAGAAATGCTTGAGGAACTTCAAGGGCTCAAGAGTCAAAGGACAGGCTAGAAAAAAATGTCAGAGAAGAAAGAGCTAAGAGAAGAAAGTCAAAGGAAAGGAGAGAAGGGGAGAATGGAAGGAGAACTGAGAAACCAGCAGTGTTTTTTTAAAGGTGATAACTGAAGAAGGTGAGCAGAGGAAGAAAGAACACAGTGAGTAATTGAAATCACCAGTTATTTTCTTCTGATTCATCTCTTAAAGGAAATACCTTCTAAGAGAGATCTTTGCTCTTTTGTGTGCTGGTGAATGTAAGGTGAGAATCTCTCCTTTCTTTTTCTAATGATGACCCTGAACAAGGCCGTGCTCTTCTTTTAAACATCTCTTCTGTTTGAAGCTCTGTTACAATAGAATCAAATAGGGTCTCCTTGGTTTATGTCACTGATCTAAGGTTGAATGATGTACTTGACAGATCCTTTTGAACTGCCCCATCTGGGAACTGAACCAAAGACTGGATCGCCAGTCATGGTACTCACAATTACCTTTCCCTTTCCGCACAGTCCCCACATTCACTACCCGAAAGTATAAAATCCATCTCATAAGATGCAGATGAAGTAGAATGATGCGGTTTCCCAAACTTGCCTGATTATACAAAAGCCCAGAAGCATTGCTGTCTGGAGATTCGGATTCTTACCTCAAGGTGATTCTTATCATTAGAAAGTGAAAGGTACAGAAATGAAGAAACTTTCGAGTAAGCAACGTTTCCTACCAAGGGACTGGGTGGTTCTGAATATAACACCATCTTTCTCCTAACAATAGAAGGTGACATTTTGACAAATAAGCTTAGGATTCGTATTCTTCCCTAAGGTATCATTTTGCTGAGCTATCATTTTTTTTCTTTCTTTTTATTTTTGAGACAGAGTCTCACTCTGTCACCCAGGCTGGAGTGCCGCGGTGTGCTCTTGGCTCACTGCAACCTCTGCCTCCCGGGTTCAAGCAATTTTCGTTCCTCAGCTTCCAGAGTTGCTGGGATTACAGGGGCCCGCCAGAGTTTCTGGCTAATTTTTGTATTTTTAGTAGAGACGGGGTTTCACTATGTTGGCCAGGCTGGTCTCAAACTCCTGACCTCAAGTGATGAGCTTACCTTGGCCTCCCAAAGTGCTGGGATTACAGGCATGAGCCACTGCTCCCGGACTTGCTGTAAGCTATCTTTTTGCCACTCATGATGATGATTGTATGGATGACTCTCTGGTCTGTGTTGTCAGTATTCAAGTGGTACCTCCACTCTGTCACATCTTCATTTTGCTTGTCTAGCAGACTTGCTAGTCCCTTCTGTCTTGTTCCATGTCAGGCTTGGACATATGAATTGCAATCACATTGTGAGACAATTAATTGTCCAATATTTCTCAAGACTCCCTGTCCTTTAGAAACTATTTTGCATTCATCTTTGAGTCCTCAGTATTTTGCCTAGTAAACAGGGTTTGTCAAGTGAATATCCAATATAGACTCAGGAAGATCCACATGGGGAGTGAGAAAATTGAGCGAATCCCAGGAAAAGAACAGGAAATGGAGGTAAAAGACTCACGTAAGTTTACCCTTCTATCCAGGCATGCCTCCAGACACCAGCTTCCACTTCCTTATCTGTCTGGAATTGGTGTTGAATTGATCTTCGAGGTCAGTTTGAGGTTTCTTACTCTCTATATGAGTCTCTGATACTTAGAATGTTATTTTGTGCTCAGATTGCCAGAAATCATGAAGAAATGAAAGGGGAAAAATGGTGGCAATAATGATGACTAACAATGTTTTATTGTGTGACATGAAGTTAAACAGTAATAATTTATTGTTATATTGAATGCTGCAGCATTAAACTGCTGCCTCCAGTGTTAAAAGCAATGCTCACAAGACAGATCTTATGAGAAACTCTATGTAACAGCAAAGGATCACTGAAATATTCAGATACAGAATTTACAATAGTTGCATTAGGGCTTCCTTTGAATTAATTAATATTTCCTCTGAGATGACTCCTGCCAAGTGGTTTTGCTTCATTCCTGATTTAATTGCTAGGAAAATCAGAATTATTCCAGAAAGTGAGGCTATGAAGGTTTCATTGTAGGAAAATCTTGTGTCTGAAGCCGTGAGGCTGGACAAAGGGAAATGAGTTGAATGCTGTTGTGAATGGGCAGAAGTCAGCACCAGCAACTTCCATTCATTTCGAAGTAAGAGTTGATAAGAGAATTGACTGTTGAAGTCAAATCTCCGTATATTTTCTTATTTCCTTCTTTGCATCCATCTTGCAAAGCAAATTTTTAAGAGAAAACGAGTGTTTCATTCTTGATAGTGAATTGCTCTGCTTCTTCAGCAGGAGGTGCAGGAGAAATCCTATTTGCATCCTTTCCACTGCTCTTAACAAGCCCCTAAAGGCTGAGTTAATGTTTATTTGTGGCCTGGAGTGGCCAAAAGGGAATAGCAGGAATTATTTTCTTCATAGAAGTGGTGGAGAATATGAGTGCCTCCCTCTATAAACTGGAGAAGATTTACCTGCACAATTCTCCTCTCTGCTTTTTAGTACTGCTTGGGGGATGAAAGGGACCCATGGACTTTGGCCTCAGACACACCAGGCTGGTTTCAAATTTTCCTTTTTTCTGAAATCCACAGTAAGCCACTTAAACTCTCTAAGCCACAGTATTCTGTTCTGTACAATTGGAATAACAATGCTGTGTACTGGAACAGCTTCATAATTTGTAGGCCCAGTACTAAATGAAAATTGGGACCCTTTTGTTCAAAGAACATGAACTTCAAGACAGTAATGGCAGAGCATCAAATAGGTGTGTGGCCCTTCTGAGCATGGGGGCTGTACCACTGGGCAGGCCACATACCACGAAGTTGACCTCACTGTGCAGCTGGATTGGCTGTTGGATGTCAGATATCTTTCCCTTTGTATCTCTGTATCTCAGAGAGTGGATCCCTGAAAATGGCATTTGCACTGGCTGCTAGCTAGATTTAGCCATGGAAGGCAGTAGTAGGAGACTGATGGTGAGAGGCACGGGGAAGCCAAGTTATTTCCCTCTTTTCTCCTTTCCCCTGTCTCTATTTCCCTTTGAAACGTATCTCCAATAGTAACTGCTCTCCTCTTTCAGTTCCAGCATACCTAGGACAGCCCACCTTCTGGGGTCCCACCTTTCCTGATCCCACTCACTGCTAGTCAGTTCTCTGCAGGCAGCCCAGCTCCTCATGCTCTAAAACCACCATTTCCTTGGTTCCTCCAGCCTGACAGGTGCTAGCTGCTTCCTGATATAACTAATATCTTGACTACCTCCCTGTTCCCTATGAGGCATTTCAGCTCTTCCAAGCCTCTTTAACTAGTTCCCCTTATTAACTATTCTTTATTCTTCATAGAATCTGATATAAGTGTCTACCTTGAAAGGTTATTACAAGGAACAAATTTGTCTAAGGCAGTGGTTTTAACTGTACATTGCAATTCATTTGTGAGTAATACAATCAGTTTGATGGGTCAAGACCGGTAGTTTAGAACACAAAATAACTTAGAGCAGAATAAGAAAACATGGTAGTGCATTGTATGTATTAAGGTACATATGATTTAATAAAGCTTTTAGTTGTCTCTGTGTGTATGTGTGATGTGTACCATTTCATGCTGTAAAAATGTATTACTTTCTAGCAGGTGGGAGAAGGAAAGAAAGGCCAATGGTCTAAGACTTCTGGTACATAATTAGCACTCAATAAATTGTAGAAACTATTGTTGCCATCCAAGACCATGCCATTTAAACAAAAGGCAGTCAGACAGCCCAAAGAGTTTACCATTCCAACTCACTTTAGCTCATTAGAATAGTTTCATGTAGTTGGGCCAACTTGTACTAAAATGGCCAAAGCGTTTACTTACATTTGTTTGTTTACACCTAGACAGGCCCAGCTTGAGTCACCAGCCTTGGCTGAAAGAGAAGCCAGCCAGGTTCAAAGTAAAGAAACAGTTTTAAAATAACATTTTATTTTTCTGTGAGTCATAGCAAATCTGTCCCTGCAACATCTTTCTCCTGCAGCTAAATGCTTTAAAATGGTCAGGTCTCACCCAGGAAAGTGGGACTGGGAGGAAGTGATGCGATAAAACAGCTTCCCAATCAGTGCATTAGTAGGAGTGCAACCTCTGGCATTCCTCTTTTTTCAGAAGTATCAAAAAGCTCTGCAGAGATAACTGTGTCTCCAGATGGCCATGAGATTGGTAAATGACAAATGTTTATCAGCCTTTCAGCACCTGCTGATGGAAGAACTAAAAAAAAAATCGCAAGTGACTTTATGAGCCCACAGCCACCCCAGCTGTAATGGGTGCTAGTAGCTCTGTGTTGCTGACCTCACATGGGTAAAGGAAGAGCAGAAGAATTTTTAGTCCCTTGGCTACTTCTTATCTATTTCATCAGGTAAGGAAACTCAACTTGAATCCTTTCAACTCTGAAGAATGGTAGATCTGAGGAACAACAAAGAGCTATAGGTCATGTGGATTTCTCTGCTCAGTCAGAGAGCCCAGAACTCTCCCTGGAGCTGAAGATAGCCCTTGCAAGCTATCTCATGATGGTTTTATAGCACAGTGGGCTCACTCATACTGGTGCTGGTTTTGAGCATCTATGTTGACAAGACAAATGTCTGTTTCTACTACTGCAGAGGATAGAGTTTAACCAAAGTCAGGTGACAGAGAAAAAGAACAGAAACTGATAACACTTACACAGTATCCTTATATAGCAGGCTCTTGAATAATGCAGGCATTGGGGTGACAACCACCCTTACAGTCAAAAATCTGTTTATAACTTTTTTTTTTTTCAGATGGAGTCTTGCTCTGTTGCCCAGGCTGGAGTGCAGTGGCATGATCTTCGCTCACTGCAACCTTTGCCTCCCGGGTTAAAGAGATTCTCCTGCCTCAGCCTCCCAAGTAGCTGGAATTACAGGCATATACCACCATGCCTGGCTAAATTTTGTATTTTTAGCAGAGATGGAGTTTCATCACGTTGGCCAGGCTGATCTCAAACTCCTGACTTCAGGTGATCCACCCGCCTCAGCCTCCCCAGCTGTGTAGATAACTTTTGACGCCCCACAGCCTTAACTATTAATAGCCTATCATTGACTAGAAATCTTACTGATAACAGTCTTTTAATGCATATGTTATATATATACATTACACTATATTATTACAATAAAGTTGGAAAATAAAATGTTATTAAGAAAATCACAAAAAAAGAGAAAATATATTTACTATTCATTAAGAAGTGGAAATTGATCATCATAAAGTCTTCCTCGTTGTCATTGTCTTCAGGTTGAGTAGCTGAGGAGGAGGAGGAAGGGAATGGGTTAGTCTTGCTGTCTCAAGGATGGCAAAGGCAGAAGGAAATCCGCATGTAAGTGGACCCACGCAGTTCAAACCTGTGTTGTTCAAGGGTACTTTATGTTGTCCGGGATGCTATATTGAGTACTTTATACATATAAATTTACTTAATCCTCACAACATGCCTACAAGGTGGATACTACTATTGTCCTCATTTCCAGCTGAGAAAACAGATAGAGAAGGCAAATAATGTGCTCAAATCTGCACAGTTAATTAATCATAGAGCCCAAATTCAAACAAAATAGTGTGGCTGCCAAGTCAATGCTCTTGACCTCTACCCAGACTGGGAGCCAGAGGGTTTGCATTCTAATTTTATCATTAACCAATCTGACTGATGGGGCAAATCAACCCTACTGCAATCTCCTCTTTTCATCTGTAATATAAGGTTATTGCTTGAGATATTTTCAAGTCTTAGTGCCACCTCCCATTTAGAGCTTTAGTGTTGAGAAAGATGATATTAATGTATTCCGTTGTCCTAAATATTTCAAACACGTCAGTTTCTACTTTTCCAGACAACTCCAATGGGGATATTTTTTTATTCCTCCACTTCCTAATTAAGGCTGAAAGGGCCCCATATTCAGCTGCTGAGTCTCTGTCTCCCGCCTTCTTTTCCTCCTGTACGACCTAAAACTGTCTTTTGTCTTTCAGCACTTGGGGAGAAACTCTGGGAAGCTTTCTAAATCCCTAAATTTGTCACACCCATCCTTAAAGCAGTGCTGAATTAAAAAGTGGGATTCGTCTAAGCAGAGGAGATACTTAAGGAAGGAGAGGGGCTACAGCACTAAATGATGTTTCCAATTAAGAGAAGTGTAAGGTCAGAGAGAAACTCCCTCCTGGATGGAGCTCTTCACCACCTGATGAGCTGATTAAATATCATGCCGCAAAAAGTAAATGTTTACTCCAAGCCAGGTGCTTGGACTCTAAAGAACTCTATTAGGCAAGAGTAAGTGGTTTAATTGGCTCACCTTCATTCAACTGTTAGTATGTTCCTCATAAGTGCCTGTCAGAGAGAATCTTTTGTGTTTCCCTTCTAACAGCTGGCTCATAAAAACATAAACTCATCTTACAATGTTAAGTAAGGATCTTTTAATTCCTGTTTTCTTTCCTCCAATTTGTATTAATATGATAGGAGAGAAAGAAAGTGAAAGCATGCTTCTATAGCTGGCTACTTCATCAAACTTAATGGAACCATATTTTGTAATTCATTCTATAATTTAAGTTTTGGTCATTTTATCTCTTAAAGATGAATTCCAGGCCAGGTGCAGTGGTTTGTGCCTGTAATCTCAACCCTTGAGAAGCCGAGGTAGGATGATTGTTAGAGCCCAGGAGTTTGAAACCAACCAATATAGAGACCCTGTCTCTACAAAAAAAAAAAAAAAAAAAAAAAAGTCAGGTGTGATGGTATATGCCTGTAGTCCTAGCTACTCAGGAGGCTGAAGTGGGAGGATTGCTTGAGCCCAGGAGGTCCAGGTTGCAGAGAGCCATGATGATGCCATTGCACTCCAGCCTAGGCAACAGAGCGAGACACTGTCTCAAAAGACACACAAACAAAAAAATATGAAACCCTAGCTAAACACTGTGGACTCAAAATAACCTGTGAAATCACCCAACCGTAGTATTTATCTATGAGAATGTTTCAAAGGGAGATATGTAGTTGTATGACTATTTCACGCAGATATTTGTTATTAATAAAAGACTTTGTGGTCAGCATGACGTGTTAGCTACAGTTGAATCCATGCTTCTTTACATTTTGTGGTTTGGTTGTTGTCGAATTTACTTTCCATGCATTATTTCCAAATATATACTTATTATTTCATCAGCTTAGAATGGTTTGGATAGAAAAATATATCAAGGTCTCAGAAATGCCCCCCATTAACATAAGGGTAGCCATGACTTGAACCCACCCCACTGGTTTCCTTTGTCTTTCTCCATTTCTGATTCTCTTTCTCTGTGGTTACCTAGGATATATAAATTACTTGACTTTGAAATTCATGATTAACTCAGAAAGTTATAGCTAGTGATTCACAATATTTGTTTTAAAAACAGTATGAAGAATGTAGAAGCTTGGTTTTTAATTATAATAATATAAATTAGTATCATTTTATGTACTCAAATGCCACACACATATGTATAAGGCATTCCTATGGAATAATCTTAACCTGGTTCTTTGACAATTTTTGTAATTCATTCTCTAGTGAAATATTTCCCCAAAGTGTATCCACAGATTACTATCTCACCAATATGCTTCCGGAAAAAAAGTGCCATGGTCTAATAAGTTTAGGAAACCTTGCACATTCTTTTTCCTTGGGATCAATCATTAGTATTAGCAGATTTAGCACTAAGAAATCCTGTAGTAGAGAAATTCATTTACTTTTAATTCAGTATTTCTCAAAATCATTTTACCCTATTACTCAAATCCCTGCTTTTATTCTGGGAATTGTTACCTCTCCTTTCCTTTGCATACACTTGAGAAATTGACTCTAGAAATACTAGCCTTATGAAATATTGATAGTAATTGCTATGGTTTGTTAGACTCCTCCAAATCTCTTGTTGAACTTTGATCCCTAGCATTGGAGGTGGGCTTAATGGGAGGTGTTTGGGTCATGAGGGCAGATCCTTCATGAATACATTAATGCCCTCCCTGGGGTGGGTAGGAACTGAGTGACTTGTTGCTCTATTAGTTTCTGTGAGAGTTGTCCCCCGACTCGCCGCAGAGCTGGTTGTTAAAAAGAGCCTGGTTCCTCTTCCCCCTCTCTCTCTTGCTTCCTCTCTCTCCATGTGATCTCTGCACACACCAGCTCCCCTTCACCTTCTACCATGAGTGCAAACAGCCTGAGGCCCTCACAGATGCAGATGCCAGATCATTGCTTCTTACACATTGTGTAGAACCATGAGCCAAATAAACGTCTTTTCTTTATAAGTAACTGAGCCTCAGGTATTCTTTTATAGCAATACAAATGGACGAAGACAGTACTGATTATTTGTTGGGCATTTCCTATGTGCGAGGAACTGTTACAGGTATTTTGGCAGTTGTAATAGCGAGGTATTTATTTTGGTGCTTTAACAGAGACTAAAATGGCTGCTTTAAATAAGATTGATTATTTCTCTCTCACATGAAAGCCTAAAATGGTGAGCAGTGTAGCAACTTAGGGCAGCAATCTTTGGGTCATCCAAGGCATCAGATACCTTCTGTGGTGTTGTTTCACCGTCCTTTGAAGTGTTCCTTTCTTCATAGGTTGAAACCAGCTCCTTGTACCTCATCTGGTCCCATCCCTAAGAAAAGAGACCAAAGAGCCATCCTTGAGAAAAGAGACCAAAGAGACATCCCTGAGAAAAGAGAAAATAAAGGGCAAACAGCTTCTTGTTAAGAATCTGGTCTGGATTATGCTCATAGCTCATTGTCCAACTGAATAAATTGCTCAATTTATTGAGCTCATAAATTGCTCAATATGACATGGCCATACCCAGCTTACAAGGAAGTCCAAGAAATAGTCTCTTATTGGGGAACATTTGCTCTCCTGAAACATAGAAGGTTCTATTATTTAATAGGTAGAAGGAAAGAATGAGTATTACAAGGCAATTAGCTTTCTCTGCTGTGTTTTTACCTCATTAAATCCTACCTACAACCCATGAAATCAGTACTTTGTCTTCATTTTAATATGAGAAAACTAAGATACAGAGAAAGTAAAACTAAAGTCACGTAGCGACTATTCGCTTTTGGTTTTGATACCATGCTACCTAATTCCATAGCCTGGGTTCTTAGCTGATACACACAGTTGCAATGCCTTTCCAGAAAATTTCTAGTAGTTTCCACCATTCCTGGACCTATTCTTTTCTAACTTTAAAGGCAATCCATCTTCTAAGTCAGTGTGGCAGAGACTCTAGTTTCTTCACCCAAACCATGTTCTCCTGTCTTTCTTGGGCTCATGTTTAAACTATATTTCTCATCTTCTCTTAGGTATTACCATATGACTAAGGTCTAGTAAATGCAATGTGAGAAGATCTGTTGTATACCACCTCCAGGCTTGGCCTGTAAAAACTTCCCATGGACATGAGCTCCTCCATGCCCTTTCCCCTCCAGCTAGATGAATTGGAAATGACACCCAGGACAACTGGAAGGCCATATGTCAAAATGGACAAGGCTTGCTCACCCTGAATTCTAGAATAATTTTGTGGAGGAGAACTACCCTAACAATCTGTTTTCCCACCTAGCAAAAAAAAATGTGACCACAAAAATAAACTTCTGCTGTGTTTGATCCATTTGAAAGTTTTTGATCTATTAGTTCTAGCAGTTAGCTTCCTCTAAAAAATACAATTGATTACCATGATGTCATGGATAACAAGTTGGCAACCTGGGTCAAAGTCCTATTCTTGTTTTTTTCTAGTGATAAGACCTTGGGCAATTTATTAAATCTCTCCAAGTCTCAGTTTTCTCAGCTTTAAAATAATCTTCAATCATAGTGTTGTTCTAAGAAGTAAATTAGTTTATCTTAAAAATCCTATTCCCTGTTAATTATTCCATTCTAGCAATCAATTTGTGCTTATTCTAGTTGTCCCACTGTTTAAAACACACATGCCTTAGTATTATGAAAACATTTCAAAAGAAATATGTCTTAGATTTCTACATTTATATTAGAAAACTTTCAAATTTATACTTCATGCCTTTTAAAAAAATAATACTAGTAAAATGAAAGAATATCAGTTTTGGAATCATTCCACAGTCCTGGATAAAAATACCTGTTAGACCACTTACTAGTGGTATCATCTATGTGAGACTCAAATTCAGCATCAGTAATTTTGGAAGAATGGTAGTCCTACTTTCAGAATTGTTAGGATTAAATAAAGTGCTAAAAGTCTGTGAAATCTCCTTGCACACTGATGATTTCCCTTCTCTCCCCAAATAGATTTCCATATGGAGCACTTTTAGTCATTTTTGCTGGACTGCAATCACCTTTCTTTCTTCAAATGTTAAAACTGAACAGTAGTAGCTAGCAATTTGGAATCTCTAGAAAGAAGTTTTTTTTATTATTATAGTGCTGAAGCTCAGCTCATTCTCTCAAGGAGCCTATGGATTTGGAGTGCATCATAAGGGAAGAAGTTAACCTCCTGCTGTATTACCAGAGACCAAGGACAAATGTTGGTTGTCACCTGCCTAACCAGGCAAGTGATAGTCACAGACTGTCCATCTCACAACAAAACAATGCTAATTTTGTTGAGGGATAGAAATGTTGTAGTTGATCTCATTTTCTCTAGCACAGTGTCCCTTTTTGAATGTTCCTTCTCAAATAGGGCATGGTATAAACTCTGCAAGAGGGGAGTTCCATTTGGAAGACATGTAGGCAAACAACATTCAGGCTCCACACCCACTTCGCCTGCTGAGATTTGACTTATTACACAACTGCAGATGCTGGTCAATTAGTTTCTCATACTCATTCGTATCACAGAAGGGATGCAGTGGTTATAAATTGCACTGATTATGCACACCTTGGCTTACCCTATTGTTGCATAAAAATAGGCAAGGCATGTTAGTCATTGCATAGTCTTTTCAGTAGAAAGGAAAAGTGATTGAGAAACAGCAAGGAAAATTGTGTTTACAGCTAAGGTTTTTGTTTTGTTTTGTTTTGTTTCCACTCCGTTCAGTGTGTATATAAAGTTAATGCATTTTTAACTTAACAGCAACCAACAACAGCTTCACTTTGAGTGCATGAAAAACACTGGGGCTTAAGTGTTGATTTGTTGCCAGGCATTTCCTTTGGGAATCCATGTAGGCTGATCATTTACCTGGGAAATCGTGTGTGTGTGTGTGTGTGTGTGTGTTACCTTTACCTTTGTAAGGGACATCATAAAACCTCAATTTCCTGGTGTGTTCCAGTTAATTTTCTGCTTTATTGAATGTCACTCTGAATTCCCTATTTCCTTTAACTTTTGTGTTGAAAAATCATTCAAAAGACTACTGAGCCATTTTCTTCTTCATTAAGAAAAATATTGGGTTAGACTTAATTCTTGATAGCTGAAAATTTTGGAGCATTGTTTTGTTTGTTTGTTTTACATTTTTGAAACAAACTATTTTGAGACCGTAATAAGAACAATGGATAATCTTCCCAGAAATCAGAGAGAGAAAGAGAGAGAATTCTGCATAAATTTATAGATCCTTGCAGCCCACATTTGAGGCCCCAGCAATAGACCCCAGGTTAAGAATTCCTGCCATAGAGTGTTTTGACATTATCATTCTAAATATTTAATTTTGTCCAAATAAAAATATAGACAGAGAAAAGGGAACTTAGCAAAAATCTTCATTTACATTCAAAACAATTCAAGGTGCATTAAAATCATGAAAAACTTTGTTCCTCTATAGGCCAGGGAAGTTTCTTGCTACTTATTTCCTTTATTAAAGTATATTTTATTGATTTGTCTTTTTCTTTTAAAAACAGAATATCCAATGGGTAAGACTGACCAAAGATTTGGGGAAGTTGATTCTAAATAGGTGAGCTGTGTTTTAAGAGTTCTTCTTAGTACTCTTCAACTCAGCATGTGGAAATAAATTTCAAAAGCTTTTCTTAATTTCACAAAAACAAATATAAATAGTTATGGGGGGAAATAAACAACAGGCCAAATACCAGATGGCAACTCAAAGCACATTGTCTGCTCTCTTGCTCTAAGCTACTGGTTCTCAGTAGGGGTGGGACAGCTCCCAAAAGGGGGTCTTTGGGAATTTGTGGTGGGTTTTTGGTAGTCACAATGTTAAGAGGTACTATAATAGCTATTTAGATGGCAGAGTTAGGATTTCCTGTTTCTTTTTCTTTTTGGTATCCCTCATGACTATATAGTCTCCCCAATATATTCACATGGGTGAAAATCCTATTCGTAATGATTGAACTCAATTATAACTCCATTTACAGATAAACATGCACAAAATTTTCATGGTTTTAATACACTGAATTTTCCAAGGGTGTGTGAAATTGCTGTACATATTGACAGAAGATTGTTGTTTGATTTGGTTAAGAACTTTTTATTATTATTATTATTATTATTATACTTTAAGTTTTAGGGTACATGTGCACAATGTGCAGGTTACTTACATATGTATACATGTGCCATGCTGGTGTGCTGCACCCATTAACTCGTCATTTAGCATTAGGTATATCTCCCAATGCTATCCCTCCCCGCTCCCCCCACCCCACAACAGTCCCCAGAGTGTGATGTTCCCCTTCCTGTGTCCATGTGTTCTCATTGTTCAATTCCCACCTGTGAGTGAGAACACACGGTGTTTGGTTTTTTGTCTTTGCGATAGTTTACTGAGAATGATGATTTCCATTTTCATCCATGTCCCTACAAAGGACATAAGGAAATGTGGCACATATACACCATGGAATACTATGCAGCCGTAAAAAATGAAGAACTTTTTTAAGAGTTATTTTTCACTTTAGAAAATCAGCTAGAGACCACAATGCTGTTTATGGTATTGAAGTCCCCATGAGAATGCACCTGGATCAGTGTACATTTGTAATGATCAGATTCACAGTGATTCCATGTGTAGGTATAAGCTTTTCTCTACTTCACCATGTGTCCTTGTATAGTTATTGATAGGGGTTGGCTGTGGCCCCCTCCCAAATCTCATCTTGAACTGTAGCTCTCATAATTCCCATTTGTCATGGGAGGGACCCAATGGGAAGTAATTGAATCATGGGAGCAGGTCTTTCCCCTGCTGTTCTCATGATAGTAAGTCTCATGAGATCTGATGATTTTATAAAGGGGAGTTCCCCTACACAAGTTCTCTCTTGCCTGCCACCATGTAAGATGTGACTTTGCTCCTCATTTGCCTTCTGCCATGAATTTGAGGCCTCCCCAGCCATGTAGAACTGTGAGTCAATTAAACCTCTTTCCTTTATAAATTACCCAGTCTTGGGTATGTCTTCATTAGCAGCGTGAGAACAGACTATAACAGTTATCCTGCATCTTAACATATTTCAATATTATTTATTATATACTTATATATAATAATATAAAAATATTCATTGTGCATTTATATATCATAATATATATATTATGTAATTTTTCATTCTGTCTTATAATTTATTCTAAAAATTATATTTTTAAGTTAATTTATAACTTATTAAGTCAGTGTTTCTTTAGGAAATGTGCCCTCCGTCAAAATTTTATTCTTTTTGGTCTCTTTGCTAGTATGCTACTAGCTAAAGAAAATTCATTCCCACTAATTCTGGATTCTTATAGTTATTCACAGCCATGCTGTTAAAGAGACAAGTGAATTACTACCTTCTCAGAGTTGAACTCAAGGGGGAAGTTTGACTATTGGCTGGCAAAATAAAGTAGTGGAAATTTATTTCTTTTGTTCTCAATAAAATAACCTGTGAACCATCCTAAAACTAAAAAAAGGAAATTATTTATGAAGAGAAGTTGTATCATTTAAATTCGTTTTCTCTCTTTTCCCTTTATTTCAGAAACCTTCCATAATAAAAACTTGGATATAATGAAATTTTGCATAAATGACATGTGACAACCTAATTTAGTGGAAGCCAGGGAACCTGCTAATACTTTAACTTCAAAGCTCTTCCATTTTATTCCTTCATTACTTTTCCTCCTTTCAAAGCATTCTTTAGCCATGCACCAAGTTCGAACAATGACGAATCAAATCCTCAGAGCCAAGAACAATGTTCTAATATTTCCATGCAATTAATTGCTACTTCTTGGTGAGCATCCAGTATACTTGATTCTCTCATAGAAGATTCTCCAAGCCTGACACTCGGTTGAAGTCTGAGGACTTCACTGAGGACAAAGAGGGATCAAATCTTCCCAACAAACAGTGAACTCACCATGCAAAGTGAATAGAATCCCCTAATCAATAAATCACTAAATATTTATGGAGCCCCGAAATCATATTGTGACAAGATTTTTCAAAAAAAAATGTAGAAACTAAGTTATGATACAATCACATGTCAGGAAGGTATATTGGAGTACTACTTGTCCAGGACTCCACTGACACCCCCTTGTGCTCCCTATGTCATTTTGATGTACCAGGCCATTCACTGTATCTATAACGTGAATTTTTGCCCCTATTTTCAATGTCCCCCATCCTATTAGCTTTTCCTTTCCAGTAAACTTCTCCAAACCCTTCCTCAGTGTTTCAAAGGCAACAAAAGTTATCACAACAAAAGTAACTAGTATTTCTTGAGTGTTCACAGTGGGCTGGACAAGCAAAGTGCTTTACCTGCATTGCCTCAGTTAATTCTCTTAATAACCTATGACATCAGCTCTATTATTAACCTCATTATACACATGGGAAAATAGACACTACTATGGGCTGAATATGCCCCCTCCAAAATTATGTTGAAACTAAATCCCCATTTTGCAGTATTAAGAGGCAGGGCCTTTTTGAGTGGCCAGCCTTCATGAGTGGATTAGGGCCTTATGAAGGGGCTGGAGAAAACTAACTTAGGCCCTTTTTGCCTTTCTATCTTCCAACATGTGAGGACATAGCATTTGCACCTTCTACCATGTGAGAACACAGCAAGAAGGCCCTCACCAGACACCAAATGTGCTGGTGCCTTGATCTTTGACTTCTTAGTCTCAGAACTGTGAGAAGTAAATGTATATTATTTGTAGTTACCCAGTCTATGGTATTGTGTTATAGCAACATGAAGCCAGACAGAAAAATTTACAGTTTTCATCACTTGGCAGAGGTCACATAACAGGTCGATTTGATTCTCAAGCCGTCTTTACTATTATGCTTACTTGGCTTTTATCTCTGTAGACTTTAATTGCTGAGTTATCTTTCCCTGAGTCATTGCTGCTTCAAATCTCAGTCTTTAGGAATCACTTCTGTAATCTGCTGATTAATTATGCATAGATCATAAAAGTTATTTAATCCAGCTGCTGTCCAGAGTCAATATCACTATCCTACTCAAAAATCTGCAACAATCTACCACGAAAAATCAATTCTAAACTCCTTAGTCTGACATTAAACAGCCTGATAATCTGATCCAATCCAGCCTCTCTGCTTCTACCTATCTTGTTTACCTGTTTGTTGATTCTTATTCAATTGCTTCCTTGATGGAGGACTTTCCCACCCACTCCATCACTACCTCTTGTTTCTGCCTGCACACATCATTTCCCCAAGTCTTTTGATAAGAAAGATCTCCTTTTTACAACTATTTCTCTGCTCTCTCCTCTCCAACATATCTTCCTGACATGTGATTGTATCATAACTTAGTTTCTACATTTTTTTGAAAAACCTTGTCACAATATGATTTTGGGGCTCCATAAATATTTTGTGATTTATTGAGTAGGGGATTCTATTCAGTTTGCATGTGGAGTTCACTGTTTGTTGGGAAGATGTGATCCCTCTTTTCTCTATGCTTCCATCATGACCTGGATATACTTCTAGTATGGCCCTTTCTAATTCTTCACATGCATGCCTTCACTGGACTGCAGACTCCAAGACAGGGGCCATGCAGTATTCATCTTTGTGTCTTTCCAGTTACTCCACAACAATTTATTGAGTGAATAAAGAAAATGCTGAGAAACGAACTCAAGAGGTTTTGTAGATTTAATACCATTGCTCTGGGTATCGCAAAAGATAATGGCTATTAATGAATTAGTACCCCACTTCCCACCACCTCACCCTGTTGACATAGTATGATAGAATGTGTAACCACTTAATCTACCTTAAGATGCTATTGGGCAACAACAATGTCTTGACTTTAGGGGCTGGAAAGCAAATAGTATATAATGTCCAATTGCTCTTGTTTGGGGCAGAGAGCACAGATTTAAGAAACAAGGATACAATAAAATGAAATTTGGCTGCAGTACAAGGTTAATGTCTCTCCTCACCTCCCAAAGAGTACCAAGGGATCATTCATTGTCACAGCTGTTGGGGTTTAGAGCTCTCTTCTCATCCAAATGCCAGTACTTTCCACAAAAAGCTCTTCCCCAGGGATGCCCTAATAAGCCAGTGTGTCCTGTATAGGTGAGACTTGCCCTGGCTGTCTCTATCCAAGTGGTGACATAAGCTCATCTAAAGCCTTTCATTAATGCAAACAATGACCCAGCCCATGGTGGCACTGATTCTTGAAGCTGAAGACTTGGAGAAGGAGCCTGATTTTCCATCACACTGATTGTTGTTTTCAGTAAGATGTTTAGCTTTTCAATTTTCTCTCTGCCAAATACAAATTAGTGTATTTCCAACATCCCAGAGTCTTAGCTGTGCATTGCCAGCTTCCACTGCTTCTCCTTAATTAACAAACAGCTGTAGAAGAGCTTCTCAACTGACATGGGGGGAAGAGCTCTAAGGAAGATATGGACTATGTCTCATATCTTCAAATCCTCCACAGTCATCTCCTGTTAGATCACCAAGAAGAAATGCCCAGTGGAGACACTTCAGTTCAATGAAAAGTTTATGACTAGTTGGGTTTGGTCTCCATTTTGTATTAATGTAGTTGGGTTCAGTCTCCAATCTGTATGTATGTAGTTTCCTATCCCAGAGAGCAGGACAAGACCATATAAGCTCTATTTATGTTTCCTTTGACTCTTTAGCTGAAAGCCTAGGATGTAGGACAAGTGGCTAACCTGTTTTAGAACTTTCTTCCTAGGCTAACATTCTGAACTTGGCCTTGTGGATTTTACCTCTTAAACTGCACCAAAAACCATGGAAACAAAGGGCTTACAGCAGTGTTAGCCTAATCTGAGCCCTCTATACCTTCCTATACTGTGGCCACAGCAGTAAAGCTACGTGGTCTTGCAAAAGACCTTCCAAGAGAAGGTTGGCTACAGACCTTGCTTATCACACCATGAACCTGAGGAGGAAAGAAAATACTCACAAATAGTTTAGCCCCTTTCATAAATTGTTGGTCCTTAATCCATTTTTGAACCCTACTCTGTTGGGTGGAATGTGTGTGTATCTGCACGTGTGTGTGTGTGTGTGTGTGTGTGTGTGTTTAGAAATTCAAAAAAAATGAGGAGATCTTGGTCTTCCATAGAGGGAAGACTGCATTATCAATAGAGTCTTTCTTAGCAGAGGATGAAGGCTCCTGTAGCTCCTAATCTTCCCATTTGTGCACAAATACGTGAATTCTGATTAGGTTGAAATCAGGAAGACACTCTTTTGCTGCTTAGTGGCCACATCTAGAGCTAACAACATTATCAGTGGGATGGTGATTCATGGTTTAAGAACATACCCTCGCCATTCCAGCTACTCGGGAAGCTGAGGTAAAAGGATCGCTTGAGCCCAGAGTTTAAGGCTGTAGTGTGCCATGGTAACACATAACTAGCCACTGTACTCTAGCCTGAGCAACATAGTTAGACCCCATTTCTTAAAAACAAAACAAAAACATCCTTCTCCTCTTCTCCTCCCCCAGCAATTCTGGATGGCTCATCTAATAAAGTACATATATTTTACCTAATCTAGTCAAATGTAATGACACAATAAGATTATTATTATTCTCCAATCCCTGCTCTGCAACATATTTGGCTGAACATTTTTGGCTGCAACATTTTTGGCTGAAGAGAATGAGGTTTCTTCCTCCCTGAACCTGGGAACTAACATGAGGTGTTTTCTTCCACTTGGTGGAGCTGTGCACATGTGTGCTTGCGGAGAAAAAGAAGAGTCCCAGCAGGCCCTCTACTCCAGCTGTTGGAGATTGAGCTTTCCAGTGCATTATCCTGGCTTTATGCAGTGATGCCTTCCCCCTGATGGCAGTAAAATTTTAATTAGAGGGCAATGTGCATTCCTATATAATGGAGTGCACACATGGCAGGAAGTTAACAGGACACGTTTGCAGTTCCAGTTTCATTGTCAACCAGCTGTGTGATTCCTGGCAATTTGCTTTATTTTGTTGTGTCACAGTTCTTGACTAGGTAAACTGGAGAGTCATCTCTGGTCTACTTTCCTCTTCAGTTTGGTGGAAGTTTCACGTAAAATTACATGTGAAAGTCCTTGAGAATTGAAACAATGGGCAAATCTATAGCAGAATGCTTGTTGAATTCTATCAGCTTTCCCAAGGTGCAGGCTGCCCATGTTTAGTCTTTCTCACTTTCCAATCCATTTTCCACACTGCAGCCAGCGTGTTTTTTCTCAATGGAAATCTGATCATATCAACCTCTTTTTTAAAAAAAATCCTAAATATCTTCTCCCTCTCACAGAATAAAAATCACAATTCCTTAAGAAACTGTCAAAGCCTTCTCAATCTGTGCCTTTCATCTCTGACCATTGGTATCTTTCTTCTGATAGGATAAAAGTTCATTGAATGTTCAAGCCTTCTCTTTTGCTTTTCAGAGCTTGGCCATGTGGTTTTCTCTGTCTGAAACAAGCTTCCCCCATTCCTTTCTAGGCTAACTCCTACTCATCCTCCAAATTTCAGCACAAAGTCACTTACAGTGGGAATGCTTCCATGGCCCTCTATTAGCAGCCTCTGATTTATGCTCCCACAATAGTCGGTTCTGCCTCTGGACCATGTTTTATCCTATTGTTTTTCCTCCATAAGAGCACAGTCATAATCTGTATAACTCAGTGTTGTAACTCTGGCAGCTAGCACAATCTCAGGTTCATAAAAAGAGCTCAAGAAATATTTGTTGAATGACCAATTAGATGGCATATTCATTTCCTAGGGCTCCTATAACTAACGCTAGCGTGGTGCCTTAGAACAACAGAAATTTATCCTGTCGTACTTCTAGAGGGTGGGGGTCTGAAATCAAGGTGTTGTCAGGGCTGTGCTTCCTCTCAGATTCTACACAGAATCTTCCCTTGCTTCTTTGGTGGCGATCAGTCCTTTGCATGCTGTGGCTTGCTGCTACATCACTCTAATCTCTGCCTTTGTTGTCATATAGCATTCCTCCTGCATGTCTCTCTTTGCACATGGCATTTTCCTCTTATAAGGAAACCAATCACATTGGATTAGAGCCTATCCTAATGGCCTCATCTTAACTTGATTACATCTGCAAAGACTCTATTTCCAAATAACGCTACATTCACAGATACTGGAGGTTAGGACTTTAACATATCTTTTGGAGGAGGATACAGGTCAATAACAGATTGCTAAACCAATTAACTAATTACTAATTAATATAAATTATGGGTGGAAAAAGCTTCCCCAGATCACGATAAAAAGCTGTGTCGATCTAATCAACGTGCTTGCTTAAATAAGGCATGTGTATAATATATATGCATGCATCTGTGTATATATACATATGTACACATGCATTAATTATGTTGTGCAAAAACCCCAAAGGCTATTTATCCCAAATAGAAAATATTGTGTCGTTTGTCTAAAGCACTTTAAAGACATCTGCCTTTTTCATATGTAAATTTCTTGGATGACAAGAAATTACTGCTTTGCTAGCTTTTAAAACACTAAATTATGATAATCCATCACCAAATAAACTATAAGCTTCTATCATTTAAAAAATGTAAGAACTCTGAGGTTAGTAGTAGTTTTTAGTTGCCATTGAAAGACGGCAGTTTAACGTCATCGTTTATTCAGATTTCCAAATTAAGGAGATCTCTGTGGTTAGACATTCCTTTCGTTATCACTCTCCTTTTCTTCAGGCCTGTCATTTGTCCATTGATGTCTTTTCCTTCCAAATGATTCATGTACACATTAGGTCTTTTCCCTAAGCCTCATATTATGAAAAGCAAAGCTACATGAAAAAAAGCAAATGATTGCTAAATTATGTCCTAATTTCTAGCATTCAGCAGTGCTAAAATGAAGCAGAGAATTTCACAAAATTCTCAGATAAAGTATATTTTTACCAACTAACATTGGGTAAAAGGGACTGAGATAGAGATTTATTTTTATTATTATTAATAACTTTGAAAATGGTGCATTTGGGAAACTACTTACTAATGTTCATTGGAATTGGTGGTAATACTGAGGTCAGGATTTAATTCCAGGCATTACCCAAAAAGTCCATGTTTGCCTTGTTTCAAGCCTAGAGTTCTTAAAACAATCCCTGCAAGGAACCAGGCATAAATTATCTTTCAGATTGGTGGGCGTAGGAATCTATACTGCGAGCTAACTGTGCTGAAATAGACATTTTAGAGGATGTGAATGTCTATCTCAGACAAAGGAGATTACAGGTTATTAACCAAGGCACTTTTCAAATGCCATCCCTTTGGGCTTTCTTACTTAGAGTTTCAGATTCATTTAGCCAAATACCAGCCTTATCCCTTCCCTAATTTTCCTAAATATTTGTGGCTGAATATACTTTTAGCTTTAGGAGTGCAGAAGACTTTGAGGGAAAGAAGGCAGGGTTGAAAAAGGATGAGTTTCAGGTCATTACATTGCTTCAAGGCAGTTTGCAGCTTGCATTCATATTTTTAAAGTCTAAATTAGAGCCCTTTAACACCAACTATCTTGGGCACACATGTATGTAGAAGCATACCACCATATGGCAAAAGGCAGAGTTGCTAAAACTATAAATAACAAAGAGGAAGGTTAATTAGCAAATTAATTAGCTGAATTCTATACAAGGTACTAACAATACCTTAATTTCCAGATACATTTGTTATCAAAAATGTCTACCTTAATAAAGCTGTGGGGACTTACTAAGTGTATTTGCTGGGCATGGTTCCCAGTTATGAAATATTAATACCTTGAAAAATAAAACATGCTTATGAAAATGCAGTTATGCTCTCATTTTCAGAGGAATATGTAAGTGAGGAATAATATAGAAATCCTAAAACAACTGGAAATTCAGACTAAAATGAAGTAGACTGTAGTTTTGTCATTGCATGTTCTGCTCATACTAAAGCACCTATCCTCCCACTTTACCTTCTTTAAACTGCAGGGCAGAGAGTTATATTTTTCATCTTCATGTTGAGTAGAGAATCCATGAAAATCTAATACCCAGTTATCACTCAAGTGTGACAAATAGAAAGGAGCTTCAGAATAGGATCTTCAGTTCTACCAAATGTCTCTGCCTAATTACATCAATATCCATGTTGATGAGTGTACAAACCTGTGGCTAATTATATTTTCACTTCTTCTAAGGGTAGGTACACTAATGTGTGATCCCACAGAAAAGGGCATGAAAGTAAATTAAAGGTGTGTGCCATGTATATTAATGCCTTTGTGGTTATTATTGCTATTGTCTTACTCCCATGGATATTGGAGGATTGTTGATAAGACACTTAAATGTTGATAAGGCACCTAATGAGTATCCTGTGTGATAGGAGTAGTACACAATGATAATCATTTCCTTCTTTGTGCATTAGTATTGACATAGCCACTAATCAGGAACTGTAAACTCTAAACTTGTATCTGCAGCCCTCTTATTAAAAAGATTCCTGGATTTTTTTCCCTAAGCTAGAAACAGACAGACAAACAAAAACAATGATTAAAGGGCACTAAAAGATATATTTAAAGGCAGAGGTTTTTTTCCTATGTGTATAAGATTCAAATTAAATTCCTCTTTTTGGCTATTTGGACAGTTTTGGCAATTGGGCTGAAGCCACTATGTTTTTGTCATAACAGGTCAAGGATTGCTTACTCATGTTTGAGAAGCAATAATGATATGGCAAGAGAGAGGTAAGGGACTACAATGGGAGGCTTATTAGGAATTGTGCATGCCTCTTTCATGTGTGTTGTCTCCAAGCTAACCTTGTGAGGTACGAATTATGACTTCTTCCTGAAGGAGAAAAGCAAGTTTTAGATTAAGTGCCTGACATTCTGATGTCATAAAAAGACTGAAATAAGCAACATTTTAGCACAACATTTGAACAGCCCTTTTCTTAAGGATAAGCTCTTTGCTCTACACCATACTAATTTCCAAAAAGGTGTGAGATTGACATATGAAACTTGTACGTTTATATAAATGTGAATGCAGCAAGCCAGAGAACAGAATGTTCTGTAGCCCAGGCAAGAGGCAGAGGAAATACCCAGTGACAGATCTACTTGGCCCTCGACTAAAGGGGCGCTGTAACTTTAAAATACTAATAAATATTTAGCTTGGCTTTTTCTTTCCTATTTGCTAAGTCCTGTCTTGATTCTCTGGCTAAGGGGTGTAAGAAAGTGGCTGTTTGTGATAAATAGTTGTGTTTGTGTGTGAATGCATGGAAGAACACATCTGAGATAATATAGTGTTTACTGCTTTGCCATTAGCACAATGGGCTGTCTTTACAGAATATGATGTTTAAATCTATGCACCAGTGCACTTTCAAATAGAGAATTCGCTTCCTGTTTTCACTTAAAACTCTCTTTTTATTTTAATTAACGAAAAAGCAGTTTAATCATCCATCTTTGCAGCTAAGGAAGTTTTACAGGCTTATAATACTGTCAGATTCTGCGGTATATAAATGAGAAATAGACACTTTTGGGGAAGAAATTGGCCAGTCTTCCTTCCTTCCTTCCTTTCTTCCTTTCTTCTTTCCTTCCCACTCCTCCCCCCTTTCCCCCCACTCTCTCTCTCTTTCTTCCTATGAAGAGACTGTTCTAAAAGCTAGGAAGTTTCATTGATGGTGTGTGATTTCACAAGCTGGATTTTATTTCAGAACACCTGTCAAATTCAGAGCTGTCTGAAGCTTCTCCAACATCATTACCCCAGGGCTCCCAGTTCTATGCACATGTTTTTATAATGGCAGGAAAAAGAATTCATATACGCATTTGTGTGTTAGAATCAGTGGTGTGCTGGTGTAACAATCAGCTCCTAGAGGGTGAGGCAGGGTGGGTAGGGGATGTTTAGAAAAAGTGGGTATGGAGAAGTCCCTGAATTCTAGTTTTTGCCAAATTCTGTGATGCAAATACTCCCACCACAGCCAATTTCAAGGTTATTTTTCCCAGTTACATTTAATCAGGGCCATACAAGATGTTACAAGAAAGAAAATGACAGGAACCCATGTGGTTCAACTGATACTCACTCAGGAGCTGAGATAGCATTTCATTTATGCAATTCAAATAGCTATTGGTTTGGATACCTTAGTATTGTTTCTTCCAAGAAATATTTTCATTCTTTCCTAAAGGGATAATAATAGACATTCATGACCTAATTTAGGAGATAATCATTTTTTATTTTATCACTCATTATTAATGCTTCATACGAAAACTAGATTTATGAAAAGGCCCATGGATTTTACATCTATTATATCATCTCCTGTTGGTTTGAGAATGAAATGTTTGTTTTGCTAATATGTTTTTCTGATTAAGAAGTGGAGGCAGCAGGCTATTAAAAGTTTTTCTCAAGGCAGTAAATTGGTAGACTAGATATCTTCAAATTAAAAAGTAGTGATTTCTTAGGCCTGTTCATAGATTATTCAAAAATGGGTTAAAGCACAGGTTGAAAATACTTTTATGGGCCACAGGATAATTTAAGTGATTATTTTTCAGCCACTTTTTTTTGGAAAACATATATTAGCTAATGTCTGTAACTTTATTAACTTAAAAACAAAAGTCCAGATAAAAGAATTTTACACTCTGCCAAGCAGTGGTGCCCAGCTTATAGGTGGTTGGTTCTGCATCTTACATTTTGTTACTTGTAAGGTCTATGAAGAAAGGACTCCCTTTTCTGCCCTGCTCACTGTCAAAATTTCAGTCTCTACAGCATGAAGACTCTACATATAGAAGACACTAAAATTTTTTTTAAATATATGAATGAAGCAGTTAATTTAAGGCAGCAAAGTCACGCCTATACATTATTTCTGTAATGTTTAATTTTAAGTATAATTGCTTATTAAGTAGATAGGATGCTTAGAAACTATATTTACCTGGAAGTGGCTTAAAAATTTCCCTAT
The DNA here is from genome assembly GCF_000001405.40 of Homo sapiens. NCBI lineage: Eukaryota > Metazoa > Chordata > Mammalia > Primates > Hominidae > Homo > Homo sapiens. The sequence goes on from NC_000008.11 coordinate 32,134,344, forward strand.
AGACAAAAAATATAATTTGAAGTAGTTCGTCTTCAAAATAAAGGCCTCCAGATGGCCAGATACCTTTCATGTACATGCATCAATTAGACTGTACCAGAAGATAATAAAAAGAATCCTATTGTTTTAATTATCTCTTTTATTCTCCAAGGAACCCCTATTCCTGCCAATTCTTACAGACGTTATTAAGGCATTCAGTTAGTTTTTCATTCATTTATTTAAAAAATATTTATCATGCCAAGTACTATTTAAATGGTGGAGATACCAAAGTGAATGAGATACATACAAGGGGCCCTAGTTCTCAAGGAGCTCACATTCATGAGAAATTAAGTTCACACATGCAAGATATACCAGATATTAATAAGTATTACTCAGATCATTAAACTAGAATGAGGCCAGGCACAGTGGCTCATGGCTGTAATCCTAGTGCCTTTTAGAGGCTAAGGTGGGAGGATAGCTTGAGCCCAGGAGTTCCAGGATACAGTGAGCTATGATCACTCCACTGCACTCCAGCCTGGGTGATAGAGTGAGACCCTGTCTCTAAAGAAACAAACAAACAAAAAGTAGAAAGATTTGACCTGAGAATAACTAGATAGCTATTTTAGATCAGGTATTCATGAATAAAATAACACTTAAAGTGAGATCTGAATGACAGAAAGAAAAGCCATGCAAAAATCAAGGAGTAGGGTGTGCAGATTTCACAGATGGCAAATACCTAACATGGTGATGCTAAAGTCAGCATGAACCTCCTTCTGTTTCTTGAACAGACCACAGGCTGGAGAAGAAAAGGTAGGAAGAAGGCTGGTATAAGATGAGGGTGAAGAGAGAACCAAGGCCAGATCATGGGAGCTTTATAGCCAGGCTAAGGTGTTTATGTTTAATTCTAAATATAGCAGAATACATTGGAGAAGACTATGCTGAGGAATAATGTGACTTGACTTAAATTTTTAAAAGACTACCTAACTGTGTATGGAAAATGAATTGCATGGGACAAGGATGGAAACTAGTTGGGAGATGAGTTAGAAGATTATTATAGGAGTCCTTGTGGGAAGTGTTGGTGACTGTTGGAGGGTAGTGGTGGTAGTGAAGATGCATAGGAGTTTCTGAGCTTGTTTTGGAGGTAGAGGAGGCAAGATTTGTTAAAGAACTGGCTTAGCAGGGTGGGCACAAAGGAAATACAGAATTAAAGGATAATTCCAAAGGTTCCAACCTGAGCAACTAAGTAGAGGCTGGCATTTACTAAGATGGGTGAGATTGAGAGAAGGGGAGTATCAGGAGGCAAGATTACTTGTTATTTTTTAGCCATGTTTACATTTTTTTGAGATATCTTCTGAGTATCTGAGAAGAAATTTCAAGTGGGCAATTTGTTGGACAAGTTTTTGGTTCATGGGAGAAATTAGGACATGGATGCAATTTTGTGAGCCTGTAACACACAGCTAGTATTTAGAGCTAAGGGTCTATATGAAATCACCTAAATAGTACTTATAGATATGAAAGAGAAGGACAGAGCCCAGGGGTACTCTTACATTTACAGGTGAGCATAAAAAAGAAATCAAAAGAAACTCTAAAGGATCAAAAGCAAAGTAGAAGAAAACCAAACAGCCATGCGGGAGTGATTGTTGAGATGTTTTGAAAAAGAGAAGGTTGACAGTCATTTAGGAAGGTGAGGAATCAAACACAGTGCAGATGAGGGTGGTGTAGGGAGATCATTCTCTAGGTGCCCTTTGCATTTTTGCTCATCTTACGATCAGAGTCACTAACTCTCTTGGTTCAGGAGTTGGAAGATACAGTGGCCTGTTCCAGAGCAAAGGCAGGTTCAGTTGCTGTTCAGGATAATGAAGATAATGCCTCCCACTGAGGCAAAGATCAACAGAGCTTACTGCCCATTATAAAATATTCAGATTCCTTAAGCGCATGGTTCCTCTCCTATAATACAAACCTCTTGCAGGTACTGTTGTCACCTGGCCCTTTTCATATCACCCTGTGAGGAGTGGGGCCCAGAGAACCTACACAAATGCAAACACTTCAACCACTGCTATTGTCATAAAGTCCGTGGTCTCTGACCCAAAGTCTCATGTCCCCTGCTAGCATCCATGAAACAGTGGCAGGTGAACTTTGAAAACAGGATAGGCTAAAATCTCAGATCCTTCACTACTCTTCACAGATAGTAGGCCATTGTGATGGTCTACTTGAGCTCTGTTGTTGTGGTGGCATATCTTTCTGTACCGATATTCAGTTGGTTTGATGCAAGCATGGTACAGGTAGATGGGTTTATGCCTTAGATATTTAATAAGAATGCCTTAACACATGATCATATGTCTTCTTTCTTCACTGACAATGGCACCCCACTAATGGAGTGTGCAAATCCAGGAAGACCAGTGTTTGAACGTTGTGGGGTAAAGTGCCGATAGGTAAGCCCGCATATTTAGATATTTCTAAGAGGTTCTAAAATGATGAATACTTTCCTCAATCATTTGTCACAACCAAAGTCTATATTCTTATGCTTAGATGTCATAATTCATATTAAAGAATTGGGCCTTATATAACACCTTAATATTAATAGTACTTGGCTAAGCACAGACGATCAACAACACTTAATTAATGAAACTAGTTCTGAATACATTATATACTTTCAGGGTATATAAGGAGGTAATTACATTTTACAGAGGCATATACTCTATATCTGGTTTATTCGATTGTGAATCAATAAACATGGGGGTTTTTTTTAAAACATGATTTCTATGATGAATTTTTAATTTAATTGTAGGAAGCTCCTTTACCGCTGAGTCACCAGTGTCTTCTTGTATAATATAAAGACATTATGGCCTGGCATGGTGGCTCATGCCTGTAGTCCCAGCACTTTGGGAGGCCGAGGCGGGTGGATCATTTGAGGTCACGAGTTCAAGACCAGCCTGGCCAACATGGCGAAACCCTGTCTCTACTAAAAATACAAAAATTAGGCCTGGTGGTGCATGCCTGTAGTCCTAGCTACTTGGGAGGTTGAGGCAGGAGAATTGCTTGAACCCGAGAGGCCAAGGTTGCAATGAGCCGAGATTGCACCACTGTACTCTAGCCTGGGAGACAGAGTGAGACCCCATCTCAAAAGAAAAAAAATAAAATAAAAGACATTAGCCATCTGGAGCAGTTAAGTATATATTTTTCTATAAAGCAATTTAATGTAGATGATATTTTCTCTCTGTGTGTGCACAATTGCATGCATATGTCAAGTGTCGTGAGATTCCAAGTATTTGACGATCTGCTTCTTCTATAGACAGTTGGGTACATAAAAGGAGAGCCATGTGCAAATCCAGTCTCTGGTTCTAGGTTTATACCTCCTCTTCTCCACCTCCGCTTTCCTTGATAACCCCTGATGCACACAGCCAGCCATCCTCATCCCTCGAGATGTGGTTGATTTCTCTCTATTTGGGTTTCAGGAAATTGTTTTTCCTCCCTTCTGAGAGTCTATGCGCTGCTGCAGGCCAGTCAGTATTGATTCAATTCTGGGTGAATCCTCTCTCACTCTTTCCTAAGTGTATATTGTATATGTAGTTCTTCTGCCAAAAGCAGCTTTGTATTAAGATTGTATTAAGATTTAAGTTTTCTTAAATTTGCAAGTCACCTAAAATATATCCTGTGTCTGCTGGGATCCTTTTGATGTTGAAGCGTCTTGGAGTAGACAATAGAGGATTTTCATATGGTGGAAGAATGTTAGGTGTCCTTGTTGGAGAAGAGAGGAAGAGTAGAGAACCCCTTTAAAGCCCTCTTACTGCCTGTTCCTTGCATCTCATCTCTACATATTTAGCAATCACATCTGCTGATTTGGCAAACACTAACAGCAGCTACACAGCGTCAGTGAGGACAATAGTGAGTGGATTTAAACATCAGGGGCGATGTACCAGTGCAATAAATAGAATATATCATTGTTTCACTGCGGACAGAATGTCTGTGCTCTCTATGAGGATCTGCATTTAAGCCCAACACCCAAGGAAGGCAAACATCTAAAGCTCAGCATGGGGTCCTTCAAGCAGGGGAATACAAACAAAGCATTTTTCTCCCAAAACACAAGTTTTAGGATTTCATGTCAAAGACATGCTGCCAATCAGAAGACAGCATTCCCCCTTCTTAGAGCTGGAAATGGTAACCAGGACACATTGGTATGCACAATTCTGCTGGCTCAGAGCACACGCAAGCTCCTAGGCTGTGACTGGCAGGAGGCTCACAGCGATTTCTTTTTTTTTGAGACAGGGTCTCACTCTGTCGCCCAGACTGGAGTGCGCAGTGGTGCAGTCTTGGCTCACTGCAACCTCAGCTTCCCAGGTTCAAGCAATTATTCTGCCTCAGCCTCCCAAGTAGCTGAGTTTATAGGCGCCCACCACCAAGCGCAGCTAACTTTCTTGTATTTTTTTTAGTAGAAACAGGGTTTCACCATATTGGCCAGGCTGTTTTCAATGTTTTTGAACTCCTGACCTCAAGTGATCCACCCACCTCGGCCTCCCTAGGATTATAGGCATGAGCCACCATGCCCAGCAAGCTCACAGCAATTTTTAATGCAATATGATCAGACCTAATTTTGGCTTTTTGATTTCCTCCCTTAAACCTCAGGCAGGCACTTTTTCAAAAGAGAAATCAATCAGTCAATCAATCAGTCAATCAACAGTGAGTGAATGAATGACTAAATTGTTTGTTTTTAGCATGGCATAAAATAATCCTTAATATTTTGACCTCAAGCAACCATTCTGACCATATCTTCTTCCATGCGCCTTTGACTGAGTACCCAGATACATGCAGAGTCAAGTTTTCTAGATCACAGCCTTGTCCTCTAATTCAGTGCCTTGGTATGAAATCTTTCTTCTTCTATGTCCTTTTTTTGCCAGATGAAATTTCAGTCTTTATTCAAGATCAAGTGCAACTGTCTCTTTGAGGAAAGTCCTTTGACCGCCATTTCTCCCCTTCAGAAGGCAAACACCTGGGGGAGAAGATCTGCTTAAGGACCTGGTAACTGACAAAGAATGGAATGGGAGCGAGAACCGCCTAGCCATCCCTTCTCCTTGCACAGTCATGAAACAAAAGTTGAAAAGGAGCCTGGTTTTACTTGACCAGTCATAAATTACCATAAAATAAAATGAGATATTAGGAACCTTTGATCTCTGAAAAAGTAATATGTGTTGAAAAGAAATATCACTGTTACATATAGACAAATAATAGAAATATTTGAGGCATGCATTTAAAATGTAGAGGCCACTTATAGCAGGCATATTAACATGTGCATTTGCTTTTTAAGAAGTATACACACGTGTACCTTTAGCTTTGAAAGGGTAAGATTCAATGCTTGGGTGATGGATGCACTAAAGTCTCAGAAGCCACCACTAAAGGACTTACCCACGTAACCGAAAACAACCTGTACTCCAAAATCAATGAAATAAAATAAAAAGGTAAGATTCATAAATAGCAAGTTGAGAATGCATGTTTATACCATGTAGACAATGCATGATAAATTGTTGGCAATAAGACCCATGTAGCTGACTTTGGGGATACAAAGTAGCTTCTGAAAGAGGTTCCTAATTAGCCCTGCCTGAGGTGACTGCTTAAGGTATTTATCTGTAGCTGGAATGCATTGCCTCAGAGACTTGAGGATTCAGGAGCTATGAGTTTCAAGGCCACAGATGCAGTGGAATAGTAAGGCTTCTTCCCCTGCCTGGCACATTGACCTAACTGATGAGAGGTGCCTTAGGGACCCAGCAGCTATGGCCATTTATGTCTAGTCCCTCACTCTAGAAAGGAATTGCTTGAATACCACGGTGCTGGAGTTTGTAGCCACAATGCTGAAGGTCAGGGCAGTCCTTCATGATGATGCATTTCTGTCAGCCATACTTGCACATCTCTTTAATGTCTGCAATGTCATTAAGCAGTGGTGTATCATTTTTTTTTAATGCAGAAACTAAACTGATACTCAAAACCTATGACAATTTGAATCCTTCCTGCCTATCCAACCTTAGTTTTTCTGCTCGATAATATAAATTCTCCCTTTCAGTCAGGTAGATAGTCTTCCTGTCTTCCTGTCATTCTTGGTTTCTCTTTGTTGCTCTTGTCTTCCCCACCTGCTGAAATGCTTTTCTTCTTTCTTTCTTTTTTTTTTTTCTGAGAAAAGACCTCACTCTGTTGCCCATCCTGGAGTGCAGTGGCATAATGACAACTCAATGCAGTCTCAAGCTCCTGGGTCAAGTGATCATCCTTCCTCAGCCTACTGAGTAGCTGGGACTACAGGCATGTGCCACCACATCTGGCTAATTTCTTCATTTTTTTGTAGAGACTGGGTCTTGCTATGCTGCCCAAGCTGGTCTTGAACTCCTGGGCTCAAGTGATCTTCCCACTTCAGCCTCCAAAAGTGCAGGGATTACAGACATGAGCCACCCATGTACCTGGTTTCTCTCTTCTTTTCTAACTAATCAAGTACTTTAAGTCACAACTCAGGGTGACAACCTCCACCTCCATTGACTTCTCCAGAGCATTTCATTTCCTCTTATCCTTTCTCTGCACTTTGTTAGAACTTACATTCTGATTTGTACTGTTGACCTTTGAGCCCTTAAGTTTATGCACCTTCTCTCTCTCTCTCTCTCGCTCACTCTCTCTCTCTCTGTCTCTGTGTCTCTCTCTGTTTCTGTCTCTCTCTTTTTCTCTGTCAATTATTTTATTCTGGTATTTGGTACTTATGAGAAATCTTATTAGTATCCTAAACTCTCTCAAAACAGGAAATGTGTATTTTCCTTCTCATCTAATTCTTAGGAAACTTCATATAGGAATAAAAAATATGTAGTAGTGGATTGTCTGGTAAATGAATAAAAGAGGGATTTGAGGTCAGTGGGCTGTTTCAGGACATGACCAAGGAATGTGGTACCAGGGCAGCAACAAGCTTGCTAAGGGGCGATAAAGTAGTCATTGTATATAACAGAGGAATTTGGGCTCAATGCAGATTTGCCACTAACTCTTTGGCAGTATAGAATTCACTAGAGAAATATTAGTAGGTTAGTTAGTATTCCTAATAAAGAACTGCTAATACCTTATAGAGACATAAGCCATGTTTCTCGTCTTTCGTTTCTGAAATGAAATTTTGGCCAGGGAAACATTTTGCATCCCTTTTTGATGTCTACAAATGTGGCATTTGTCAGATGTGAGATAGTTAAGTGTGTGTGTGTGTGTGTGTGTGTATATATATACTTTATATATGTATATATACATATCCTATGTGTGTGGGTATATATATATATATATATATATATATATATATATATGAATGATGCATGGAGAGATATCTCTCCATGCATCCAAAATATTCACAACTTTTCACTAATATCTGAATAACATTTGAAAAATTGACAACTCTTCTGGCTAAAGATCAGCATACACATTCGTTCCACAGAGACTTGTGCCAAAATCTTGCTCAGCTCAAGGGGTACTGCACAATAAACAATAAGAAACTTTTATAACTCCGACTAATAGAACTCATTGCTTTTCCAGTTTGAAGATAAAGGATGTCTGCTTGCTTTCCATGCCTAATTTTCCTGATGCTGTAAAGCTGTTCAGGAAAGTTCCCACTGCAGGAGTTTTGCTAGTAATCTTCAGCTCCGTGGGAAGCCTTTGGACTCTGTTGCTATCCCTGAAAGTGGCTGTTCTTCTCCATCAGTTTCCTGGGCAAGGGCTCGAACCAGCTATTAGTGTCTATTTGCACTGCATGAAAACAAAATTTAATGTAAAGACGCTTATAGCTTGCCTACCCTAAAACCCCAGGAGTCTCATTCTGCCTGACCCTGGACATTTTTTGAACTGATAGAGGGATGGGTATCTGGTGGGTCTCTTCAGTCAGCTCATCTCAGCATGTTGAAAGTCCAAATGACCCTTGCCTGAGGATGGTGAAAGTAATTTGTATGTGTGTATACATAATCCTGCTTTTTCACTATTTCCAGTCACAGATTGCAGAGATAGTTGACTGTGCTTGTTAGTGTGAGTGTTAATAACTTTGCTATGCTGATTTTTAGACTTCCTATGCTATATGATCTCCCTGAAGAGCATGACAGAGCATTGCTTTGGAAAATCAATATTCGGCGTGATTATTCCTTCTTTCATGTGTAATCAAACTTTGAAGACCACCAATAGGCCAAATCTACAAGCATTAGGTTTCTAAACATATTGTTTAGTCAGGAGAAATTGTGTTTTCTAGCTGAGGTATGCCAGCTACTGGTATGGAGAAAATCTGCCTAGCAAATTGGAAGGGGCCAGAAGCTCAAATGCTATTGAGAACCACTCAACAATTCTTTTTTCTTATACACAGGATTGAAGCACAGAGCAAAAGGAAAATCCAGCTTTGGGATTTGTTCCCTTGAACTTACAAATGATTCATTAGACCAATGACATTGTGAGAATTTGGTCTCTGACAAAGAAATAAATGTTTTAAAAATAGTGCTAATACATAGGTACAAATACAGAATTATGTCAGGCATGTATTTTTTTAAAGATAGAGTCCAGTGAAAAGAATACGTGTTAGAATATGGATTAGGTTTCTAAAGGTATACTTATGTCTGCCTTCGTCTTCAGAAAACAAAGTTGTATGTACACTTTAAGAAAGGTCTTAGTGTGGTAAACGTGAGGCAAACCAAAGTCCTGTTACTTCTTTTGTCATATCATTAAAGCCTCCAGACGGAGGTTTCTTCCCATTATGTGATGTGCAGAATTTCAGATGTCAGTCAGCAGCTGAAGTCAACTGTTGGTCCACCAGGCCTCTAAGCTGCAGCCTCTGTCAGCTTGGGGACAGTGGGATCCATGTGACTTGCCTGCTACTGCCCTTGATTGGGCAGATCACAGAGCAGATGGCCTGTGTCTAGAGTACAAGGTGTTAAGGCTTTTTTTTTGGGGGGGGAAGAAATAATTCACATGTGCTAATATTCCTGGATGTTTCACTGATAATATAATATAGAATGTATGAAAAAATCAAAGTCAATTAGAACCAGAAATCTCCTGATACTGGATGATTCTATACATAAATATCTTGCACTAACAGCAAGAATAATAAAAGTTGTACAAAAAATGTCTGTTCTTCCCCAGACCATGAGCTCCATGGAGGCAGAGACCTTATTTGGTTGGTTTACTGCCCTTCCCCAATGTTTCTACCAAGCTGAACATGTATCCAGCTCTCAGTGCCCCATTGAGTTGAAATAAATTACAGTGACATAAACTATGTTCTTCATCAAATGCTGGACAAGCACGTTTCTCAGGCAACTTCTCTGGGATCAACATAAGAACAGGGTGATGAAATGTGAGAAGCAGTGAGGGCAAGGACTTGAGCCTGGTGCCTACCTAAAGTTTACACTCCACAAGTATTCCACCCAACACTTCAGATACCTTCTCTTCTTTCAAAGTCAACAGTTTATGCCCATTGAAAATAAATACACACACCCACTCATGCCCATAGGCATGTGTGTGCTACCAGAAAATATGTACATGTTAGGCTCTTTGGAAGCAGTGGTAGTTTGGTGAGAATTGCTGCATTGGCTCATCAACACAGACCTGATCGCACTTTGATTTCATATCTTGCTATGCAGGGCTCCCATTATCTGCCTGCCATTTGTGTGCATTTATGTTTAGCGTCAATTTCTCCTCCCATGAGGCTATAATCTGCCTTGTAAGGAGCTAAAATGGGAAAAGCAGTTAGAATGATGAGTCCAGTTGGAGCCTGCTGGGGAACAAGACAGTCATCACAGGCCAATCGGCAGTGGAGACAGGGTGGCCCTTATCACACAGAGGCATCTGGAGACTGAGAGAGACAAAGCAACACAGCTGCAAGCCGACCATGATCTGCTGGAAGCTTCTTCAGTCATAAAGCAAAGGACAGTAATTCTGAATGACAATGTAGGAAAACAAAAAAGAAGAAGAAAGAAAGAAAATGGTTGAGCCCAGACGATCATTTTTAGTTACGGATGTCACAAATGGTGATTGCTGGTAGTGAAGTATCTGAATCTGAAGACCAGCTGTATATAGTATGTGTGTTTATGGAGGTGTGTGTGTGTGTGTGTATGTGTTGGAGAAGACCTGCATGCCTAGTTGTAGCACTAGCCAGAAATTCTTGTTTCATCGTCTAGAATGTGGCCAGAGGTTTGCCTAAATTCTCATAAGTCCATTACTGTTCTTCTATAAATCAGGCTGCCTGTTTTGCATAATTCACCAGGTAATTCACCTATCACTAGGCAAGGCAGCTGCCATGGAGTGCATGCAGGAATTCCCTTCATTGACTCAGGCTGGTACCATTCTCAGCATTTTTGCTGTTTATATATTTTTATTTTGGTCTCGGTTTTCCTTTATCTAAAAACGTCAAGCTGGGATGGATCCTTGGAGATGCTCGCTTAAACAAGTTCATTACACTTAAAATAGTTTTACAAGCACAAGTGAAAATAATGTAATAATTGCAGCAGATTCTTAGACCTCCACTGGATCCTGGGTTGCCTGTTTCCTTTACTCAGTTCTAGTTTCTAAGTTTATTGCTGGGTTTTGATGTATGTATGTGTGTGTTAATTTTTTAATATAGAATATGAAGTTTGAGGGAAAACTATTGCCCTTATTCTTGTCGATTTGTTATTCGATCTTTTCTTTTCCTCTTTGTTGGTATGTGAGGAGTTGCAGAGCAAAGCTGCTGAGATCTTATATTTGACTGAGGTTTCACAAGCTCTGCGAGATATCCTAATCTTCAGAGTGACACCTGGTTTAGCCAACCACGTGGAAAAAACTAAGGGTTTAGATATAACCACATTCAACCACAGCCTTTACCTTCTCCCCTGTGCTTTGCTGTATCTAATGACGGCCCAGAAAGGTGCAAAGAGAGACTTTTCAGAAAAAGCATAAAAACAATCAAGAAGGAAAAAATTGCTTGGTTGTTTTCTGAGATACCTGAACCAGAAGCAATTGAGTATTTAGGTGTAACTTTCTATGACCTATTAGAATGAATGCCATTCTTATGGCTTAAATTTTTTTCAAGATGAAGAGGGCACTTATATAGACAAAGAATATATTTCCCATAAAGATATATTAGCACAATTCTAATTAATCTTAAATCTAAGTTTTTGTTCCCCAAGTCCAATACTCAGTCTAGAACATATGCCCTTTTCTGTGATGCCTGCTGGCCACCATGTATGATCATGGTATATTGTGCATTGTACAAAGTGCCCAGCCAAGGGCTGAAATCAACTAGTGCTCTACTTATGAGGAATTAATCCAGGCATGGCGCTGTGTCTACCCCAGAGGATGTGCCTTTTCTAATTTTCGTAAAGTTACTGCAATGGGCCAGCCCTGAAGATATACAGATAACAGAATCCTATGACTTTTAGATGACATTAGCCATCATGAGAGCCTGCCTCTCTGTAAATGGTGTTAGGGTGTTTATTATCAGCAGCATTGGGAATACAGTTGTTTTGATGTGTTTTCTGATGCCCTGTTCTAAAATTCACTACTTCTCTGCAGGCTTTGGAAAGTGGGAGTGTAACCACTGGTCCTTTGGGTTCTTTGTGAAGTTGTGCTAACCATAAGATGCCGCATACTCTCCTAGTGACCACAGTTTTTATGGGAGGTGATGTACAGCAGCAAAAGTCTAATGTAAATCTCATGTTGGTTCTTCCAGAGCAGGGGCAGCTAGAGTCTAATAATTTCTTGGGAAGAGTTTCTGTACCTGGAAATTTTAGATGTATATCAAGGACATGTGAGCAAATGGGAAATCTAATTGCCCAGTGCCTCTGGAGCAAAGTGTAGAGACAGAACCAGAATGTTTTTTACCGGCACATTTCTGTATTAAACTAAGGGAGGGAAGCTCTTTAACTATATGGGAACTTTTTCTCATTGGTTCCTTTAAGTGTCTTAAAAAAACTGATGTCTTCCTAAGAGAACTTGTGAAAGGTGGTAAAATGTTTAATTGGAACTTAAGAATAACTTCCTACTGAATAGCTTTGTTGATTTCACTTTCCTGTGGGGAAAAGATAGACATTGACAAAACTGTTTCGATGAGAATTAATCATAGCTGTAGATTTCAAGGTATGTTATGATACTAGGTTTCATCTCCTGGATCTTCCTCCTCTACATTAAAATGATTAGAATGATAAACTCAAGGCATATTAATGATCCCTAATCAATGTAAAAAAATTATCATTTCTCTTCTTTATGCTGTATTTACTGTCAGAAATACAGACATACATATTAGGAAGATTTTTCTTGAAGGGAATTGGCACAAAAGGGTTGAGACCTTTAATTAATCAAAAAATTGACCATTCCTTGAACCTTGATTGTTTGGTATCATTAACAAAGGACATGAGACAACATGTTCAAGCTTTATAATTTGCTGGAAATAATATTTTCTTTTTTTTTAAAAAAAGCAATTTTTTGTTGTAATTGTTAATCTTACTATATATTTGTCTCCTGAAAATGGTGTTATTTGCCACTCCTTCTACGTATTAATTGGTGTAAGCTCTTAAGTTATATAGGATAGTTTTAATTTCTCCAAAAAGCTGCCTAAGGAAAGTAAAACACCATAAAGAAAAGGGTATGTACCCAAGAAGTAGCAAGAAACTAAAGAGAAGAGATTGAGATATTATCATGAGAATTTAATAAGAGAATTAAATATCTAGAAAAATGTGTACATACTTAGAAGTAGTAAACATTAATTTCCTTTCTTCCATCTATAGTTCACCTCTAGATCACTCTTTTCTTTCTTTAGATCATCAGTATCCAAGATTGGAAAGAGTAAATGAGTGTTGATAAATGGGCACTCTCTTGTTCTGTTGATATAAGCTTAAGTTGGGGTAGCTTTTCTGGAGGACTGCTTGACAATATACGTCAAATTTATATTGTGATGTCCTTTGGCCATGCAATTTACCCTTCCTGGAATGTACGCTAAGTAGATAATTGAATAAGTGAAAAACCAAATGTCTTCATAAGGATATTCACCATAGTTTTGTTGAAAATTATTTACAAATTGGAAACAATCTAAATAAATGTCAATACAGGAATAGTTTAATTGCATATAGAACTGTACATACAATGTAATCCTATGCAGTCACTAAAAATGAAAATGTATAGGTGTATTGATTGCCCTGGGCAATTACCATAACGTATAAATGAATGAGTAAAAGTATCACAGAATAATACTCTTCCCTCCTAAGTAAATCCTCACCAATAAATCCTATTATACAAGGCAAAACCTGTATATTATCCCTATCCCCTAATTTTCATCATCTCTCATATCTAATCCACCATGATGTCTTTTTCATTCCTAAGTGTGTTTCAGATCATCCACTTCCCTCTAACTCTATCACTGTCTTCTGGTCCAAGCTTGGTATTCAATTAATACTTGTTAAATGGATTCTGAATATGATTCCATTCATAACAGCACACCTATCCACGTACGTATGTGAAGACACAGGTGCCTAGAGAGGTGTTCACTGAACTACTAATGGTGGTTTCCTCTTCTGTGGTAGAATTCAGCATTATCTTTATTTTTTTATTTGAATTTCTCTTGTTGTTTGAAATATTTTTAAATAATAATGTGTAATTTACCCCTCTCCAAAAATAAAACTTATAAAATGGGGATGATAACTATTATTCTACCTTTCTCACTGGATAAACATAGTGGTCAAATAAACAAATACTCGTGAAAGTCTTTTATAATGTGAAAACAAAGGTTTTTTTGTTATTATGTGCAATAATAATAATAATAACTATAGATACTAAAATTTGTTGAATATATTTCCTCAGTATTTTGAGTGTCTTAACTCATTTAAATCTCACAATAAGCCTATGATACTATAAATATACCCATTTCAAATATGAGGAAACTGAAGCAGAGACAGACGAAATAATTTATCCAGGTAGACACAGCCAGTAGAGCTGAGGCAGGATTTGACCCCACACAATCAGGCCCTAGGACCCAAGCCCTAACCACTGTGCCAAAATCATAATACCTGCAGGAAGTGGCAAATGTTGAACTTAGCTCCATATATCAGACTCTTGCCACTGTGAAGCCCTTACAGATAATTTCTTTTCTTTTTTGAGACGGAGTCTAGCTCTGTTGCTCAGGCTGGAGTGCAGTGGCGCGATCTCGGCTCACTGCAAGCTCTGCCTCCCAGTTTCACACCATACTCCTGCCTCAGCCTCCCTAGTAGCTGGGACTACAGCCGCCCACCACCACGCCCGGCTAATTTTTTATACTACCTCAGTTAATTTAGAAAGATTTTCAGGCACTGATGAATGATTTTGGGAGTAATCCCAAGCCAAATGACCTCTGTTGGAAGTAATTTAATAGATGTGTTTAAATATTAGAGGTGGGTGAGATGGTGAAGAATTAACATTTGAGGAACATTTGGTATCCTCTGGGCAATATGTAGACACCCTTTCAATAAATCCTCACAACACCCCAGTAAGTTATGTGTTATTTGTTTCTATTGTAAGTTGCAGTCATAGATAAGGAAACTCAGATATGTATTAAGTCATTTGCTCAGGTCTTTACAGCTATTAAGTTGCAGAGTTGGGAGCCCATCTAAACTCCTAAGATCAGGGTCTGGATCACCTCTATTATTTTACATTGGGCATCTATCATCCAGGACCTATGTGCTGCAGGAACGTAATTAAGAATGACTTTGACAAGATAAATATTTGGGGACATGAAGCCTGATCACAGAGTCTACCAGTTATGTGGACTTGGGCAAGCAACACCATGAACCTCACTTTTTTCATTCTCAAAGTGGGACTAATGAAATTTTTCCTGCTTCTCCAAAAGATAATTTTAGTCACTCTGTTGGTGAGTTTTGCAAAAACATTGTAGTATAAGCCTTCACAAGGAATTACAGAGAAGAAGATAAGTCTTAGCATTCAAGAAGCCTGGACTGTACCTGTCTCAAAATTATTTTATGCTAAATGCAGACAATTTTCTCTATTTGGAGTTTCTTTCCCATCTTAGTTGGCCTCTTCTCAGTTTTCTGAATGAAGCGTGCACCCTCGGATGTCTGGCCTTTACTCCTGCATGTCTTCCGGTCTGGAATACCTTCCCCTCCCTCAGGAACTTAACCAGCTTCAACATGCAGCCTTCCTGAACACTCCAACATGAAGGGATGCCCTTCTGTTCTAAATGTCCACTGCACTGAACAAATCATTTAATACAAATTTCTCTGTAGTTTATACAGAGGATTTGTGTTTATGGGCTTATATGTTTTCTTTAAAAATAAGTTATAAAGTTTTTGATGCTAGAGCATTCTTTTGTATCCCCAGGAGACACTCAGAATATATTTGTTGATTGTTTTGATTTTAAAGAAAAAGGCGGAAGAATGAGGTAAAATGGCCACTATCTGTCAGGAACTTCATATAATTATCTCTGCCCAGAAATAAATTAAAATAGTTTTCTTCAGCCAGTTGCAATAGCTTATAGAAAAAAATTACCTTCCCTAGATGTCAGTGTCCCAATTTGGAAAACAGAGTTTGGTCATATATTTTGTCCGCTGTTGTACAACCTTTAGAAACATAAAATTCAAGAGGAATACTAAATAAAAGGATCAATCAATACTGAGTTCAGCTTTAAAATTATTTCATCTAATAATGCTGGTTTTCTTGGCAGCACTAGCAAGGGCTAGAATTTTTTAAAAATCATCCTTATATATGTATTGATTGAATTTATTAAAATGCTTTATTACCATATCCATTTGCTTATAAGAAGGCACCCTGATGTGTCCTATATGAGTTTCAAAACACAATTAAATAAAACCATGCAGAGCAACAAACACTACGTAGCATTTACAAACTGCATTTGTATTCATTTTTATGTACATGAAGGGAAAAAAAACCCAAAAGGTTGAAAGCCTTCTGGAGTGATAAATGCCACAATTTAGTGGAAAATACACATTGTAATTTGAGAACATCTCCCACTAAGAGTCAGTGTAGCTACAGGGACAAGAAGCCTGGTGCTAAATTGTCTGAACATTGATGTCCCTTCAAAATTCATATGTTGGATCCTAGTACCCAGTGTGATATAATCAAGAGATAAGGTCTTTGGGGAACTGATTAAGTCATGAGGGGTTCTCCATATGCATGAATGGGTTCATGCTCTTATAAAAGAGGTTGAAGAGAGCACCCTAGGGCCTCTTGCCCTTCTGCTTCTGCCATGTGAGGGCGTAGCAAGAGGCACTCTTTATGAAGCAGAGTGAGCCCTTGCCAGACACTGAATGTGCTGGCGCCTTAATCTTGGACGTTCCAGCCTCCAGACTGTGATAATTAAATTTATTTTATTTCTAAATGACTCAGTCTAAGAAGTTTTGTTATAGCAGCCCAAACAGACTAAGACCCCTGGCCCACAGGCTCCTGAGCATCTCAGTGCCTTTGAGGCTATAAAGGACCTCGACCTTCACTTTCAGCACATGTTCAAGTAAAAGAGAAAAATGTGTGTAAAGAAGTGCCCATACCCAATAAACATACCCATATTTATTGCAAATTATCCTCTAAACTGTTTCATTGTGGTCAAAACCCAAGTTATAAATTTTTAGTGTCCTTTTAAGAGTTCAGTATTTGTCAACCTACGGTCAACATTTGCATCAACAAAGAAGGTAAGATATGTTGTGTTATCTTTGTCATTTTTCAGCTGTCAACTAGGATAGGGGCCAGAAATAGCAAAACTGTAAACTTGAAATTGTTTCAGGAAGAAGTGTAATAGCTAAGGGGTGTCTATGAAATGGAATGTATATCAATATGAGGTAAGACAGCTGGTAAAAAATAAAAAATTAGCAGGAGGGGCACCGGATTCATGTACCAGGGAAAATAATGTCATGTTCATTGCCCAGAGAGATTCCCAGGAATTAGAGATTGAGAAATATTATTTCTTGACATGTCTAGAGGCTACGTGGATAGAAGTTCTGGAAAATGTTTGAGATAAAGGCCAATAAAAAGCAAAAGGACCTGAGGATTCTGTTTATTCACTGAACAGAGAAGCTAAAAATTGGGCTCTCATTTTGGACAAAAATAAAAGCCATAGTAATAAGTAAAATAAAATAACCTACCAGGTAGCAGAGCTCTTAGCAAAGGATTCTGCAAGCAAAAGGCAGGTGTGAATTGGGAAAGTGAGTCTGGGATTGAGGTGAGGTGGGGTTAGGTGTAGAACAGGGCTATGAAGGTCAGGGCAGTGGAAGGTTTGATTCTGGAAAGCATGGCTTCAAGGGAAAACTTGAGTGGTGAACGGGAAAATCTGTGAGGATCGGAAATGTAAGTCTCTATACTTGCTGGGGAAATGAGCAAGAAATGAAAGGGAGAGAGCCAGATGACGCAGCTGGAAGCAGAAATCTGAGCAGGGGGAACCTGGCAACAGAGAGGAGGAGCTGGAAGAACAGGGGCAGATCAGATCTAGAGCCAAGCTGTATTCTCTGGCCCCATACTTTAATATTCTACCTATGAGGCGCAGTGCCTTTGGGTGTTGTTCATAAAATTCCAGTGTTGAAAAGGGTTTCAGACATTGTCCGTGAAGCTCCTCTATCCATCAAGCCCTTTGCAATATTTACAGTAAGGAAAGTGGGAGCGCTTCAGAAAGAGAGAGAGAGAAAAATGAAAATTCCTAGCCCCATCTAGACATGCCTTATCAGTGAGTTAGGCGAAGTGCACAAAATTTAAAAGTAAGATTCTAGTTGTTTGTATTTTAGCTATTCACGTTGCATCACAAGAGCTCCACAACTGGATTTAAATAATTGTTTCTGCCTTAGCAATCTTAAGTGTGCATGTATTGTTCAGCTATTCCTTTAGGGGAAAGATTGCTAGATGGGAATAAAATGGAAATGCTGTTTTCTAAAAGTTGTGGTCTTCATAGGGAGATAGCTCTTCACTTCGTGTGTTAGTGATGAACATTTGCAAGCTGTAGAGCTGTAGAGAACACTTTGTGGTTCTTCTATTTGAAGAAACCCTGATGGCTTTGTCACATATTCCAAGTTTAACTTTTATTTTTAAAGAGTTTATACATCATATTTGAAAAAGACTCAAACATGTCTAGAGTTATATGTTAGACACTAAACATACTTGAAAAAGATTTAAAACCTTGGTTTTAGTCATCTGTAAGTACTCTATTTTAAGGACAACTAATTAATACTTATAACTCAGATAATTCAGGAGACGATCAATGATTATGAAATAACTTCCTATGACATACTTTTAAATAGTAAATGCCTTCACTGCATGTAATTCACACATCAATATATACTAAACTATTTCCATTAATATAGCCAGTCTCCAATTTACAGGAAGACATTATGTTTCACAAGTTGATTTTAAGTGAATTTTTTGTAATATAGAAAGAATTGTCCCAAAGAGTGACTGCTGAACTGGTTAAATCCACAAAAAAAAGCATCACATGAATTCATCTACTAGGCAAATTTGCTCATCCACTTTCAAGTCAAAAAAAAGTTTTAAATTAGATAAAAACCTGTGTATCCCCTTTCTTAGTAAATTTGCCTGCTGTGATAAATATACACGTGCACACAAAAATAGGCATGCATTTTTAAGAGGAGTAGAAACCCATTTGAACTTGTCCAGGAACTCAAGTTTAGAGGCTCAAATGTAGAGAATACTAATAACCACCTATAATAATTCTTTTGGAGAAGGCATACTGTATTATGCCTAGTGCTTAATAGGACAGGGGATTTTTCATCTCTCATGTGCCTGGGAATGAGAGCCAGGGGCTTCCCCCAATTCTAAAAAAATTAGCAATTCAGCAGAATCTACAGTGGGGCCAAATTGTGGCTGGGATTTGGGGGATTTCATCAAAGTGGGTCAGAGGTAGAGGTGGAAGAGAAGCAGAAGGCCGGTGGGAGTAGGATACAGTACAGGGGCGAGCTTCCAGCTGGCTCCATCAGTTGAGGAAGAAGAAGCAATCCCAGGAGGTCCATACTCTTGATATTTTATCCCTCCTCTCACTAAGGACAGCTATGCCCTTTGTGATCTGCCCTAGACTGACTTTTTAATACAGAGAATGAAGGCCAGTACAGAAAGCAAGGAGAGAAAGAAGAGAAATAGATGCTAAGTTGTCCCCTTGAGGAAGAATGAGGGAAAATGGAGTTCCTGCCACCCTAGTCTATTAGCTGACATTGTTACTCCTAATTCAAGGTAATTATTGGTATGCAAAGAAAGTATGTATTAACTATATGTCAACCAGTAACTCCCTGAAATCCACTTGATGATAGAAAATTAGTCTATGGCCATATCACTGTGAATGCACCAAATCTCATCTGATAGCAAAATATTGCATACATTTCTTCTAGAAACTAAGAATTCCAATGAAAAGCTATGAAAGAATCCTACTTAGGTCTGAATTTCCATACATTCCTGGTATCTCAGAGGGTGGCAAGGTTAGAAAACTTGAGAATCTGTGGGCACACTAGGGATGAAGTGATAGTATTCTTTGTTGGATATCAAAAGAAATCTAAGCAGGAGAACCAAAATCCATTGGTGGAACCAAAAAACCATTGGTGGTCTGAAAAGTTAGGTGGGAGAATTGAATAGCTTAGTTCTAGGGATCAAGTAACCACCCTGACTATTGAGCTTCCCGATAAGACAACATGATGGAAACTACATGGTTTCATCCAGGTGCTGGGAACAAGTCCTACTGAACATTGGCTTTTGGACAAATAACAGGCAGATTCTTTGGTGAAGCTTTGTTCATCTGAAACTCTTCCCTGTCCTCTCTTCTCCACTTCATTTTTCTGATGAGGAGAATGGAAGTTTGTATAAACTAGAGTGCTCAAGCAGCAGGCAGTGGAAGAGGCAAGACCTCCAAGTAGATCTGCAAGCTCTGAACCAAGTGACCTATCTCTAGGCCATATTGAGGAAGGCCAATGCAGTTTTGCGATCTCTCTACCTCTTCATTTTTCCTTTTCCTCCTCCCCTTCCCCTTTTGCTCTCCCCCTCTTCCTCTCAAGAGAGTAATGTGCTAGTAGTACCTGATGGTACCCCAGTGCTTCCTGCCTTCCTCCCTTCCACTTCCTGCCTTCCTTTCTCCCACTTCCTGCCTTCCTCCCTTCCACTTCCTGCCTTCCCCAGTCCCACTTCCTCTCTTCCTTCCTGGCACCCCCCAGCACTCCCTTCCCTCCTTCTGTTCTCCAGTACCTTCCTTTCTTTTCCTTTGCCCTTCTCTCTTCCTCCTTCTCTCTTTATTTTCCTTCCTTCCTTCCTCTGCAAGGCCTTCTTACTAGTTTCCACCCATTTTCCTATGTAAAGCGATTTTGAATTCTAGCCATCTGTTAATACAAGGCAGTGAAAAATGTTGAAGTCACATCAAATTCCACTTGCTCTGCCAGTTAAAAATACAGATGCTTCCTGTTTTATGCTTTCCTCTCACTTTCTCTAGAGTTTAAACATGAAAATATGTTCCATGATAAAAACCAGCACATATTCCCTTTCATCAGGAAACATATTCCAAACAATGAAAGGAAGGGGAGGGGGATTATTTTCACAAGTCCAGCAAGGATACTTGGATGTTGGGGGAATCATTTGTAGAACCATAATTTCACAGAGCAAGAACATAATTATTCACAACTATCACATTTTATAGATGAAGAAACTGAGATCGCAGGGAATTGTTATAATTGTTCTCATATGTGCTGCATATCGACTTGCCAAAATTCACATCAGCTTAAATTTTCACCCAACATGCCTGGTCCTCAATTGTTCCACAATACTTTTTGCTATCCGCTGATTTCAGAAAGGGTTCTTTTGGCTACTGGGAGAGGCCAAATCACTAAGCAATGGATAATTAACCTGAAACTCAGTAAATGCACTGGAGTGAAAAAAAAATGTGAGACTAAGAGTCAAGACACCTGGGTTCTAGTCACAAATCTGTTACTAACTACCCATCCCAACTCATAGCAAAAATTTTTATTAATACTCTTGCTCCACAAAGAGACTAGATCAAATGGTCTCTAAATTTACTTTCAACTCTTTGAATCTTGAGTTTTCTTCCTTCAATTTTCTGCTGACTCAGAGCGTATAGCCTTGGCCAAGTTATTTACTGCCATAAATCTCATTTTTTTTCCAAGATGAAAGGGAGAATAACACATTCCCCTATTTTCCCAGCATATATATATATACACTATATAATCTTGCATTAAATTGACTATCTTTAGAAATCACATTAAATCCTTTCTATCTATAGACTTTGGATTAGTCACTAAAGCTAGAATAAGACATGGGCCATATCATTAGGCAATGTCTCTGGCTGTAGTTGTATTATCAAACACTGCATTGACGCTTGTTCATCCTTGCTTCCATCATACCTTTTTATGTAAGCTGTTCTAATTCTTACATGACTATAACATGGAGCACTGTATGTCACCATATCTCTTCCTCTCATTGAATCTGATCGTATTCTAATATCTCCTATCTCAATGCCTAGTTCTTCACCCATTTTACCAATGCAATATAGAAACTTTCTTACTGCCTTTTTATTTCTTACTTTTCTTTTGAATAATTCACCAAGTTATTATTGATTTTGTCTGCCTGATGTCTTTCAAATTTATCCACTTTTCTCTCTTCCATGATATCCTAATCTAAGCTACCATCACCCCTCAACTGAACTACAGCAGTCAAAAGGGTTATTTCCACACAGCAGTCAAAAGGATTGTTTCAGGTGCTAAATTTGGCAATGTCACCCCACTGAATGGCTTTCTTCTGGTCTTAAAGACCCGATTCCAGAACAAAACTTACATGGTAGGCAGCTCCTGGCCCTTGACTGTGTTTCTAGTGTCATAGTACATGCTCCTGACCTTTTGCCCTCTTTGAGTTCCTCCTCCTCACTATCCTTTCCTGGAGATTCAGGTTTGGCAGTTCCCCGGGGTTAGAATGCTCCTCCATGATTTACCTAGTTGCTGCTTATTCTTCTGGTTTTGTACTGATGGTCATGTTCTCAGAGCAGCCTTCTCAGCCTCCCTGGGTCAGTTCCCTCCATCATGCACCATCATTGTGCCTTGTATCCTTGCTGTTATTATACTTATCAGAGTCGTAATTTTACATTTGCTCATGTCATACTTTTTAGATTATGCTTTGCTTTCTTCTCCTTCACCAGAGTGTAAACTCTATGATACTATGTCTATTTTTATGTCACCATTGTAATTCCAGTGCCTGGCATAATATCTAATGCATAGAAGGTGCAGGCTAAAATTCTATTGAATAAATAATGAATGAAAAGAAAGAATAGAAGTGCCTGAGTTCAGGCCCTGTATCCCCATTCCCTCATATATGTGGTTGGAACCATAGAAGGCAAAATTTGGTGTTAAAAGAATAAAGCTGGCAAGCACTGATGTGCCTAACAGGATAGGAAGTTCAGAATTCTTTTTTAAAAGTGTTCAAGGGCCCAGGAGTGCCTGGCTAACATAATGAGACCCAGTCTCTACAAACATTTAAAAATTACACAGGCATGGTGGCATGGGCCTGTATTCTCCGCTACTCTGGAGGCTGAGGTGAGAGGACTGCATGAGCCTAGGAGGCTGAAGGCTTCAGTGAGCTGTGATCACACCACTGTAGTCCAGCCTGGTCAACAGAGTGAGACCCTATCTCTTAAAAAAAGTTCTAGGATATTGGAGTTGATAATGTTTGTAAAGATCAACGCTAACATTGCCTCCAACCAAGTCTCAATATGCTCCAAAAAGAAATACTTCAAATTAAAACTCGTGTGTGTGTGTGTGTGTGTGTGTGTGTGTGTGTGTGTGTGTAAGGAGAGGTGGCTCATACCTGTAATCCCAGCACTTTGGGAAGCCAAGGCGGGCGGATCACTTGAAGTCAGGAGTTCAAGACCAGCTGGCCAACATGGTGAAGCTCCGTCTCTACTAAAAATACAAAAATTAGCGTGCTGGCATGCACCTGTAGTCCCAGCTACTCGGGAGGCTGAGGCATGAGAATCACTTGAACCTGGGAGGCAGAGGTTGCAGTGAGCTGAGATGGTGCCACCGCACTTCAGAAACAGAGTGAGACTCTGTCTCAAAAAAAAAAAAAAAAAAAAAGGCCGGGCATGGCGGCTCACGCCTGTAATCGCAGTATTTTGGGAGGCCGAGGCGGGCGGATCACAATGTCAGGAGTCCCAGACCAGCCTGGCCAACATGGTGAAACCCTGTCTCTACTAAAAATACAAAATTAGCCGGGCGTGGTGGTACATGCCTGTAATCGCAGCTACTCGGTAGGCTGAGGCAGGAGAATCGCTTGAACCTGGAAGGTGGAGGTTGCAGTAAGCAGAGATTGTGCCATTGCATAATGGAGTGAAACTCCATCTCAAAATATATATATTTTTATATATTTTTAAATATATGTTTATAAATATATAAATATTTTTATATACATATCTATATATAGAGAGAATAAATATGTATCCACAGAGAGAGGGAGAGAGATACCAAGACAAACTTATAATTGCTATAAATTCAAATAAGAGAGAAGTCAGTAAAACCTAGAGTAACTAGGAAATACTCCCTAGAGGCCAAATTTGACCTGTGCTTTGAAAGGTAATTACAATTGGGACAGGAAACGGCACGGCTTCTTTCTCAAAGATTGATTATTCTGACTATTCTCCATTAGCTCTTCCTTATACACTTTCCACTTTCCCAAACTCTGTCCCGGGATGCTGACATGAACCACGTCAACAGGACTCCCTCACATCCTGTCTTCAAGTAGCATTTGCCCAGAGAGAGGCCTCAGGCAGGAGGTTGTAGGATGGAAGGAGAGATTTGCAGGCATTCATTTCCCTGCTCCCTCCCTGCCTGGCTGCAGTGGGTAGTAGCTAATTCCTCTTCTGAAGGCCACAGCTCCTGGTGGATGCCCCCTTCTCACTTACAACTGAGCTTCTCAGTGGGTTACCCCTTCACAACTAGGGTTGGTCATGGCTTTCTGATGCTGTGATCACCCAGGGTACTTTTAAACTCTCTACTTATCCGTCTGGGGTGCCATGTGTTATTTGCTAAGAATGAGGTAATAGGAATTTTTTAAAAAAAGATTAAAATAATACTATCAGCCTGTCAATGGGGATTCCTCCCACCCCCAAAAATAGAGTTGTTCGTTTCTCTTTGTTTGGTTTACATGATATATATATATATATATATATATCATGTATATGTATATGATTTACCTCAAAACAGATCACAAAGCTGAGGTCACTTGAAACTGACTATTACAAGCTAGCTGGTAGAATTAAACTTGTTTCCCTAAGTAAAATAGAAAAATTTGGCCAAGAGATAAGAAAATAGCTGCCCCTCACCACCACAAACACATACATACACACTATACTGAATGGATCTTCATAGAGAGTAAGTTAATAAGAGGCCAGCCCCTACCTCTGCTTCCCTCCCCAGGGACATACATATAAATAGTTCAGTTATGTCTGACTTAATAGATTTGGGAAGGAGGAAACGTGAGAGGCTAGTCCTTCTGAAGGGTTGGGAGGTAAGGGTGAGGGAAGGGAGGGGAGCAAAATTACGGTACTGGGATTTGGACCCAGATAAAAGCTGCTTTGTCACATCATCCCGATGTAAAATCCGTGCATCTGAGAGATAGCCCCTGAGCCACCACACAGGCTCCTCCCACCAGAGTCTGTCTGGCAGGGGTCAGTGCTGCCTCGCTGTGGATTAGAGGGAGTCATCGACATGTCATCTGCCATCAACCACACTTATTGTGAGGAAAAGAATGCCCCATACACATAGAGGCCACCCTTGGGATGGACTTTTGAGTTGACTAAAGAGTAAAAATCACAATGGATCATCCACTAGTCAGCATTATTACCTTTACTAACAAAACCAGTAGCTTAGCCACGATCGTATAAAACAATAAATGTTGGTTAATTTCTAAAGTACATTGATTGTTTTAGTTTTTGTTTTAAGAAAAAGGCTTGGCCGGGCGCGGTGGCTCACGCCTGTAATCCCAGCACTTTGGGAGGCCGAGGCGGGTGGATCATGAGGTCAGGAGATCGAGACCATCCTGGCTAACAAGGTGAAACCCCGTCTCTACTAAAAATACAAAAAATTAGCCGGGCGCGGTGGCGGGCGCCTGTAGTCCCAGCTACTCTGGAGGCTGAGGCAGGAGAATGGCGTGAACCCAGGAAGCGGTGCTTGCAGTGAGCCGAGATTGCGCCACTGCAGTCCGCAGTCCGGCCTGGGCGACAGAGCGAGACTCCGTCTCAAAAAAAAAAAAAAAAAAGAAAAAGGCTTTATGTGGCTGTTGGGAATAGGATTATTTCCTCTAACATTTATCCCAGTATTTTTAAAATAAAGAAACATTTGGTCGATGAAAAGTATAGAATATTTGTGGTAATTATAATAAGTGAATACATTACATAATGTCCTTTGTGAAAAAGGCTTACATTATTATAATGGGAAGGAGGTAAATTAATCTGAGTAGTATTAGTATAATAGTCTTAGTAATTATAATGGAATGAATCACCCTATATTATAATTATGATTCAAATAATATATATTTTTAGAGATCAACCGTTTCATGATGTGCTGGAATGGGATGTGGTAATAGGAGAGCAGTGATTTTGGCTAACACATTAGGTATTCTGAGTCAATTTGGCACAACAGCAGAAATTATTTTCTCTATTGTCTTATTGAGAAGAAACGTCCTAAGAAGGATCTTGGGGAAAATAAATAAGTATGTGAGTCTGACATAGGAAGAGAGGGTTTCTTCCCCTGCAAGGCACCTTGTGAAAGCCTAGTGGGGAGAAATAGTGGGATGATGAAGGATGGGGCAGGTTACTTCTGGAAGCAAAATTCAGATCCCGAGTGCAGGTGTTGTTCAGGCCTCTGTGCCCCACTGTAAGTGTGCTGGCTTCATTGAAAGGGATGAGAATAAGGCAGACACGTTCAAATATGCAGAGTGAGGGAAAATACAAAGAGCATATTTGATATTGGTTGAATGATTGAGAATATTTGATATTTGATATTGATTGATAATTGATGAGCACTTACTGTGTGACTAGGAACTGAACTAAATGCTGCCCCAGAGATCATTCTTATTTATGCTCACACCACTCATGAAGCAAACCATTGTTGTTATTTTCATTCTTCAGATGAGGAAACTGACAGTCAGTGATGCTAAGAAACTTGCTCAAGGTCACTACAGTAGTTATTGTGGGCCTGGGGTTTGAATTCAGCCTAACTCCAGAGTCTATGACCTTAACCATTAAGTGAAATAAGTGAACATCTTCATGTTCAGGACATGTGATGTGTGTGCACACGCATGTGTGTGTGTACAAAATAAAATATTTGAAGCCAACAGGATCCTAAGTCTGGGTGGGTCCTAATGCCAGAGTGCTTAGGGACACTTCCTTTTTAAGCAAGATAGTTTGACATTGTCAGCTTTTAATTGTAATTTAATTTCTTGTGTGAACATTATTAAAATGTATTAAAACCAGAT
Organism: Homo sapiens; assembly: GCF_000001405.40. NCBI lineage: Eukaryota > Metazoa > Chordata > Mammalia > Primates > Hominidae > Homo > Homo sapiens. The sequence goes on from NC_000008.11 coordinate 32,160,777, forward strand.
CAAAACATCCAAGACTTTTATCCCCCTGATTTTTATAGAAGCCCTCTGCTTACAAGCACTTAAAGAGAGATGAATCCTTATTTTTCCTCTGGTAAGTGATTTCTAAATTCCCGTAGAAAAGCCTTTAAAAAGAAAACTCAACTAGCTGCATTTATGGACTTGAATACCTACACTCTACTAAAATTATTGCCTTTTCTTAATGATGTTCCTGACTCATCCTGAAAATTGATCATATATGTATAAGGTGATGCTCACTTTACAGGTGGAGAATGTTGTAGCCACAAGTAATGAAGACTAATATATAGATATTTAAATCCACATTTTGTCCAGAATTCTCAAGCAGGGAGTTCTAACCTAGCCCCACCCCTCATTCCCTCATTAAGCATTGTTTTCTTAGAAAGGATTAAAACTGGTAATATATCTGTAATCAATTAGCTGACATGACTTAAAATTGATAAGTCATTTGATGAATTCTCATCTCAAATTCCGAATGAATAAACAATGAGAAATGGGAAAGCCTTTGGCAGAGAGAGACTCATTGAATCAGTTAATTAAGGAAAGAGAAAGAGCCAGAGTACAAGCTATCAATATCACCTACATGGGTCAAGAACTCATCCTTATGTGTGTAATAATAGAGCTACTCATAAACCTGAAATGATACAATTAATTACGGAAGTTATAGAATATTGGAGCATCCTCGGGTGAAAAATAATTGTGTCTATATTATAAAAGTATGCAACATAACACATTTTATCTGCATTTAACATTTTGTTGGTGTTTCATGCAAATGAAAAAAAAAAAACACTGTTTTTATGATTTAGCCAAACCATGCTAACTCTAGTAACAACCCTCCCAATCTCAGTGTTTTAATGCAACAAACAGTTGTATCTTGTTGGTATAAATTCCACTGCATTGTTCTTGGTTGGGTTGTTCCTTAAAGAGGATACTCAGGAATCCATTCTCTTCCTATACTGTTCCAGAGGAAGATGGCTCCTCCATTTTCAATACGTGGCTTCAAGGTCACGCTGACGTTGTTCAGACAGTGTTCTGTTGGAAGAGTGAGAGAAAAAAGCATGTACATACAATTCCTTCCAACACACATACACTTAACTGCTTTGGTTTGAAAGTGACATAAACCTTCTGCTCACATTCCATTGGCCAGAATTCCTCACACAGTCCCCACCTGGCTTAGTGCTCAGGAAGAGGAAATAGATTTGATGATCATCTAGGCAATGTCTGTGATGAGATTGGTTCAAAAAATGTACCAGTAAAAATAAAAATAATCCTGTTCATTACATTCCAGAAAATGAACTGATTAAAGACAAATATGTATGCATCACTTTTCTCTTTACGTAGTGAAGCAATGTGAAAAACATATTAATTGAGCTATTCATGGCAAGACTTCTCTTTATAAACTTCATACATCTGTCACTAAATTGATATGAAAGAAATATTTGATCTCAGAAAGAATTTTATCTATCATGATGGAATGCTGGCAGCCAAATGTATACCTAAAAATTGCTGAAATATTGGAGTAAAAAGGAATAGTTAGATCGATCATCTTAATTTTGTGAAAGCATGCGTACATTTTTCACCTTGGATTCAGTTGTGTTGGCATTTTATAGGCACAGTTATAAATTTGCCTAAAATACAGAATGGCATTACAACAAAACTCAGACTCATGGTGTAATCATTGTTTTTTTCAAACTAAAAACAAAGAATGAAAAATAAAAACCTCTAAGAACAAAATTACTCCATTTAATTAAATTAAACAGACAAAACTTGGAGGCATAGTAGAGATGGCAAGGAAAGGCCTCAGACCCCTTACCCCCATCCAGGGGAAATATTTGCCAGCCACTCCTATCTTCAGCAAAACTTGAGTTATGATGTAAACTCAAGACTCTTAAATTTGTGATTAATCCTGGGTGTCTTGAAAATTGGAGAGTGGGTTAGCAAATTCATAGTTCCCCAAATTTGTGCTATCTACTGCTGTTTTCTTGTGGATTATAAGCTTGAAGGAAATGTGCTGCCTAGAGATATGAGCTGTGTGTAATTACTCCCACCTGCTGGGTAAAATCTTTATTACATGGGCATTAGACTTCATTCCCATCGAGGGGTGAGGAGGGGTGCAATATGAACCAACCACACCACAAGGCTTGTGAACATCCTTCCTCTATGGTGTCTCCTGACACTTCTTTCCAGCTTCCAAATGTGATACAACTTTGACTGGAAACTGTGAACCAATGTGTATCCAATGAACCAAGGGAGATTTAGCTCCTTAAAAGAAAATTAAATGTAGAAAGATGTGGAAGGATCAATGAATCATATTTATCCAATAAGTGGTTCAACAATTACAAGAGCGAGACAGGAAGGGAACCCTTCCAGGCAGAGTGGTCCTCAGCTCTGGTTTTCCAGCCTAGAGACCCATGTGGCAGGAACTTGGCCTTCATCATTGAATACCCTGCATACACCCTTCCTCAAGCCTCCTTTGTATGTGTGAGAGCACTGACTTCAGAAACAGAAATGAGTTTCCAGCCCTCAAGGGAACTGTTTGCTAAAGATTGGCAGGAGCCCACAAGACTACGACACAGTCTTTGATGAGCTGGCTCTCCAAGTGTGGGCAGACTTTTGTTTCTAAGTTATTGGGAGGCTTTCTGTGGGTATAAAACCTGCAAAAAACACAAGCATCAATGTTGCCATATTAATAACTGCTTTCATCCTTGGCAAGAAGAAAAAGAACGTGGGGAAAAGAGTCAGGCGCAAACATGGTTTGAGTTTTATTGTCTTTTACTTGCTCACTGCCTACACCTCCCACCAGTAGCTTTGGAAAGAGAGTTTCAGAAATGTTATCTTATGTTTTTTATCCCTAAGAATGGGGTCATAGTCTTCAATTTATGCCTAAAGTGTTTAACTACTCCTTCTTAATTTACTCGCTCTGCCCAGGAAGAAAACAGACATAACTTGCAAAGGTGGAAACACTGGTACGTTAGGAATATCATTCATTTTCGGATTCTTGGCCCTTGAGTTTCACTGTTACTTAATTGACAAAGCTGAGCTGTTTCATTTCACGCTAGGAAGTCTTTGGTTAAATTGCAGGCTTGGGTTTCTGTCCTTTGGCAGTGGAAGTAAAGAGAAATCAGAAGCAATGTAGCATTTATGAACCACTGGCTCCTCTAACTGCCTCTGTGGCTTCAAATCCTGATGATGTCAATTGTGGTTTGTGTATATGTACGTGTGTGAATGTGTACACACATGTGAGTGCGTGAACATTCGATTCATTTCTCATTTTTGTTCTCTCTCTTTTCCCCTCACCTCCGGACCTTTTCATCCTTCTTTATGTTCTGTTGCCTTCATCTCTTAGTTTTTCTATTCTATGCCCCTTTTGTTTCTACTCTTTTCATCTGACCTATTATTATGTCATCAGCTATAAGCACCATGGAAAACACTAGTTTCATCATCTCCATCTGAAAGAAAAAAAAAAACTCAACAAGGGAGAAGCTGAATATATCTGTCTTCAGTATCTATCTTTGAATTTGGAATGCTTCCTGCCAAGAAAATTATATTCTGAAACTCCTTAGATCTTGCAGTCTTCATGAAGCACACCAGCCAATAGCTGCCTCCTGACATCAGCTCAGATATCTGGTTGACTTTTGCTGCTAGCTCTTCCAGCCAATGAAAGTAGATACCTTAGGCCAGTGTTCCCAGACATTTAGGTTTTATGGGATAATAAAATCTCCAGGAGCAAAATGAAGAGGCTGATATATTGCCTTCTCTTTAAATTTTAACACTTTTGAAAAACTGCCATCTACACACTACCGCTTTTTACATTTTAACACTTTTTTAAAACTACCATCCATTGTCATCATTATTCCATAAAAAGAGGTATTTTAGGAAGGATACTCACAACATAAGTTGGATAAATTTAGCAATTAAAAAAGCACTGCTTTACTTTTATCTTCTCCTTTAATCAAAGATGGGATATGAATATCAACCAGCATTGATCCAATTTTAGGCCCTTAGTTCCAATAAAATTGTTCCTTTTCCCATATAAATGGTTATGCCTTTGGGCCAATTGCTCTGTCTCTCAGAGGTTATTATATCCTGTTGCCTCTATATTGAGGATTGCTGTTTCATCTTTGGAGTTACAATGTCCCAAAGGGATCACTGATACATTCTTAGCTCCAGTATATAAATAGAGGCACTAAGAAATAAAATGAGAGGGTTTTGACACCTCTCCCTCTCCCCCACCCCCCAACACACACAAACAAGTAAATGGGTTAGCTTTTATTTCTACAATTGCACAGCATATTTAGTGAGAGAGGGAAGTTGGAGGTGGGTATCACACATGTAAGATATTGCCCTTATTTTTTTTTTTTTTCAGAGACAGTATCTCATTCTGTTGCACAGGCTGAAGTGCAGTGCCTCGAACATAGTTCACTGCAGCCTTGAACTCCTGGGCTCAAACAATCTTCCTACCTCAGCCTTCTGAGTAACTGGGACTACAGGCATATGGCCACCATGCCCAGATAACTTTTTAAAAACATTTTTGTAGAGATAGAGTCTCACTATGTTTACCAGGCTGGTGTCAAACTGCTGGCCTTTAGTGATCCTCCCATTTTGCCCTCCCAAAGTGCTGGGATTACAGGTATGAGCCACTGCACCTGTCCTGGCCCTTATTATTGAGTAGATTGTAGTCTAATGAAAACATATGAGTATAATAAACAAAAGAAAAAAGAAAACATATTTAGCCAATTCATAGCAAAAGGCAGACAGAAGTAGATGCTGAATAGAGAAACAAGACTGTTAGAGGGCAGAGAAAGGAGTAATTCATTTTGCTGGAAGAATCAAGGAAGCAATCACAAAGGTTTAATGTGTAATTCTGAATTTATGTGATTGCTATATAATCATTCTGTTTCATGGCTGCAGTGTAAGCTGTGTGAGGGCATTGTTTGTATCAGATGTCTGAACCTCTTTATCTCATCCCTTATCATAGTGTCTGGTATCTAGTCTATAACCCATAATATCTCCTGAATAACTGAATGGGTGCCTACAATGATAAGTGGTGTGAAAGATACCAAGAAAATCAAGTATCATTCATTGCCCCGAAAGCACCTGTGAGCACATAGGTTTGCAAACATGCCACATGTGTTCGGTCAGCCCATTGCTTGTGTACATGATCATAGATGGTCATAGGGATTTACTTCATTCTGAAATGGAATAATTTCATCCTCACCCTGCTTTACCTTAGGTAAAGATTTTGATGCCATTTTTATTAAGACATTTACTTGGAAGTAAATGTCATGCTGTGAAGAGCCATTATAGACAAATATTGTAGCCACTTGCCAAGTAATGACTTATGCTGGGAAGTTGCTTAAAAGGCTGATTTTATTCATTTTATTTGCTATACCCTTGTGCTACTTAGAGAAGGGTAGAGAATGAGAGAGGAGCAATATGTTTTGTTCTCTTTTTTTTCATAAATCAGTAATTATTTGCAGAGTGTTTTGTGTAAAGTGCTCAGCTCACAACTGGAAATAGAATCCTGGGTTAGACAGTGGCCATAGTGATATTTACATATCTCCAGCTTGTAGTTTGCCAATTGAAATGCAGACATATGCGGAAATTGCCTCATTGTCATTCCTTGTTTTTGTAATATTATCCTTGGCTCTACGGATTCATTTTTTTTCTCCTTCTACTGTCAACACTGTTTTAGCAGTGAGTTATATTATCCGGTGACATCAGAGAAGCAAAGCTACATGTGTCAGCTTGGCAGGAATTGTCCACTTACAGCAAATTTGTGACAAGTTGTATTTTTCTACCATTTTCACCTGGAGTGACGAAGAATCTACAGTTGAGGGAGACAACATGGACCTCCCCTGATGGTAACAGTGCTATGTCCAATTGAGCTGCTGTTGCTTCAGTACCAAAGAGGAAGGAGCTGGTGATCTTTGAATAATCCTTCCCCTATGAAAAGTAGGAATGTATCCCCAGAGTTCATTGTCTGTATCTGTAGGTAATGGAGGCTTAACTGGCATTAAAATCATAGCCAGTTTCAGACCCATTAAGTTTAATGGTTTTTGTAATGATAGGCTGCAACTGATGGAATAACCAAAAGAACAATTCATGGACTGTTTATGGAAGAATACCTTCACCATTCAAAATGGACATTAAACTATGGCTGGTTTCATTGCAAGGCAAAAGTTCCCTCTTTATCTTCTAGTTAGGTCCATGTGCAGCCCAGGAGGTATGTAAAAGCTATACTTTAGGAGAAAAGTTGACTTGAAGCTTTTAAGCTAATGAGTTTGAACTTGGCATGTTTTCTATTATCATTGTCTTTAATCAGTGGTGTTATATAATAAGGAGCTAATAAATTAATCTAAGTGTAAGTCAAATTAATATAAGTTAAAGTCAAAATCCAGCTAGGCAAAGCCAGATAGGCATATTAAAATGGCAGCCCCTACCCCAATTCCTTGATAATCCATTAAAAGTAGAAAGTTTTGGTTAGGAAGCCACCTCCTGTTACGTAAATCAGAATGTAAGAGCCATGAGATTAGGGATTTTCATTTGTTTTATCCACTTTTATATCCTCAGTGTCTAGAAAAATGCTTAGCATATTGCAGGCACTCTGCAAATATTGAACATACGGGGTTGATGAACATATAACCCATTTTGGTTGATGTAGTTTTATTTCTTAAGAGGTAAAAATTCTTTCAGAAAAAGAAAAGTAATCATTTCTACAAAATAACCCTCCACTGGTTGATATTCTTCCCAGATCTACCTTTCTTCACACAGATCTTTTTTTAAGAGAAAACCACAGGGATATGTGGCTGGTGCAATCAATGATAGGTTTGGGATATGATAAAATGTAGGAAATGGCTAAATGGGAGAGTACATGATTTATAAAATAGAATTTAAAATAACAGCCCTCAACAGCAGATCTTTGCCAGCAGCACATGATGGGAAAATATAAACCCCATTCTGGGGATGGCATCTGGTACAGATTGAGAAATAAATTGGGCAGCGAAACAGAATGTGTCTTCAGTGGTCCTTAAGATCAAACCACCAATGATAAGCATGGATCATTGGAGCCTCCACCTTGCTCTTTTTGAAACAGCTAAAATCAGCAAGGGAATGAAAAGGAAATGGCTTTATCATCTGTGAGCAGCTTGCCCCTCCCTCTGGAGATCCAAATCTCCAAACATGCATTTTGATATACTTTGGGAGTTCTCTTTATCTAGTAATTTCATTTAGGGGAAAAAAATATAGCTCTCCCTGCCCACATCCCACATTGTTACATCACTGATTCCTCACCATGCTAACACATTCAATAATCTGACGTGCAACTCAACTAGAAGAGCAATCACAGCCAGTGATGGGCCGGCATCATGGAGAGTAAAGACAAATGGAAACAATAATAACTGTGGAAGAAGCAGATCTCAAATGGGAAACTCAATCCCAGTGATCAGGGAAAACTCCAAAGGAAGGATATGAGTTCAAAAAAATCAATTCAACAAAAACTTATTGTCTGTCTACCATGTATCAGGCATGGGGATATATTACTGGTCAACACAATGTGCTTTGCTGCCTGGTGCCTGTGTTCTGATATCTGGTGTGCATGTTCTCAATGGTATTGCAAGTTGCATTGGGCTAGAATCATGAAGTATTATCAGGGGATTTACTTGAAATTAAATTAGTCCCATTCTTGTGGAAATCTGGAGCTGGCATATGCATGGAAGTGAAGGTCTTGTTGCTGGTTGAATTTAGTGCCCTCTGCAATGAAAGCCAAATCCCAACTTTAGTCTGTGACTGGGGGGCCTTCTACAAAGAGAATGAATTTTAACAATTAACCAACAATCTAAATTCTTGGAAAGTGAAAGTTTCTAAAACATAAAATCCATGAAGACAGAATTAGAAAATCAATGTGTCCTTTTTGGAGGAAGAGGAAAGCCGCTGGCTGACCACGTCACTTTCATGTTTCTACTCAAATCTTATCAACAAGGCCTTTGTTGACCATTCATCCCCTTCCTAGGCCCCCTTATTTCTATGTCTGTCTTGTATCATCTGACACATTGTAAATGTCCTTATTTATTTGCTTACTGTCTGTCTCTTCACTCTGAAATATAAATTCCATCATGTCAGGGACTTTTTCTTCATCTTCCCCAAATGATGTTTGAAGCCTCCCATCTAATGCTGAGAGGTATTTCCCTAGTAGCCCTGTCATCACTTTCCTACCACTGTCCCTGTTGCCACATAATTTAAGATTCCCTGTGGCCAATGCTGATGTCATTATCATGGACGTCCTTAGGAAACGAAAATAATTTAAGCTTCTAAAATGGGCAAATTCGATGTAGAGTTGATGGGTACATCACACACCCATCTAGAAAAGAGCATCTCAGGTTGGTACCTGAAACTTGGTAGACTCCACCCCAAGTCACATGGCCAACTGATGTGTTACTTCTTAGACATCCTGCTTTCTCTGTCCATAGGCCTGGTTGGGTGGTCTTTTTCAGATACTAAATCATGGTACAATTGGTTTTCATAAAACTAGTACTCTAATTCTACTTTTCCAGTAGCCTTGAGTAAAGGAATGTTGAAAACTTGTAGTGATGAAACGTGTAGGATTTGCGATTTGTCGGAGTAGGGACAAAACTATTTGAGAACATAGTCCAGCTGACCAAAAGAAAATAAGTTCTCATATTACTAATAACTTTTAGGGATCCAATAGGCTCAAGAATTCTGAGGTTGGGTTTGACAGTGATTAGTGTAAATTAAGTAGAAGTAGTTAAGAAAGTGGCTGAAATTGAAGGATCGGTTGTGGTTAGTAAATATGGAGGATTGAAACACAATGCAAACTTGATAATTGATAACCTTCATTTAATTCTAACTAAAAGCCCACTTTCTGGTCCAAAGTTGGAACTAAGAATGAATTCTTTTTACTCTGAGAGGATATTTACAAAGAAAACACAAACACACAAACTATGGGTAACACAAAAGCAAACTAGAATGATTTATCTTATTATTCTGTTATGGGTTGAATTATTTCCTCAAAAAATATATGCTTGTCTTAACCCCAGTGCTGCTGAATGTGACTTTATTTGGAAATAGAGTCTTTGGAGGGGAATTAGTAAAGATGAGGTTATACTCAAGTAAAGTAGGTCCTTAATCCAATACAACTGGTGTTCTTATTGAAAGAGAAAAGACAACGTAAAGACATAGACACACAGGAAGAACACCATGTGAAGACAGGCAGTGGTCAGAATTATGTATCTACAAGCCAAGGAATGCCTGAGGTTACCAGAAGCTGGAAGAGGCAAGGATCCCCTCCAGAGCCCTTAGAGGAAGCAGGGCCCTGACAACACTGTGATTTCAGACTTCTCTCCTCTAGAACCATTAGACAATAATTTTCTGTTGTTTGAAGCCACCAAATCTGTGATACTCTGTTACACAAATCCTAGGAATTTGATACACCTTCCTAGACCCAAGTGGGGAAGAAAAGGGAGAAACAGGTTTAGAGGTGGAGTAAAAGATAACAGCTTCTCACAACTTGAGGCAAGATGCGTATGCTGATGGCAGAGAAAGGAGTTGGCATTTTCTGAAAGCCTGTCAGATCCCCTGCTTTGTCTGGGAAGGGGAGGAATATCCACAGCGTCTTAGCAGGTGAAATGCAGCAGCGAAGACCAGGTGCCTGTATTGTTGCCTCTGGTTGTGCAGATGAAGAGTCATTAGGCTGACCTCATCTATGGACCCAACTGGAATTAGCCCTGACTCTAGAGCCACTGGATGTTCAGGCAAAACTGACCCTAAAATTCTTTTTAAATGCATTGCTTAAGCCAAGCATTCTCTTATTCAAAATCAAGCTGCTGCATTTTCATGTAGCATGAAATGCAATTTTCTATTTAAGGTGTTCAACTAACTTAGGGATAGGTTGATGGCCAAACAAAGAAGGTTTCATTAAGATGGAAATGATTTGGAGTATCTAGTCTCCAAAGTGATTGCTCTAGAGACATTTATCAATCCACCGGTGGCTTCTAGTCGATATTTGGTTTTATAGGTTGGGGCAAAAGTAATTGCAGTTTTTGACTTTTTAATTGCAAAACCGCAGCTACTTTTACACCAACCTGATAATATTCCCCAGATCCTTCCCTGCTTCCTCTCATTAGTAACCAGAGCAGGCTGAGAATCACTTACCTGTCTCTTGTGTTCCACAATGCACACTTTGACCCCATCTAGTCTCTTCCAATATCATTTACTCTTGTCCATTAGCGGATTTTCTTTACTTCCTGTGTGTCTAGCTTGTTGGGGGGATAGGGAGGAGAGGAGAGGCTGAGGATATTTTTTCTGTGTGTGTGTAAAGGTTATTCAAATTCTTTATCACTTGCTTTTGCTTTTTAGGAAGAAAAAAACATGAATATCTTATAACACTATTTTTTAAATGAAATTGTTCAGCAAATTATACTTAATTATATTTTTAATTTTAAGTTCTGGGATACATGTGCAGAACATGCAGGTTTGTTACATTGGTATATGTGTGCCATGGTTGTTTGCTGCACCTATCAACCCGTCATCTAGGTTTTAAGACCTGCATGAGAGGGTGGAGCCAAGATGGCCGAATAGGAAGAGCTCCAGTCTAGAGCTCCCAGCATGAGCGACGCAGAAGACAGGTGATTTCTGCATTTCCAACTGAGGTACTGGGCTTATCTCACTGGGGAATGTTGGAAAGTGGGTGCAGGACAGTGGGTGCAGCGCACCCAGCATGAGCCAAAGCAGGGAGAGGCATTGCCTCACCTGGGAAGTGCAAAGCGTCAGGGAATTCCCTTTTCTAGTCAAAGAAAGGGGTGACAGACGGCACCTGGAAAATCGGGTCACTCCCACCCTAATACTGCACTTTTCCAAAGGTCTTAGCAAACGGCACACCAGGAGATTATATCCCACGCATGGCTTGGAGGGTTGTATGCCCACGGAGCCTCCCTCATTGCTAGCACAGCAGTTTGAGATCAAACTGCCAGGCGGCAGTGAGGCTGGGGGAGGGACGCCCGCCATTGCCAAGGCCTGAGTAGGTAAACAAAGCGGCCAGGAAGCTCGAACTGGGTGGAGCCAACCGCAGCTCAAGGAGGCCTGTCTGCCTCTGTAGACTCCACCTCTGGGGGCAGGGAATAGCCAAACAAAAGGCAGCAGAATCCTCTGCAGACTTAAATGTCCCTGTCTGACAGCTTTGAAGAGAGTAGTGGTTCTCCCAGCATGCAGCTGGAGATCTGAGAACGGACAGACTGCCTCCTCAAGTGCGTCCCTGACCCCTGAGTAGCCTAACTGGGAGGCACCCCCCAGTAGGGGCAGACTGACACCTCCCACAGCCAGGTACTCCTCTGAGACAAAACTTCCAGAGGAGCGATCAGGCAGTAACATTTGCTGCTCACCAGTATCTGCTGTTCTGCAGCCTCCGCTGCTGATACCCAGGCAAACAGGGTCTGGAGTGAACCTCCAGCAAACTCCAACAGACCTGCAGCTGTGGGTCCTGACTGTTAGAAGGAAAACTAACAAACAGAAAGGACATCCACACCAAAACCCCATTTATACATCACCATCATCAAAGACCAAAGGTAGATAAAAGCAGAAAGATGAGGAAAAAACAGAGCAGAAAAACTGGAAACTCTAAAAATCAGAACGCCTCTCCTCCTCCAAAGGAATGCAGCTCCTTACCAGCAATGGAACAAAGCTGGATGGAGTATGACTTTGATGAGAGAAGAAGGCTTCAGACAATCAAACTACTCTGAGCTAAAGGAGGAAGTTTGAACCCATGGCAAAGAAGTTAAAAACCTTGAAAAAAATTAGATGAATGGCTAACTAGAATAACCAATGCAGAGATGTCCTTAAAGGACCTGATGGAGCTGAAAACCAAGGCACGAGAACTACGTGATGAATGCACAAGCCTCAGTAGCTGATTTGATCAACTGGAAGAAAGGGTATCAGTGATGGAAGATGAAATGAATGAAATGAAGCAAGAAGAGAAGTTTAGAGAAAAAAGAATAAAAAGAAATGAACAAAGCCTCCAAGAAATATGGGACTATGCGAAAAGACCAAATCTACATCTGATTGGTGTAACTGAAAGTGATGGGGAGAATGGAACCAAGTTCGAAAACACTCTGCAGGATATTATCCAGGAGAACTTCCACAATCTAGCAAGGCAGGGAACATTCAAATTCAGGAAATACAGAGAACGCCACAAAGATACTCCTCGAGAAGAGCAACTCCAAGACACATAATTGTCAGATTCACCAAAGTTGAAATGAAGGAAAAAATGTTAAGGGCAGCCAGAGAGAAAGGTCAGGTTACCCACAAAGGGAAGCCCATCAGACTAACAGCTGATCCTCTCAGCAGAAACTCTACAAGCCAGAAGAGAGTGGGGGCCAATATTCAACATTCTTAAAGAAAAGAATTTTCAACCCAGAATTTCATATCCAGCCAAACTAAGCTTCATAAGTGAAGGAGAAATAAAATCCTTTACAGACAAGCAAATGCTGAGAGATTTTGTCACCACCAGGCCTGCCCTAAAAGAGCTCCTGAAGGAAGCATTAAACATGGAAAGGAACAACCAGTACCAGCCACTGCAAAAACATGCCAAATTGTAAAGACCATCAAAGCTAGGAAGAAACTGCATCCACTAACGAGCAAAATAACCAGCTAACATCATAATGACAGGATCAAATTCACACATAACAATATTAACCTTAAATGTAAATGGGCTAAATGCTCCAATTAAAAGACACAGACTGGCAGATTGGATAAAGAGTCAAGACCCATCAGTGTGCTGTATTCAGGAAACCCATCTCACGTGCAGAGACACACATAGGCTCAAAATAAAGGGATGGAGGAAGATCTACCAAACAAATGGAAAACAAAAAAAGGCAGGGATTACAATTCTAGTCTCTGATAAAACAGACTTTAAACCAACAAAGATCAAAAGAGACAAAGAAGGCCATTACATAATGGTAAAGGGATCAATTCAACAAGAAGAGCTAACTATCCTAAATATATATGCACCCAATACAGGAGCACCCAGATTCATAAAGCAAGTCCTTAGAGACCAGGAAGAGACTTAGACTCCCACACAATAATAATGGGAGACTTTAACACTCCACTGTCAACATTAGACTGATCAACGAGACAGAAAGTTAACAAGGATATGCAGGCATTGAACTCAGCTCTGCACCAAGCAGACCTAATAGACATCTACAGGACTCTCCACCCCAAATCAACAGAATATACATTCTTCTCAGCACCACACCACACCTATTCCAAAATTGACCACATAGTTGGAAGTAAAGCACTCCTCAGCAAATGTAAAAGAACAGAAATTATAACAAACTGTCTCTCAGACCACAGTGCAATCAAACTAGTACTCAGGATTAAGAAACTCACTCAAAACCGCTCAACTACAAGGAAACTGAACAACCTGCTCCTGAATGACTACTGGGTACATAACAAAATGAAATTAAGATGTTCTTTGAAACCAACGAGAACAAAGACACAACATACCAGAATCTCTGGGACACATTCAAAGCAGTGTGTAGAGGGAAATTTATAGCACTAAATGCCCACAAGAGAAAGCAGGAAAGATCTAAAATGGACACCCTAACATCACAATTAAAAGAACTAGAAAAGCAAGAGCAAACACATTCAAAAGCTAGCAGAAGGCAAGAAATAACTAAGATCAGAGCAGAACTGAAGGAAATAGAGACACAAAAAACCCTTCAAAAAATCAATGAATCCAGGAGCTGGTTTTCTGAAAATATCAACAAAATTGATAGACCACTAGCAAGACTAATAAAGAAGAAAAGAGAAGAATCAAATAGATGCAATAAAAAATGATAAAGGGTATATCACCACCGATCCCACAGAAATACAAACTACCATCAGAGAATACTATAAACATCTCTACACAAATAAACTAGAAAATCTAGAAGAAATGGATACATTCCTCGACACATACACCCTCCCAAGACTAAACCAGGAAGAAGTTGAATCTCTGAATAGACCAATAAGAGGCTCTGAAATTGAGGCAATAATTAATAGCTTACCAACCAAAAAAAGTCCAGGACCAGATCGATTCACAGCCAAATTCTACCGAGGTACAAGGAGGAGCTGGTACCATTCCTTCTGAAACTATTCCAATCAATAGAAAAAGAGGAAATCCTCCCTAACTCATTTTATGAGGCCAGCACCATCCTGATACCAAAGCCTGGCAGAGACATAACAAATAAAGAGAATTTTAGACCAATATCCCTGATGAACATCGATGCAAAAATCCTCAGTAAAATACTAGCAAACTGAATCCAGCAGCACATCAAAAAGCTGATCCACCATGATCAAGTGGGCTTCATCCCTGGGATGCCAGGCTGGTTCAACATACGAAAATCAATAAATGTAATCCAGCATATAAACAGAACCAATGACAAAAACCATATTACTATCTCAATAGATGCAGAAAAGGCCTTTGACAAAATTCAACAACTCTTCATGCTAAAAACTATCAATAAATTAGGTATTGATGGGACATATGTCAAAATAATAAGAACTATCTATGACAAACCCATAGCCAATATCATACTGAATGGGCAAAAACTGGAAGCATTCCCTTTGAAAACTGGCACAAGACAGGGATGCCCTCTCTCACCACTCCTATTCAACATAGTGTTGGAAGTTTTGGCCAGGGCTATCAGGCAGAAGAAGGAAATAAAGGGTATTCAGGTAGTCAAAGATGAAGTCAAATTGTCCCTGTTTGCAGATGACATGATTGTATATCTAGAAAACCCCATTGTCTCAGCCCAAAATCTCCTTAAGCTGATAGGCAACTTCAGCAAAGTCTCAGGATACAAAATCAATGTACAAAAATCACAAGCATTCTTATCCACCCATAACAGACAAACAGAGAGCCAAATCATGAGTGAACTCCCATTCACAATTGCTTCAAAGAGAATAAAATACCTAGGAATCCAACTTACAAGGGATGTGAAGGACCTCTTCAAGGAGAATTACAAACCACTGCTCAATGAAATAAAAGACGATACAAACAAATGGAAGAACATTCCATGCTTATGGGTAGAAAGAATCAATATTATGAAAATGGCCATACTGCCAAAGGTAATTTATAGATTCAATGCCATCCCCATCAAGCTACCAATGACTTTCTTCACAGAATTGGAAAAAACTACTTTAAAGTTCATATGGAACCAAAAAAGAGCCTGCATTGCCAAGTCAATCCTAAGCCAAAAGAACAAAGCTGGAGGCATCATGCTACCTGACTTCAAACTACAAGGCTACAGTAACCAAAACAGCATGGTACTGATACCAAAACAGAGATATAGACCAATGGAACAGAACAGAGGCCTCAGAAATAATGCTGCATATCTACAACCATCTGATCTTTGACAAACCTGAGAAAAACAAGAAATGGGGAAAGGATTCCCTATTTAATAAATGGTGCTGGGAAAACTGGCTAGCCATATGTAGAAAGCTGAAACTGGATCCCTTCCTTATACCTTATACAAAAATTAATTCAAGGTGATTAAAGACTTAAATGTTAGACCTGAAACCATAAAAACCCTAGAAGAAAATCTAGGCAATACCATTCAGGACATAGGCATGGACAAGGACTTCATGTCTAAAACACCAAAAGCAATGGCAACAAAAGCCAAAATTGACAAATGCGATCTAATTAAACTAAAGAGCTTCTGCACAGCAAAAGAAACTACCATCAGAGTAAACAGGCAGCCTACAGAATGGGAGAAAATTTTTGCAATCTATTCATCTGTCAAAGGGCTAATATCCAGAATCTACAGTGAACTCAAACAAATTTACAAGAAAAAAACAAACAACCCCATCAAAAAGTGGGTGAAGGATATGAACAGACACTTCTCAAAAGAAGACATTTATGCAACCAAAAGACACATGAAAAAATGCTCATCATCACTGGCCATCAGAGAAATGCAAATCAAAACCACAATGAGATACCATCTCACACCAGTTAGAATGGCAATCATTAAAAAGTCAGGAAACAACAGGTGCTGGAGAGGATGTGGAGAAATAGGAACACTTTTACACTGTTGGTGGGACTGTAAACTAGTTCAACCACTGTGGAAGTCAGTGTGGCGATTCCTCAGGGATCTAGAACTAGAAATACCATTTGACCCAGCCATCCCATTACTGGGTATATTCCCAAAGGATTATAAATCATGCTGCTATAAAGACACATGCACACATATGTTTATTGTGGCACTATTCACAATAGCAAACACTTGAAAACAAGTGAAATGCCCAACAATGATAGACTGGATTAAGAAAATGTGGCACATATACACCATGGAATACTATGCAGCCATAAAAAATGATGAGTTCATGTCCTTTGTAAGGACATGGATGAAGCTGGAAACCATCATTCTCAGCAAACTATCGCAAGGACAAAGAACCAAACACCACATGTTCTCACTCATAGGTGGGAATTGAACAATGAGAACACATGGACACGGGAAGGGGAACATCACACACTGGGGCCTGTTGTGGGGTGGTGGGAGGGGGGAGGGATAGCATTAGGAGGTATACCTAATGTTAAATGAGGAGTTAATGGGTGCAGCACACCGACATGGCACATGTATACATATGTAACTAACCTGCATGTTGTGTACATGTACCCTAAAACTTAAATTATAATAAAAAAATTAAAATATAAAAGACCTGCATGCATTAGGTGTTTGTCCTAATGCTCTGCCTCCCTTTTCCCCCCATCCCTTGACAGGCCCTGATGTGTAATGTTCCCCTCGCTGTGTCCATGTGTTCTCATTGTTCAACTCCCACTTATGAGTGAGAACATGCGGTATTTAGTTTTCTGTTCCTATGTTAGTTTGCTGCGGATGATTATACTTAAATATTTTTAAACAAGGCTTTAGACCTAAATCCATCAAAATAAACCACTTTGCATGAAAAAAAATCATGGGACCATTTCAGCATGTTCTATAGGTGGGCTGATTTAAATGATTTCCTTATACATCTCTTTCTGCTTGTGCTATTGAATAATTGAGAAGTTTGCAGGGGGTGTGGTGCCTTGCACAGACCGAGAAGGAAGAGAAAGGAAGCAACACTTGCAAAAGGACTTTGTTGTGTACAGTGATAGAATGCTCTACCTGTGTTACTCATTGAATCAGGAGGATTGTTGAAGGAGGAGGGCTCTCTGGAATTGTAATCTGAAGAATGAGGGTTATTCATCAGGAAAAGAGGGCAAGGCAAGGGGAGGGGGAAGCATAGGAGAAGAAATAAAAGGCCCAGAATTCTGAAAAACTCCATGCTAAAAGACCCAGAATTCCGAAAAACTCCATGTCAGCAGGGTCAAAATAAATTTTGTGGAATGGTTACTTAGATTGAGAGAAGGACTAATGAGAAATGAAACTAGAGGTAGAGTCAGAGATCAGTTAATAGTCTTCTATTTTAGGTTAAGGAATTCCCATTTCATTCTGAAGGTCAAGGACAACTTAGGTAAAGGGCAGTGACTAAGAAAGACCACCCTGGTCAGGCTCGATGGCTCACCCCTGTAATCCAAGCACTTTGGGAGGCTGAGGCAGGCAGATCACTTGAGGTTAGCAGTTAGAGACCAGCCTGACCAATATGGTGAAACCCTGTCTCTACTAAAAATACAAAAATTAGCTGGGTGTGGTGGTGCAAGCCTGTAATCCCAGCTGCTCTGGAGGCTGAGGCAGGAGAATCACTTGAACCCTGGAGGTGGAGGTTGCAGTGAGCCAAGATTGCATCATTGCACTGCAGCCTAGGTGATAGAGTGAGACTCTGTCTCAAAAAAATAGAAAGATCATTCTGGCTTTTGGGTGGAGAATAGACTGTCCATGGGCAAAGTCAGAGTCCAGGAGGCCATGCCAGAAGCTGCTGCTGTACTTTAGGCAAATTCTATGTGGTGGTGGCATTGGTAGTAAGAGTGGAGAGGAATATACAAGTTAGCGATACATTTAGGAGGTAGGTTCGATAAAACTTGGTGATTTATTAAGTTTGAAAGTGAAGAAGAGGGAGGAGTCAGGATTGACTTACACATGAAACATATAAGACTTCTTTCTGTCCTAAAAAAAAAAATCACCGTTGTAGAAAATGATAGAAACTGATGGACATAAGAAAGCAATCAGGATCTCGATTCTCAATGCCATGTGAAGAACCACATGCTCTTTTGACATTTTAAGTAGAGATGTACATTTGGTTTCTGCAGATCCATTTCATAGCTCGGCTATGATTTCAGACTCATTACTCAAAAGCAAGGGTGTAGGATCAGGGGAGGGTGAACAAGTTAGGCAGAGGAATGAGCTGCTCTGTGAGGTGGTTTGCTCCACAGCCTTTCACTCCTTCTTCCCAACGTCTCACAGTCATAAAAAAAAAAAAAAAAAAAAAAAAAAGTAGGAGGGAGTGCCTATATCCAGTAGAATTGGAGACAAGTTAGGGACAGAGCTCAGAGAGCTGCTCCTGATGCGGAAGTGGCAAGAAAAGACGCTTCACCTCCCTGACAACAACACATCCACTGTGTGTAGCAATACGTTTCTGCCTAAGACAATTTACCCCCAGGGAAATACAAGAAGGGAGACATCTCCCAGGAAATTACCATTTGTTTCTACTACTGAAGGATTTTCGTCTATTTATTTGAGAAAAGTGAGAAGCTTCTTTTTGCTGAGAACATAGTAAATGCTGCAAAAGCATTTGATGTCATGTCCATTAAGTAACTTGGCTGAATTTCTTGAAGCTTTAGGTACCTTGCTTCAATTCCTGCATACTATTTACTGACCCTCTGTAACAGGACTTTTCAACTTTCAACTATATTAGAACATGTAGTTTCTCTATTACCAAGTTCCAGCTGAACAGTCTATCTTTAATATTCAGAAAGTGTTTGGTGTCTACTAGCCAAGACTGTAGTCTGAGCAATGACATTGACAGTGGACCTTGATCTTCCTTCCTTTGAAGCATAAGTGCCTTGTATCATTTTACTTTCCTCTAGTAGAAGTCCTTCCTATGGTTATAGTATTTAGTTTCTACTTTTTGCATTTAATCGGAGCATCTTTGTAATTTACAATTTTTAAATCTTTTTTTTTCAAGGACTAAACACGAAGGTTTGAAGTCCAACAGGCAACTAAAGATGTATACAAACCCCGCACAAATCAGCCTCCATTCTAATGCCATTCCTCTTCTATACTTCCATTTTTTAAACCTGAGCATATATTTTGTTTTGAGTCTTTTCTTACTCTTTTATTTGTTAATACTCTTTATTCAGTTTTTGTCAGGTAAAAATGTTTTGCCTTGCCAAAGAACCATCTAATTCCTTCTCAGGTCTTTTTAATATATTGCTTCCAGATATTTTTGGATTGGTGGTTTCTGCAATTCTCCCTAAAACAATCTTCGTTTCTCTTACACATCTCATTCTCTACGCTTTGGCAGACTTTTGCAGATGCATTCTATAACTGCACAAATTACCCTTCCAATTTTCTCCAGCTAAACAATCTAATCCAGGGTCCTAAATATTTTTGGTGCCATAGACTCCTTTGGCATTCCAGAGGTGCCCAGGGATTTTACTCAGGATAGTGTCTTTAAATGCATGTTTAAAATACATCAGATTACAAAGAATGTCAATTAAATTGAAAAATAGCTTAAATATTTTAATAATTGTGATATAGTAATAAATGAACTTCTTTAGGTGCATTAAGTAACAAGATCTACTAACAGGGCTAATAACTTATTATTTCAGTATGTCTGTGGTTTCTATTGGTGACAAAAATCACAAGTACTGTTAATATTTTTGTTTTATTTTGTTTAAAATTATTTAAATTTTAATTAATAAAACATATATATGTATATTTATGGTGTACAGCACATTGCTATATGTATACATTGTGGCATGGCTGAATCAAAGTAATTAACATATGCATTAGCTCACATAGTTATTTTTTGTGGTGAGACTGCTTAAAATTCACTCTCCTAGCAATTTTTGACTGTGTGCTGCATTGTTTTTTTAACTATAGTTAGCATTTTGTAAATAGTCCTCTTAGAATTATTCCCCCAATTGAAGTTGTGTGCCCTTTCACCAACATCTCTGCATTTTCTCCTTCCACCACTCTCTGTCCTGAGTAACCACCATTCTATTCTCTGCTTCTATGAGTTCAACTTTCTTAGATTCCACATGTAAGTGAGATTATGTGGTATTTGTCTTCTGTGCTTAGCTTCTTTCACTTAATGTAATGGTGCTGTTCATATTACTGTGGTTTTGGTGCCTACATTCAAACTCAGTGGAAATTCTAATTTGCAGTTAGTTTTTCAGAAAGAAGAAATGTGTGAATAGTTTCTTATGGTCCAAGCCCTTGGATCCTCTGTATTTTATCCACAGATGCTTGGGAGGATCTCTAGATCCCAGATTAAGAACTCCAGCTAGTTATTAGTCCTTTGTGCTTTGAAACTCAAATCAAATACCCATCTCTTCCATAGAACTTTTTCTAAATTCACTAGACTCACTTATCTACCCTTCTTCCTATAGTTTCATTCACTCTCTGTTATGAAATATCCATTTATTATCACTATTAGTTTTTCTGTATTGCTCTCTTCTTTGTAAATATCTCTATACTTTATTCTCTTTTATTTCCTTTGTATCCAGGACAGTGTCTGGCATATGCAGGCACACAATAAATACTTGTTTAATAAGTGAATTAAAACTCTAGACAGCTTCTGGTAAGTTTTTCCAGGTTACCAGTAATACAAAGACCTGAATGTTATTTATTCACTTCTACAAGGGGCACAGTGTCCAAGTCCTGACCTTTAATAAGAGATGTGCTTCCAGCAGTGTCTTCTTGGCATAGTCTTAACCTTTTATTCTGCCCTGGTGCACACTTAATCTCTCATGAAGTCACAGCTATTGATTTATAACTGAATCTTCAAGATATTTTAATACTTTATAAACATACAAACAACAATTAATTGCATTGTTAGATAAAAATGTATTACAGAGATCACCAGCACAAAAATAAGTATTTCTATTTATAACTGAAAAAAAAACTGGCAATGGAATATTAGTTGTTTACAAGGCAAGTATTCTGAATAATGTGCTGGGAGATTATAAATAACCTTAACTAACAGTAAAAAAAATTGTGCTTACAGAAAAAAATTATTTGAGTTAGTCTAAATGTATTAAACTTATCAGTAAGTAGCATGAATTAACTACTATTCAAGTGTAAAATTCTACTTCCATATTACCTAATTCAGTTCCATATGAAGTCAGCCAGCAAGGATCAGCTGAGGTTGGCTGTTGTGAGGTTTCAGCCATTATGAAAAAGAGGAGCTGGGCACAGCCTCTGATGAATAATAACATGGCATGGGTTCTGATAATAAGCACAGAGAATCAGAAAGGAAAAAACACAGAGAGGAGTATGGAGAACTGGAACCTGTGGAAAATGATACACAATTTTTTTTTTTCTACAGAGTCTCGCTCTGTCACCCAGGTTGGAATACAGTGGTGGGATCTCGGCTCACCACAACCTCTGCCTCCTGGGTTCAAGCAACTCTCCTGCATCAGCCTCCTGAGTAGCTGGGATTACAGGCATGCGCCACCATACCCAGCTAATTTTTGTATTTTTAGTAGAGACAGAGTTTCACCATGTTGGCCAGGCTGGTCTCCAACTCCTGACCTCAGGTGATATGCCTGCCTCAGCCTCCCAAAGTGCTGGGATTAGAGGCATAAGCCACTGCACCTGGCCCCACAGGCTTCACAGTCAGTAGGCCCAAAGGAAGTCTGGTGTGGTCGATCAAGAATCCAGCTAATTCTCGCACTCTCACTGTCTCTCTCTTTCTCTCACCTTCCACTGACCTCTCTTCCCTCCTATTTTGTCTTGGGAAAAGGCAGGTGATTACAAAATTCTTCTAATTATGTATTTTAATTAATATAAAATCTTTACAAAACAGTGTTAATACCAGCCCACTATGGTTTATATTTTTTGCTGTGAAAAAAAAATCTCCTATGCTTTAGCAATACTTTTTAGGCAGAGAGTCATCAAAATAAAAGAGTATCAGTATTGCTGAAGTAGGTCATTCCTGCTTTACTTTAAAAAATTTCAAAACGTTTCATTTTTCCTCCGTAAAATTTATTTCTATCAAGGAAATGGGGAGAGAAAAATTACAATGAAAAACTGTGAGGATAAATGAGGTCATATGCCTATGAAATATTTGGAAAAGAATTATAATTATCAACTTGTTCATTTTTAATACCATAGTTAGATTTCTCATTTTAAAAGGGGAAGGAAAGAACTCCATTACATTCTAGGGATTCTAGGCAAGATAAGTTTCCATCACAGTTGCTGGATGGTGGAGCTGGGCTGGTATGACATTCTTTCCTTGTAGAACGTGCGTTCTAACTGAAGACTAGCCCTTTATTAGAAATGCACATTGAGAAGACAGGGGATTTATGAGTCACAAAGGCCAAGATTTCTAACCTTGCTACATGTGGGGCGGGACTTTTCTATGCTCCCAAGGACTTAAGGTCAAGTCACTTTCTTCCTGTTCCCGTCTCCTTCTGTCTTCCTCTCTTTTTTGGTTCTAACCAGAAAATGTATTCCAATTTTTCTTTTCTTTTTCTGTTCAAGTCTTACAGCTCTGCCAAAGGCAAAATGCTGCAGGGATTAGAAAGATGAAGCAGCTAAGTCAAATCGATAGTGACAGCCAGTGAACGCATGTAAATTTCAACAAGTGAACGTTCAGCATTGTCTCTGGGGCCTCCCACCAATATTAACATCACTAAATTTTCTGATTTAACATTCTCACAAAACAGGAATCAACCAACCAAGTGCCAGCCACTAATAGCCTTCAGGTTAATAAATTTGGTCTTCATTAATCTCAAATTAGAGTCCTGGAGTAGACTTATGTTTGGGATAGGAGTGCCCATCCTACAAGAAGCTTATTACCCATAAATCAGGTAAGAGATAAGAAAACACTCCTCCAGGTCTCATTAGCCACTTCAGATAGGCTCTGCAGCTCTTTAATGTTCAGGTGGCATGTCCTTAGAAGATGAGCTGAGAATCAAAGCTCCTGATACAGGAAGAAGCCTAACTCAGCCCATCTCTCTTCTTGGGGCATTCACAATTATTTCCTTTAACCCTTGTGTAGTTTCAGTTGTGTTGATTCAAGTCATTATTTTCTTACACAACTAGGGTATATAGTTTAGAATGTGATAGAATCTTGGAAAAATAGCAATTCCCCATTATGTATACACACAATACACATACACACACACAGTACTATATATGTATGTGTGTGTGTGTGTATATATAGATCACGTAAATATATATGATATATATAGATATATAGAGAGAGTACATGTACATATATGTGTATAATATATTCTTCACTTTCATTTTATTTGTCTTTATGATTTCAGGCAGTGGTATAAGAAGATAGAAATAGCATATGAGCACTTCACACAGTATCTGCTATAAAAGTTTATTTTGACACTTTACTTATAACTCCTTGAAAGTGATAAAATTTTCCTATTTTCCTGAAGGTACATTTAGACAAAAATCTCAGAGCCTAATATTTTGAAGTGTTAGTTTTGCTGAGGCCAAACAAAATCAAGGCCCAGCATATACCCCGAATACATTCTCACTTACCATAAATTTATTATGAAATGGTATTGTGTTGATAGGAGAGTTTTTGTTACAGCCTATAACATTTCAGGGATTTTGATAGACATGATTTCCAATGGGATAACATTTAAACTGAGATAGCTACTATTTTTTTTTAATATATGTTTAGTTTTGTGAAAAAAAAAATAAGGAAAGCATCTGGTGATTGAACAAATATGTAGTAGAGCTAAAGACATTTTCCTTAAAAGAAATATACTTGTTTTATGCTTTAATGGTTAGAGCTGTTCCATTATAGTGTATCATCTATACTCTTCTGATTTTTATTACAAGTAGGGATACAACTTAAAGATTTAAAAGTCCTTCCCAAAGTATAAGCATGTGTTTAATTTTCAGAATGGCAGTGAGACTTACTTGCACATAAAGTTAAGATACCTAGGTTGTGGGCTTCCAAGGATACTTCCTTGGGAAGTCTTTAGAAGTTGTTTTTAGTTAAGGACTTGGTAGCATCAAGGGAAGCCATGAGTGGTGAAATTCTCAGAGAGACTCTTCTTTCTGTGGTCCTGCCTTGTAGATGACATTCTGGAGACTTTTGTGTGTAAATGAATGATTGAAATTCCATAGTATATTTGTCATTTTTCCTAAGCCTGTTTACTCTGGGGAAAATCTTCTTTCATCCTTCTAAGTTCTTACTCCACACTCCCGTGGGTGCTCATGCATGTGTGCATGCGTACACACACAAACACACACAAATATGCATGCACACATCTTCAGTACTTGAGGCATTAACCTGCAGAACCATAACACCGTGAATATAGCAGTAAAGGCAATTATTTCTGTAAACAGGTAACAGGGTGTATTAATATTACTGTTAGTACCTCTGAATTCTTTCTTCCTTAATAGGATGTATTAATATTACCGTTATTACCTCTGAATTCTTTCTTCCTTCCCATCATGCTAGAGCCATCTTGAATATGACTTAAGAAGTGATCTTTACATTTTGCCTCTGTCTCAAACTAGGTTCTAGTGGCTATTAGGGGCTAGACCAAAGCTAAACTGAGAATAAGGTTACGATAGCACAATTGTTCATAGGTGGTCTCTCAAGACAACAGCATTGCAAAAGAAGGAATAATTGTTATGTTTATTTTACCTATGGGGGAAAAACAGTAGTCCGGGCAGTCTAAATGATGTGTCCACCATCATAGAATAATAGAGAGTGAAGCTGTAAGTATAATTCCGGTTGACTTTGTATCCAGTAAAATGTTCATTCAACTTTTGTTCATCTCTCCTCTAGTCACACTTTGTCATGCATTGACTTCTTGGCCTGATCTCACCAGTGAAAACCCATGGGAACAGTTAATAATTCCATGACTAAGGCTATTATAATCCTATAGCTACAGTTTCTCCAGTGAAATAATGAAAATTTCTTCATTAATTTATTATAAAAGTTACTGAGTTTAATTGTATGCCATCCTGGATTTCTTACAGAAGTGATTCTTGATAATCCTAAGAAAATTCTTCTTCAGACAGATTTTCAAAATGTTTTTGTCTCTGCAATTACTGTTCTGAGGTTAGATCTTATAGAAGTTACTCCATAAGAAGCCAAAGCATTTTCCTCAAAGTATAGTGGCTAATGGCTATGCTGTTACCAAAAGCTGTGACAGAAAACCTCTGGCTATTAAACTCATATCTAATGCTATTTGGCCTAGCTATTATGTACAATTTGAGAAACTGATTTTTCTCTTCTAAAATGAAACACAAGGCCGTGTGCGGTGGCTCACGCCTGTAATCCCAACACTTTGGGAGGCTGAGGTGGGTGGTAATGAGGTCAGGGGATCGAGACCATCCTGGCTAACACAGTGAAACCCCATTTCACTAAAAATACAAAAATTAGCCAGGCGTGATGGTGGGCCCCTGTAGTCCCTGCTACTCAGGAGGCTGAGGCAGGAGAATGGCGTTAACCCAGCTGGCGGAGTTTGCAGTAAGCCGAGATGGCGCCACTGCCCTCCAGCCTGGGTGACAGAGCGAGACTCCGTCTCAAAAAAAAAAAAAAAAGAAAAAAGAAAGAAAAAGAAAAAAAAAGAAAGAAAGAAATGATTCGCATTGTAGGGTCATGAATTTCAACACATATTACAGTTCAGCCCCTTCTCTGCTGCTGGTGGCACACTGGAGATGTGGAGATGCAGATTCTCACCACACAAAGTGGGGTCCGTCCTGGAAGCTTGTAAGAAAAGCAGAATCTCAGGCCCTACCTAGAACCTACTGAATTAGAATCTGTGTTTTAACAAGATCTCTTGGAGATTCAGAGGTACAGTAAAGTTTGAGAAGCACAGCTGGAAACTGTCTGAAGTCTGCTATGATCATCTTAATCTTGGGAGCTGACTTAGCACAGTTTCTGCCTCTCCCAGCCCAGCCTCTCTGCCCTATTTAGGCTACTTCTGGAGAGTTCCACAGTCAGAACCTTAGCTATTTCTGTGCCTGGTCTTTACCACACACAGGTCCAAAGATGCCCAGGAAAGCTAAATCATAGACTTCCCCCTACTGAGCATGTTGGGCTGCCTGCAGTCTCTCCCTTTATCATAGGTTGGCCCTCTTTCCACATTGCCATGCAGCTTTGAATGACTGAATGTTCAAATTTTTCACAGTGTTTTCATTGCTTAACAGGACATCCATGGCTGTAATTTTTCAGTGAAGCATAGAATGTGTTAATTAAAGTGGCAATGGAATTGGGACAGGTTGAATATTAAATGTCACTTCTATTGTGAATACCATCATGCTCTTAACATTTTTATTTTGTTTTCATGAAGACTTAGTAAGGGTTAAAAGTGGGCGCATTAGTGAGCTGGTATTTGCCTGCCCACCAATGCTGATTTTGATTTCCATGGCGTAGTTCTTTGGGGTCAGCATGCATGGTGTGTTAAATGTTACCGGGGACCTGAGGAATAGGAGAGCCCTTTCCTTATGACACTTAATCCTGAATTATTTATCTAAATAATTAAGGGCAAGCATTTTTAACTTCGTTAACCTATAGTTTCTGAATAAAAGAGTTATTGAGAGCTCTGACTCAAGGACAAATGACAAAAGATGATCCCTGGAGTCAGGGCATCACCCTCCATAAGTCTCACTGGAGGTTTGCTTCCTGCACAAGGAGACATGTCTGTGATTTGTGAAGCATTCATCTTGTTTCACAAGACTTTATGCTGCACTTAGGCTAAAGTCACTGCCGAATAAGTCACTTCACTATCAAGAAAGAAGGGGATGGCTTTTCTGGGGGAGCAGAGGCATATTAAGGTAGAGGAGGGGTGGCGCAAAGCAGTCCAGCCAAGAAAAAAAAAAAATCTTACTAACAGGCTTAGAATTACCAGCACATGTTGATAGCAGAAAGCAGATTGGCTTTTAGCCAGTTTTATTCTTGTTTTTAAATCTCTAAAGACAACGTACCCACTTAGTGCCTGCACTTGGGGCAACATGCTCCCACTCCCACCTCCTCCTTGGTATGCCAGTGCAGAGGAGTTTGTTCACACATTTAAGATATTACATAAAATACATCTCTGAAGGTCGACACTCTCAGGGAAGAGCAAGAAATGACTGGAGCATCTTAGCTGCAAGATAATGTCTTATTCAGATATCTTTACTCTAGGATTATAGATTTTTTTTTTTTTTGAGATGAAGTCTCACTGGATTTCCCAGGCTGGAGTGCAATGGTGTGCTCTTGGCTCACTGTAACCTCCACCTCCCAGGTTCAAGCTATTCTCCTGCCTCAGCCTCCTCAGCCGCTGGGATTACAGGCATTCACCACCATGTCCAGTTAATTTTTGTATTATTAGTAGAGACAGGGTTTCACCATGGTGGCCAGGCTTGTCTCAAACTCCTGACCTCAAGTGATCCACCTGCCTC
The DNA here is from genome assembly GCF_000001405.40 of Homo sapiens. Classification (NCBI taxonomy): domain Eukaryota; kingdom Metazoa; phylum Chordata; class Mammalia; order Primates; family Hominidae; genus Homo; species Homo sapiens. Next base: position 32,188,319 of record NC_000008.11, read on the forward strand.
AGCCTCCCAAAGAGCTGGGATTACAGGCGTGAACCACTACGCCCAGCTGGATTATAGATTTTGACACTCAGATTACTTTGGCTGGTCTAGTAGGCAAATAATGACAAGACATGCTCCTGCCAAAGATGTCCATGGCCTAATCTCCAGAACCTGTGAGAATATGCTACATTGCATGGCGAAGGGGAAGGGAGACTGCAGATGGAATTAAAATAGCTAATCAGCAGATAGGAAGATCATCCTGGTTTATCCATGTGGACCCAATGTATTCCAAGGAGTCTTTAAAAGTGGAAGAGGGAGGCAGAAGAAGAGAGACAGAGTAAGATGTGACTAAGGAAGAATGGTTAAAGAAATGTCGCTGGTATCAGAGACAAGAGGAGGAGGCCGTGTGCTTCCTCTTCATGTGGGCTATGCATATTCTCACTCATAGGTGGGACTTGAACAATGAGAACACATGGACACAGGAAGGGGAACATCACACTCTGGGGACTGTTGTGGGGTGGGGGGAGGAGGAGGGATAGCATTAGGAGATATACCTAATGCTAAATGATGAGTTAATGGGTGCAGCACACCAGCATGGCACATGTATACATATGTAACTAACCTGCACATTGTGCATATATACCCTAAAACTTAAAGTATAATAATAATAAAATTAAAAAAAAGTCAAGGAAGTGAATTAGAGGTCCCTAGAACCTCCAAAAAGTAATGCAACCCTGGATGGCATCTTGATATTAGCCTGGGGAGACCTGTGTCAAACTTCTATCCTGTAGAACTGTAAGATAACCTGTGTTTTTCTTGTAAAAGATTTCAACATTTGCTTTAGATTCAGGGGGTTACATGTACAGGTTTGTTACATGGCATCACCTAGATAGTGAGCTAGTACCCAGTAGGTAGTTTTCCTGCTTTTGCCCCCTTCCGTCTTCCCCCTCAGTAGTCCCCAGTGTCTGTTGTTCCCATCTTTATGTTCATGTGTATCCAATGTTTAGCTCCCACTTATAAGTGAGAACGTGTAGTATTTGATTTTCTGTTTCTGTGTTAATTTGCTTATCAACCTGTGTTTTTAAGCCTTTATGGTAATTACTTATGGAGCAATAGAAAACTAGCACAATAGATAAAGTCAAAATTGGTATGGTATGTAGAACCTAACAGAGCACGGTCCTGGCTCCACATCTGATTAGTAATGTGCAATTGGTAAATTTCTTTAGCCTTATTATCCTTATCTGTAGAATGGACATAATAATATTTACCTTATGGGGTTAAGAGAGAATGAAATAAGAAAGCAACTATAAAATGTCTGGGATAATGCCTATCAGGGTGGGGCTGCCCAAAGATACTAAATTTGATTTTATTTCTTTCCTCTTATACAATTTGGTGGCCCTCTTAGTGAGTGGCCCCATATCGTTAAGGCTTACTGCTAACTGGCCCCCCTGAGTCCTTAGAAATATCACCACATTTATTGATATTTCACTGTGTTCCTCTGAGAACCTCATTTGGCCATATAGTCTTCTACCAATCACTGGAGTTTTCATTAGTGCTAGATTGGCATTAGACACATGGTTATAGAAGGATCTAGTAGATTATTATTTTGTAGGAGACATCATCAGTGCTCATGTTAAATGAATGATACATTCTGTTGAATTATAAACTGCCTCTCCTACACCTTTGTCTTTGTACATTTCAGTCCTTCTTCTCTATTCAAAACTGACGAAGTAAATCAGTTGGGAAGAATACAGTAATTTATTTGAATAAACATTTGTCAACATTGTTTAGGAAAATAAGTTACAAATTGACTGTATCGTCATGTTCCTGCACTAAGAAAGCATTAGGAGTCTGCCTAAATCCTTTTATCAAAATGTATTATTATTATTATTATTATTATTAATTTTTTTCTATTTACTCTTTCTTTTTTAAAAAATTGCTCTCCTCTAGATATTTTTTCTGCCACTCTTTATAATAAAGGAGACAATATTTCTAACTGCCCAACAGACTTCAAGATGATCTTGACAGCCTCTGTAGCCAAATTATCATATTAATTTGATCTCAGCAACACTTCTGGTTCACTCTGTTCTGTACTCAAATCCAAATCCTGAGCTTTTTCTTGAGCAAATAAAGGCAACAGCTGTGAGGTCCCAGTTCATCTTTCCGGTTTTACCCATACAACAACAGGCTGTGCAAAGTTGTGAGCAATTCACACATAGTGCTCTCAACTCTATTTTTATTAAGTACTCTGAAGAGCAAGCAATCTTCAAACTCCTATAAAATTTCATGACCAAAACAGCTATCGGGATGGTGTTTCCCTTGAAATGTCTCTATGAGTACAGTCATTTATTATTCTAGGCTTCCTGATAATCCTTATTAGTGGATACCAGAACTGTGATTTTACCGTATTTGCAACCTAATGAGTAAGTCTACCACATGAATGCTGGCAGAAGATACAAGATTCCTGGGTCAGAGATGAAGGATAGTTTATTGCTACAGGATAGCAGAATACCAGCATTTATGCCAGTCCCTAAAATTTAAGTCCCATGGGGCAAAGGGAAGAGGGCCAGACAATGCCTGCAGATGTAATAGGGGAGAGTTGAGTTTAGGGTACCCCCAAATTTTATAATAGGCAGTACTTTGGTCCAGATAAAGACATGTTTTTTATACTGGATAGTAGACAAACATCCATTTGCTCCAGTTGGAGACAATACTTCTGTCTTCCCATAGATGTTCACTGTGCAAACAATTCTTGAAACAATTGCCTGGAACAAAGTTATCAGTTATTAGATTTTTTTTTTTTTTGAGTTGGAGTCTCACTCTGTCACCCAGGCTAAAGTGCAGTGGCATGATCTCAGCTCACTGCAACCTCTGGCTCATGGATTCAAGAGATTCTTCTGCCTCAGCCTCCTGAGTAGTTGGGATTACAGGCACCCACCACCATGCCTGGCTAGTTTTTGTATTTTTAGCAGGGACAGGGTTTCACCATGTTGGCCAGGCTCGAACTCCTAACCTCAAGTGATTCTCCTGCCTTGGCCTCCCAAAGTGCTGGGATTACAGGCATGAGCCACCACACCTGGCCCAAAGTTATTAGATCTTCTGTTCACAAGATACACAGAAATGTGAGAGGCCATAACAAGTTGTCACCCTACAATGAGTTTCTTAGATGTAAATCGACTCTTCCCTTCCTATGTTGGTAAGAATTGTGCCATATGAAACATCATCATAGGCATATGTAATGTTAAGCTTTTTTGCCGTAAGAGAAAATTTTTCCTTGCTTCCTTAGCAGAATACAGGCTTCAGTTATGTGATCAACCTGTTTGGATCTGCTAGGTTAAACTATAAATGCATTTTTAAAAATACTACAGATATTTCACTGGACAGGAAATGGGGATGGGGAAGACAGAGGAGAGAGTGTATGGCCTGGTAACAAAGCATTACCCTTTCTGTTGCACACTGCTGCCCATTTTAATGTTGGCCAGCAGCCAGGACAAAGAGCCAAGGCAGCTCCAAAGGATCTCAGAGTTGGAGGCAAGAGAGAGTCAAGGAAGCTCCCACATGCTGAAATGTCAAACCTAAGCAGACCTGGCCTCAGAGTACAACACAATCAGATCTTCCACCATCAGAGTCATTGATAGCCACACTGGCTCCCTTGCTGTTTCTGGAGCACAGCAGACATGGACCCACTTCAGGTCCTTTCTGCTGGCTCTGGTCTGTCATAGGTACACTCCTTCACCTGATCACCCAGGGATCGCTTTCTTATTTCCTTCAAGCCTTCTTCATCCAAGTACTGACCAGGCCTCACACTGCTTAGCTTCCGAGATCAGCTGAGATCAAGCACGTTCAGGGTGATAAATTAGTTCAATCACTGTGGAAAGTAGTTTGGTGATTTCTCAAAGAACTTAACACAGAACAAGCATTCAACCTAGCAGTCTCATTACTGGGTATATATCCAAAAAAGCACAGATTGTTCTACCAAAAAGATACATGCACTCACATGCTCATCATAGCACTATTCACTATAACAAAGACATGAAATCCACCTAGATGCCCATCAACAGTGGATAGGTATACATATGATACGTATACACCATGTAATACTACGCAGCCATACAAAAGGTATGAAATCATGTCCTTTGCAGCAACATGAATGTAGTTAGGGGCCATTGTCCTAAGTAAATCAATGTAGGAAGAGAAAACCGTATGCCACGTGTTCTCACTTTTAAGTGGGCACAAAACATTGGGTACCCATGGACGTAAAGATGGGAACAATAGACACTGGGGACTACTAGATGCAGGAAGGTGGGAGGGGTGAAAAAGCTAACTATTGGGTACCATGCTCGGTAGTTGGGTAATGGGATTATTTGTATCCCAAACCTAAGCATCACATAACATAACCAAGTAGCAACCCTGCACATGTACCAATGAATCTAGAATTAAACTTGAAAAAAATAAGTAAGTAAAACATAAAACATATAGATTTTTAAAAGGCATCTTCAAATGTCACCTTGTAGTGCCCCACCCTGAATTGTAGTCACCTACACACATAAACTCACACACAAACACACACTCCCATACACACATCAAAACATTCAATACACCTACCTTACTCTATTTTTTTTTCTGACTTCCAACATAGTACATCATTTATTTAACAAGAACGTAAGCTCAACGGGGAGGAATTGTTCTCTGTTTATTTTCTGATGTTTCCTAGGTACCTAGATCAGTGCCTGGTGCATATATAAATGAATATTTTGAGTGAATATTTGTGGAATCATGAATGAATGAACTGATGAATGTTAATATTGGTATTTTTCATTGTTATTTGTCTTATTCCTAGGAAGACAGGACTAGTCATTTGAGGTACTTTTTCAGAACAGCCAGGGCTGGGGAGGATCCTTTATTTGTGGGTGTTAAATAATAGCAAGTGAACACAGTGCAGCAGTAGTGACCCTGTTGATGATGATAATGAATCACATTGATATAGTGCTTTTCTTTTTCTACCTTTGTGTGTGTGTGTGTGTGTGTGTGTGTAATTCTCCTCAGTGTCAGGGTGATAGATTATGCCCATTCCTTCTAGGAAAATGGTTATTCCATCTTAATGCAGGCTTTTAGAAATGAAAAATAATGCCTGCTACAATCAACTTTTAATTATCTACACTAATGGAGTGCTGATGCTAAAGAAATAATCCCCAAGTCATTTACATTTGACTTTAGGATGCAACCGAGGGCTTGTATTCAGAAAAGCACGTTAAACCATCGTCAGCAGCATGTGATTGCAGAACAAATTCTGGCCTGGGAGTTGGGAAACTGGATTTGGTAGAGGCTCGGTGTTATGGGTTGAATTGTGATGCCGCCCCCCTGCCAAAAAGATACGTTAGAATCCCAGCCCCCGGTAACTCAGAATAGAACCTTATTTGGAGGTAGTGTCTTGACAAAGGTAATTAAGTTAAAATGAAGTTGTTTGGGTGGAATCTAATCCAATATGACTGGTATTTTTATAGAAAGGGGAAATTTAGACTGAGACAGAGACATGCATACAGGGAAGAATGCCATGTGATGCCTGGAATTATGCTGCCACAAGCCAAGGAGCTACTGCAAGTTAGCAGGAAGGCCTGGGACAGGCCCTTCTCTAGCACCTGCAGAGGAAGCAGCCCTGTGGACACCTTGATCTCAAACTTCCAGGGCAGTAAGACAACCATGTCTGTGGTTTAAGCTACCCCATTCATGGGACTTTGTTATGACAGCCCTTGGAATTGAATATGCTTGGTGACTCAACTCTTATGTGCTCATCTAGCATACAGTTCCCTCTCATCTCCAAGCCTCCGTTTCCTCATCCCTAAAATAGAATCCAAAGCCCCTAGCTGTTTAAGGGCTCTATAATTAGAAAGCTTCTGACAGAAAGTCCCCATCAGCTCCTCCCAGTTTAGCAGTAAACCCATCCACCTAGGTGTCCTCTAAATTAGGTAAGTGACCCTAGAAGAAAGTTCCACACATCATCTGAACCGCGGATAAAATGCATGCAGAAATGACTTTATTCAAATTCAAGAGTTTACATTTTACTTAACTCTGGAAAACTCAGAGTTTAAACATTTTCACATTTTTTTTTAAATAGCAAGAATGGCATGCCACATCATGATGATTCAGCTCTCATCTCTATTTCTCTAGGCAGAATGCATTTACACATCATCCAATCCCACCCTATTTCCATGTACTATTAGCAGAAGCAAATATCAGCCTTCTTCAGGCCCTGGCAGGATAAAAATTCAGCCCAGTAGACACTGGGAGGACAAGAATGAGGATGTGACTTACATTCCCCAGGGCCATGGCATTCAAAACCACCATACCCACTGAATGTGCTTCTCTATCGCTTTGTTTAATATTTGGAGAGTAGTGTTTGCTCCAAAACTTGTAAAAAGTGAGACCAATGGAAACCATTGGTCCAAAGCAATCTTACCTGAGAAACATTTTAAAAAGAAGTCTTTCCCTTATGATTCCTCTTCTTACTCTACTTTTTTGAATAAAGAGATTAATACCCAACCGATGACTACTGCAAGGATGAAGGTTATTCTTTAGGAGAAAAAAAAATTGTAACATACATTTTTATGAAAAAAAGATTTCTAAATATGCTGATAAAATCACTGACATCTCAGTAAATATAGTTTATTCCTAGGAAGTGACTAGAATGATTGATTTAGCTATATGTAAGTTATTTAATACTGTTTGAAAGGTACTTCATCAACACCATTTACTGTGATCAATAGCATTTTCAGGAACACTTCAGACTTGGGGAGGTTACTCCTTTGGGTAACCTTTTAGGATTATCTGTTGTGGGAACAAGAAGTAGCCATCAAAAGCCACTGAGCAGGCTGGGTGCTATAATCCCAGCATTTTGGGAGGCTGAAGTGGGAGGACTGCTTGAACCCAGGGGTTTGAGACCAGCCTGGACAACATGGTGAGATCCCCTATCTACAAAAACTATATTAAAAAAATTTAGCTTGTTGTAGTGTACACACCTATTGTCCCAGTTGCTCAGGAGGCTGGGGTGGGAGAATCACTTGACCCCAGGAGGTCAAGGCTGCAGTTAGCATTGCTTGTGCCACTGCAGTCCAGCCTAGGTGAAAGAGTGAGACCCTGTCTCAAAAAAAAAAAAAAAATGTCCCTCTAAGCAGTTAAAATAGGTCAACATCAAAGCTCATGGTTCTGGCTCTTAGTCAAAGCCTATTTATATCTGACATAATTCTCATATATTGCATATATTGACCTGTTTGGTTTACTAATCCACATTAGAGGCCAACAGTATAGAACCAGAATCAGAAAATCTATTAAAAGGAAATGAAAGAATAAAAAAGCATGGCAATATCAGGCCATTAGGTGTGGGTACAAATAATCTCCCAAACCACAGTAGTCTCTGAGTGTTTCACTGACAAAGTTTAGTTATCGATAATTATAATTATGACCTTGAAATCCTAGCGTAGACATTGAATACTATGTTTGGAAGTCAGGGAATTGTTTAATATATTTAAGAAAGATATTCCCTTCAAAGCAGTTCAAGTGGTCTTAGTATTGCCAGTTAAGGAAGTGGGTTACAGGATCCTGGAATGACTCAGTGATATAGAAAGGCTCAGTCCCTGGCAATGTCAGATGAGTGAAGAGGTTGATGCAAAAGTAATTGTGATTTTTGCCATTACTTTTAAATGTAAAGTACAGGCACTAACATAGTATTAGTTACTAATAGTATTAGTTATTTAGTAAATTACTTTTGTACTAACCTAATACTATGTTAGTGCCTGTACAAATAATGTGCAGTAAAAACAATGAGTGTGTGTGTGTGTGTGTGTGTGTGTGTGTGTGTATTGGAAAGCAGTTGATCTGTACACATACTTACAGTTTACTAAACAAATGTTTGAGTGCCTACTGTGTGTCTTGCTTTGGCTGTGCTCTAGACAGTCATGATAACAGAGATCCCTGGTCTGGGGAGGTCCCACTCTCAGAGCAATTACGGAAGAAGGGTAGAGGAAATCATGCAAGTATGTAGGGATAGGCTGATGAGAGCGGAAGCATGAGGGCTGAGAGCTGCAGGCTGTCTTCCCACTAGTCAGGGAAGGCTTTCTGATTAAAGAAAATTTTCATCACCTATGCTTAGAAGTTTAGACTCAGAATAACTGATGGCAAATGGAAAAGATGAAATAAACTAGGATGAGAAGACAAGACTGCCCAATTCACACAATGAATCCAGTCTCTGAATCAGTCGGGTGCTAGCCAAAGCAGAAATATTTCCAGCAGAGCCCTGGGAACAGAGAAGGAGGCAGTTTTTATTAAAGTCTTAGTTTCCAAATGATGGATGCCAACAAGAAAATAGTTTAAAATTCCAAGAGAAGCCTTCACCTTTCATTCCATTGTAGAGTAATGGCTTTTTCAAACACATTCAAATAAAGCCAGGGTTGTTAAGTAGTATGTCTCAATCAACATACTCAAAGTCTGTGAACCAAAGGCATAGTCTTAGGCTTCCTCTTATAGTCTAGCATGATATTATTCTATTTCATCTTTTTTTATATGTTTGCTCCCTTGAGTGTTTTAGAATGAGACTGCTAGATTTTATGTTTCTAAAGCTGGTTTTCTACCAGGCCTGTTCTCAGAACATTCTTTTTTTTTTTTTTTTTTTTTTTTTTTTTTTTTTAAGATAGAGTCTTACTCTGTCACCCAGGCTGGAGTGCAGTGGCGCGATCTTGGCTCACTGCAACCTTCGCCTCCCGGGTTCAAACGATTCTCCTGCCTCAGCCTCCTGAGTAGCTGGAATTACAGGCGCCCACCACTAACCCCATCTAATTTTTGTATTTTTTAGTACAAAATGGGATTTCGCCATAATGGCCAGGCTGGTCTCAAACACCTGACCTCAGGTGATCTGCCCGCCTCGGCCTCCCAAAGTGCTGGGATTACAAGCATGAGCCACCACGCCCAGCCTAGAACATTCTTTCTTGGAAAGGAAGAACATCACAGCCTTCTGTGCATTCTCTTGTTCACCCACATAGGCAAGGTGATGTGTTTGCAGCCTTCTTTTTACCCTCACCTCTGGGAGGTGGCCTTGGCTCATCACCTATTGTTTCATGCTCTCTCTTAAAGGCTGATTTGGTGACTGAATTCATCATTGCTGCCTACACACCCATGGGGCTAGCCTGGGCAAAATGTGCCTCGTAGGTTGCCTGACCTTTTGCCTTTTGGCAACGTTTATCACCTCTGAGGATTCAGCTTCTTTCGTCAGAAAGTGAGAACTTGGATCAGGTCATCTCTAAGGTTCCTTTCAGTTTTAACCTTTCAGAAGTCACACAACCATAAACATTTGGTGTACCTAGACTGTTGGCTTATTGTCCGACTTTAAGCCAGTCATTTCAGTTAAACAAACAAAAATGGGGGCTTGCCAGAGTCAAGTCATACAAGACTGCTTTCCTAATATTTGGTGCTTCTTAAATGAAGTTGTTATTTATGCATCCCTCAATCCCCTCCCTCTTCTGCATATTTTGAACTTGCAAAGCCTTCTGATATTTTAAGCAGAAGGTTGCAAATGCTTGTCCTACTGCCTGGCCAAGTCTTAGGTAAAAATTGTCACCTAACCACATCCTCAGATCATTTCCCCTGTACTCTAGATCACTAAGCGCATGTGCACACACACGCATGCACGCGCACACACACACACACACACCATCCAGGATCCTCCTGAGGATGAATGAATATTCCTGGGCCAAATATTGCATGAGGATTTGGGCAATGTTTTGGCTAGTTGAACAACAACAATGCTCATATTTATGCCAATTGGCAGGACCATTGCTTGATCATCCTGTACTTGGTGAAGGGCATTTTTTATTGTTTCCTTTTTTGTTTGTTTGTTTGTTTGTTTTGTGAGGCAGAATATCACCCTGTCCCACAGACTGGAGTACAATGGCATGATCTTGGCTCACTGCAACCTCTGCCTCCTGGGTCCTAGCAATTCTCCTGCCTCAGCCTCTCGAGTAGCTGGGATTACAGGTGCCCACCACCACATCGGGCTAATTTTTGTATTTTTAGTTGAGACAGGGTTTCGCCATGTTGGTCAGGCTGGTCTCGAACTCCTGACCTCAGGTAATCCACCTGCCTCGGCCTCCCAAAGTGCTGGGATTACAGGTGTGAGCCACCATGCCTGGCCCAAGGGCATTGTTTTCTAATCCAGATAACTAAGCTATCCTTAGGGTGATATGTAATGCAGCAATTGCTAGAAAATGACATGTTTTCATAATGGATCTTTCTCCACCATCTAGAAATTTAGGTAAAGTTGAAAGAAAGGATAGGAGGAACCATTTACTGTGCACCTACTTTCTTCCTGAGATTTTATACATGTCATTTGATGTTTACACCAAGTTTTTGAGGTCAATCTCATATCCAAAGCTCTAATCAATTAACTTTAAATTAGTTAATGACAGGGCTCTCTTATTCTTAAACCTGTCATTTCCCCTAAACTATGTTGTTTTCCTAAAGTGAGATTAAAAGTTTGAAAACAAAGGAACAAAATGTTCATTTATTTACTACGTTTCTGAAAACTTGCATATATCTTAATATATATATATATCTTATTTATATGTCTTATTTCATTGTTATGAAAACCTAGCTTTCTTTCCTTCTATCCTTTCAATATTATGCTACTTGTATTTAGTATTTACATTGTATGATTCAAAATATTGTTCACTGCAGAGCCAAGTAGTAGACTATGACCGCTCTGCTTATTTTGAACAATCTTTTATTTTTTTCTGGAGTTGATAATTGCTTCAGATTTTTGTCTGGCTTTTTATAAGCCTGTTGATAATTTCCTGTTTATTCTAATGTCTGTCATATGCCTATCCATGGAGTTAACCTAGTTTCATTTTGTTTTTCATGGCCACATCTTTATCCTCCTTTCTGTGGGGGCCCTCAGCTTCTGCTTTAATTCCAGCTAGATACTTTCTGCTTTCATTCCCGCTATATACTCTAATTCCAGCTAGATACTTTCTGCTTTCATTCCTGCTATATACTTTAATTCCAGCTAGATACTTTCTATGTGGGCTGCAAAGGTGTAGCCCTGATACTTTTCTCATCTATCATCCTGAGACTTCATCTTACAATTACCCTGTTTTCCAAATCTCATGCCTTCTACTTCCTTCCTTTACTCTCCATTTAGAATATTTTTCAGCAGCTTCTAAATTAGCCTACATAAGACATAAACTCTTAGATCTTACTTGTCTGAAATGTCTTTCACATATGATTGGTATTTGAGCTAAACATAAATTAGAGATTGAAAGTCATTTCTCTTCAGAATTTTGAAGACTTCTCTACTCTTTTTCTTTCTGCTGTTGTTTTTGAGAAGTCCAATAACATATTTCTAATCCTTTGTATTTTGTTTCCTCTCTGAAAACTACTTAGATATTCTTTTATTACAAATATTCTAAAATTTAGTAATTTTTAAAATTCTCTCATTGTTTTAAACTTTTTTTTTGAGTGGAGTTTCACTCTTTTTGCCCATGCTGGAGTGCAATGACACGATCTTAGTTCACTGCAACCTCCGCCTCCTGGGTTCATGTGATTCTACTGCCTCAGCCTCCTGAGTAGCTGGGATTACAGGTGCGCACCATCATGCCCAACTAATTTTGTATTTTTTGTAGATACAGGATTTCACCATGTTGGCCAGGCTGGTCTCAAACTCCTGACCTCAGATGATCTGCCCGTCTCAGCCTCCCAAAGGGCTGGGATTACAGGCATTAGCCACTGCACCCGGCCTGTTTTAAACATTTAATGGACTCACCAGGGAATTTTCTTGTCTTATTACTTTGATAATTTCCTCCACTCCATTTTCCCTCTAATATTTTTACTTTCGGGGATTCCTATGAGTTTGACATTGGTTCTTCTGGACTAATGTTTCCTCTAGTGTTTTTTGAAGATGTCTTTTTGGATTAAATTCTAGAAACCGCCTCAACTTTATATTTCATTGTTGCTCTTGATGGTTTTAATGCAGATACTGAATTTCCAAGAGTGCTTTAGTTGTTCTCTTAGTGTTCATTTCATAGAGCACGTTGTTCTCCTTTAAGAGGTCATATCTTCTCTTTAACTTCCAGGATTTTTTTAACCGTTTTGTCTGTTCTTTATATTATGTTACTTTTCTCTCATTTGCTCCACTTCCTCCCCACCCCACCCCTGTTTATTTAGATCTCTTCCTTTCATAGTGAAGGTTCTTCTCAATTCACTAGCTACCTCAACTGTCCCTTTGTATTTGAGAACAAGGCATTGAGAAGCATTATTTTGGAAGCTCTGTGTGCATGACCAGGACTTGTCAAAGACTGGAGCTTATCACAAGGGGATCAGATAGAAAGCTGTCTTTTCTATAAGAGGCATTCCCAATGTTAGTGTCTGCAGGCCTTCTAGAACTGGAAGCAGAAAGTCCCTCCTCGGCATGTAGAGTCTCACTCATTCCCGTTTGCATTCCATCACCTCCCTGCCCTGAGCCCTTTGCACTTGTGGTACATGTTGTTTGAAGTATGATGCTTCATTGATTAGATTCCTTCAGGGGTAAAATCTCCATTCTCGTGTGGGGAAGGTGATACTTTAAGTCACCTGGCTGTGCAGCAACAGAGAGGGACCAGGTAGTCTAATAACACCTTATGCAGACTTCCAACTCTTGTTTCTCACTATACCTTATTCTATAAACTTCTGGGGAAACGGCTTTCTTTGAATTCTGAGCCTTTCTTAGGTATATTTCAGGCCAACTTACTTGTACCTTGTCCATACACTTGTCAACTGGCACCCAAGTTCAGGCAGTCTCCATTTTAATCAATCAGCTGCTGCTCATCCACCTTTCATTTTATCTTCCAAAATATTGTTATAATTCTTATGCATTGGTTAGCTTCTTTTCTTTAACTTTGTCCTTGTGGATTACTACTCATTTTGGTCTTTTATTGTTACTTTAGTGGCATTTCAGGAGGAAATGGAATGGAAGTGTGAGGTCAATGCAGCATATCAACCAGAATCTAGCCTGAATTGCAACTGTCTCACAATAGGTGCCGGACTCTGCAGTTATGGTTCTAGATAGTACAAAATTTCCTCTCTCTTATGAGAAATATGAAATCATTTAAAGCAGTTACCTTTTCTAAACAATTCCATGGACTCTGAGTCAAAATAATTTGGCAATCATTTATTCCAACCTCTCCTGGATGCCTAAACTATATCCCTAAGAGGTGATTTTACAATCTTGAATTGAATCTCTCCAGTGATAAGGAATTTACTTACACATGAAATGATTCATTACATTTTCAAGTCATGTTGTGGTAAGAGTTAGAGTGCTTCTAAGTATCTTTGTTAACTCCTAAAATCTGAGTCTTACAAATAACTGACTTATCAAGTTGTAAAAAGTAAAGAGAAAATCCCCATTTCTCCTACTTTAAATAGACCGTAGAAAATAATGATGTCCAAATTTGTCAAATACGTCAAACTCAACTGCATATAGGACCATTGGTGTACTTATAATCCAAGAAGTGCCAACACAACCATATGGCATCAGTTGAAGGGACCTCAAGAAGTTAATGTGGATTTCACAGTGGCAAGGCTGATGGCTTTAGTCTTGCTGAAAGTTCTGCTTGTTTGATGAGAAATATTTATATAATATTTTCAGAGGCTTATTTCTTGTATGTAAACTCTCAGATGTGAAAGGGAATTCATTTGCTGCATATTGATTAGCTCGTTGAGTGTTAATTTCTCATGGTTGTGGTCTGCATGAGAGAACTACAATCAGCTAGAGTCAAAGAAAAGTGGATGCTTCCACCAGCTGATTTTTATTTTATTTTTATTTATAATATGGAACACTACTGTAAAAGAATCTTTGCCTGTCTTTCCACTTTATAATTATAAAGAAAAGGAAAAAAAGAGGTTAGAGGGCCCTTCAAGGTACTTTAAAATGTTTTTTTCTTAGCAATTCAAAATGTCCTAGTGAAACGGGAGAGTTCCCTGACTCCCTTCACAGGACTTGTGACAGGGGTGTCTTGTTTATTTGGCCTCAGTGCTCAAACCCCTTATGGGATGGGGAACATGCAGGTGCACAGGAGCAGAAGCCAGGGTGAGTGCTTTTGGGCTCCAGCCCCACAGTGGTGTCTAGGGGTGTTACAATGCTCTTTTAGCCCTGCCATCTGGAGATGGCTTAAGTGTTAAACAGCTCAGTGAAAAGTCAGTGTGACAGCCTTTTGGGGTTCCCATACCCAGTGTGTCCTGAATTCTTGTTCAGTGTCCATGAAGAATGAGGTCATACAGACCTGAAGGCTGGTGAATGTGGGGATTTTGTTGAGTGATGGAGGTGGCTCTCAGCAGGAAGGGGAACGGGAGAGGGGACGGAGTGGGAAGATGATCTTCCCCTGTAGTTCATCGGTCCCGTAGCTGATTTCCTCTCTGTCCACAGCTAAACTCCTCTTGACCTTCAGACACTTCCTCTCTTCCCTCCTCTGCTGCACTGCTCTGCTGCTCTGCCACTCTTCTGCTTGTGGAGCCTGGATATTGGGGTTTATATGGATGGGCACACGATAGGGGGTTGCAGTGGGTCAAAAGGCAACATTTGGGTGCAAAAACAGGAATGCCTGTTCTCACTTAGGGCTGCAGGTCTACGCTTGAGGGTGGAACCCTCGCCAGGAACTCTTTTGCCTCCTGTCCATATCACTAGGAAGACCATTGATGTGTTTGATCTTTGTAAAACTACATATGACTCTCAAGTTGCAAGTGATACTGTGGTTCAGCTTATCAAATACTGGAATTTGGCTTCTGTCACTGACTCTGCCACTGGCTTTGTGGTCCTGAACGCAGCCCTGATGTCAGATGTGTTGGTAATCTTGGGGAACTTTAAGCAAGCCAGCTTTTTTTTTTTTTTTTTTTTTTTTTAGGACTAGATGGAGGTAAGGGAAAGTGTGAGACAATAAAACTGGCAACCAGAAACAGAAGAAGAAAGGAAGAGAGAAAGGAATCTACGGAGTGTGGAAGTTTTAGGAGTAAATTTCTATATAAGTTGCAAAATTTTAGTAATTCTTTAGTTCTTATTTCATTTATTCACTTATTTTTTTTTTCTTTTTAGACAGAGCCTCACTTTGTCTGGAGTGCAGTGGTGCAATCTTGGCTCATGCAACCTCTGTCTCCCAGCTTCAAGCAGTTCTCCTGCCTCAGCCTCCCCAGTAGCTGGGACTACAGGCACCAGCTAACTTTTTTTATTTTTAGTAGAGATGGGATTTCACCGGGTTGGCCAGGCTGGTCTCGAACTCCTGACCTCAAGTGATCCACCTTCCTTGTCTTCCCAAAGTGCTGAGATTATAGACGTGAGCCACCACACCCAGCCTCATTCATTCATTTATTCATTCAACAAGTATTAATTGTGTGCCTACTATAGGCCAAGTGTATTTTGGGCCAAGTGCATTTCTATGAGCTAAGGATATAGCAGGGAATAAAACAGTTACCTCCATCCTCATGGCACTTACATTCATGTACCTGCAATCCCCATCAGAATCAGCAACTAGGAAGAGATGATATCAGAGCTTGAACGTGGATCCAGTAATACCCATGGATAGTTCTGTGGAAGTACCACAGAGAAAAATTCAAAGGAAAGAGGAATAGGATATATTGAGATACAAAAAGTGTAGCAATGGAAAATCAGGTGATCAGATTATTGAGAATGAAATATCTTTAGTAAAGATTTGAAGGAGTTGAGTAGAGATATCTCCTAGATATCTACACCTACATAGAAGATCATGCCAAGAGGAGGAGCAGCATGTTCAAAGGAGAGAATGGGTATGACATGTTTGAAGAATAGTCAGTAGTTTGGTATGGCTACAGCTGACTCAGTGAGATGGGAATGAGGTCAGAAAGATGAGGAAAGGGCAGTCCAGATTGTGTTGGGCTTTGCTTGCAAAAACTTCAGCTCTTACTTGGTATAAGACAGCAAACCATTGAAAGAGTTTGTGTAGAGGAGTGACATGATCTGACTTCTTTTTTAACAAGATGGCTCTTATTGTATCATTAACAGCATGGTTTTACATGAACCTATCGTTTTGTTTAGTTTGTGGGTCAGGACTGAACAATGAAAGTAGAAGCAGTCCTGTGACAGTGGCACTAATTACATTTATTGTCATAGAGAAAGCTCATGCCAGTCACATACTAGTCAGAGGAGTTTTCAGTCCTAATTGCCACAGAACAAATGACTTTGGATGTTAAATGGACTATAGTCCCCTCATTTGCAAAGTGGGGATAGTAGTATCTATATAGTGAATTATGAGAAGTAAATGAGAAATAACATTTGTGAAAATGTCTGACAAAATGCCTGAGGTGTTAACGGATCTTTTAAAATGTTAACTGTAGCCTCAATGGATTGTAAGAATATACACATTTAAACCCATTGACATAAATTATGGCTAGAATGAAAGTTTTGATCATCTTGATGATAGTTTTTGTCTTTTGGGTTTCTTTCTTGTGTGTTCTATCTGAAGAAAATCATCTGAAATCCCTCATTTAGAAATTGAAATATTTTATGTCAGCAAGCACATATGTTAATGATTTCCTGAATCAGAAATGTGTTCAAAATCATATCTATAGCAATGATCACCACAGCGGTAGTTCTATTAGGGAAAATACACGAAAACAAATATAAAACAATAACAAATTAAGTAACTAATTAAATAATGTGTGGCATGGAAATAAATGAAATACTGTGCAACCTTCGAACACCATTTTATAGAACAAATAATCATTGGAGAAGTAGACGTGATATGTTGTTAAGTAAACATATCATATAAATGGCTTAGAGGCTTAGAGATGTGTAGGAAAGGAAATACTCTAAAATGTTAACAAGAATGGTATCTCTGGTGCAATTAAAAGTCTTTTTAATTTGGATGGGTTTTTTTATATTTTACAAATATTTCTGCATTGATTCTACATTACTTATGTAATCAAAGGTGCCCAATACGTGTTACTTAAAGAATCTCTTCAATAATTAGAACGTAGGCACTCAATGCTCATTTTTTTCCCCAGTGATTCTCTGAACGTGTGTTACTACCATCCAGGAGCAGAACTATATCTTGCTGAGACATTTGTGATAATGACAAAACGTTTCAATCAGAAATTTGAGATAAGGATATATAAATGATTTTTTCTCATGAGAAATAAAACGCAGGTGTGTTCACCAAAATCCTGCTCTTTTACTCAATCCCCTTGGCCAAAAGTAAGCACGACCTCTCTGGCATTGTGAACAAAAAGAGGAATTAACTCAAAAAGACTAATTTTATGCATTAGATGATCCTTTAGAATAATCAAGCATATGAGTATTAGGGTAACTTATCCTTTTTACTTTTCCTGAGGGAGGTAAGAGTAGCACCGACTTGCTACTGCTAAAGATATGGACTATTGGCCTGGGAGGGTAAGCATTTTCTGTCTGATTTAATTAAGACCACTACCTGCTGACAAGGCTTTGAGAAAGAAACAAAAATAAGGAATGCACAAATAAAATGTAATGCAGGTCAGGCATGGTGGCTGATGCCTAAGTGGGAGGCTTAGGCAGGTAATCACTTGAGGCCAGAAGTTTGAGACCAGGCTGGGCAGCACACCAAGACCATCTCTCTACAAAAAAAAAAAAAAAAATACAAATTAGCCATGTGTGGTGATGGATGTCTGTTGTCCAGCTAGTCAGGAGGCTGAGGTGGGAGAA
Organism: Homo sapiens; assembly: GCF_000001405.40. Classification (NCBI taxonomy): domain Eukaryota; kingdom Metazoa; phylum Chordata; class Mammalia; order Primates; family Hominidae; genus Homo; species Homo sapiens. The sequence goes on from NC_000008.11 coordinate 32,206,020, forward strand.
TCCCTTGAGGCCAGTTCAAGGTTACAATGAGCTATGATCATGCCACTGCACTCCAGCCTGAACAACAGAATGAGACCCTGTCTCATTCAATTCTTTAAAAATCTAATGCAAAAACATTAGAACTGAAACTAGAACCAGTTTTATTGGAAGATGATGGAAAAGCACCTTGTGATTTATCTCTTTTGGTAGCAGAGAGCTCATGATCGTCCATCTAACTCCCACACCATCTTGGAGAGCCACAGGGTATCCTACATTATCCTGCTGAAGATCCTTCAGTACCTAATGGCTCTCGTGAAGCATTCCAAAGTGAAAGTCATGGAGCCTATGCCACTAAATCAGATATAACTAGATACATGTTGGATTAAAAGGAAAGGAGGAAAGGCATAGAAGGGAAAAACAGAGATTATTGGAGACCAAATACCTCTATAAATTCTCAAAATTTGTTTAAAGGCTTTACTTTTTCAAGATGCATATTTTGGCAATAGCTTACGAAGACTGAAGTTTTCTTATTTAATCTTAGAGATACTAATACTTAGAAAAGAAAAGTCTTCTATCTTGTTGACCTTCTCTGTAGCCATTTGAAATCTTCATTATCAGAATAATGCCCCTCCATGTCCACAATTATTAATTTTTATAGATTTAGGGGGTACAAGTGCAGTTTCATTACATGGATGTATTGTGTAATGGTGAAGTCTCGGCTTTTTGTGTAGCCATCACCTGAATATAGTGTACATTGTACGCATTAAGTAATTCCTCATCCCTTTCCCACAACCTCCACCCTTCTGAGTCTCCAGTGTCTATAATTCCACTTTCTGTGTCCACGTGTACACGTTATTTAGCAGCCACTTATAAGTGAGAACATGCAGTATTTGACTTTCTGTTTCTGAGTTATTCATGACCAGAATTATTATTCTAATTATTGTGAAATAAAAATTATGCCTGACTAAAATGACTGAATCCAGAACTTCACCATAATCCATCTATCTCCTCCGTGAGTCAGTGCATATTACCTATTCCAATGACCTCTTCAGTACTGTAAATATTACTGTGTTCCTTTTATTTACTTAATAAATAGATGTCAAATGTGTGGAAAACAACATTTGTTTTTTCAAATACATGTTTATAACACCCTTTGGAGGAAGTAAGCCTCTAGAACATGACAGTCTCTGGGGTATGCTATTTTCAGGTAATTTTAAATGTCGCTTTCCAACAAAAATGCAATACTATTATCTTTTTTTTTAATGACAAAGAAAAGCAAAACAAGTATTATATTGGTGCAAAAGTAATGCAGTTTCTGCCATTTCTCTTAATGCCATTACTCGTAAGGGCAGAAATGACCATTACTTTTGCATCAACCTAATACCTCCAGATTTTAGATATTTGAGTGCCATTGCTTGATATATCTTTTGTTTTTTCTTCTGGAAATTTTGGTTACTTTAGTTGCATAAAGGATGACTTCCATTTTACCCTGTTAAGCATCTCTGTCTGGTCAGAAGCTACTACTCTGTTCTTTCTAGTTCAGTAGGGAACAATCAGTTTCCTTCTCAATTTTCAGCTAATCTTTATGAATGAAATTTGATTAAATCTAGCAAAACTATGCAAACATCATAACAGCATATGGGGAGCCTTCCTGTAGTACCAGTGGGCTATTTCCGTCTAATAACAGATTCAAAAAATCCAATTAGACAGTTTGAAAAAAGAAAGCCAGAGTTAAAAATATCTGACTGTTTGACTGAGAACAGCAGGGAATGGTTTATAGGCCAATCATTTATGGTGAATAGGATCTTAGTGGTGAGCAACTCACATCTCTAGCCCATTAGAATAATGTGTTACTCATATTGCTCCTAAAGCTTTCTACTTAATTATACCAAGTTAAATAGCAGACATTCTCACTCCCTTTTGATGGAAAATCACATTTATTCACCCACACAATACCATCCTTGGGTGTTAAGGGATGAGAGTTGACCTAATGGGAAGACAAACAAATGGTTTAGGAAATGAGACATGATTTTTTTACACAAAGGTTAATGCACGAGAAAAGAAATGCCTAGGTCTCTGTCTAATGTCTATGTGTTCTCATCGAATAATTCTTAAATGACCCTATTTAGTTTGATTTTCTAACTACATTAGAAATATATGAAACAATTAAGAAATCATTTTTTACCTGTCATATGGCAGATGGACTAACATTGATCAGGGCAGTCGAGGAGGTTGTAAGGAAATGGGTACTCTCAAACATTGCTGGTGGGACTATGAAGTGTTTTAATTTTTTTTTTTTTTTTAGACGGAGGTTTGCTCTTGTTGTCCAGGCTGGAGTGAAATGGCGTGATCTCGGCTCACTGCATCCTCTGCCTCAGCCTCCCGAGTAGCTGGAATTACAGGCACCCTCCACCATGCCCAGCTAATTTTTGTATTTTCAGTAGAGACAGGGTTTCACCATGTTGGCCAGGCTGGTCTTAAACTCCTAACCTCAGGTGATCCGCCCACGTCGGCCTCCCAAAGTGCTGGGATTACAGGCGTGAACCACCGGGCCCAGCCAAGTGTTTTAATTTTTAAAAACTATTTGACCATATGAAAATATAGATGTTCCATTAAATATATATAGCCTAAGAAATATAATCAGCAATGCAGTAAAAGATTATGTATACGGATGCTCCTGACAGTTGGATTTACAATAGGGAAAAGCTGGAAACAACCTAAATATTTGAAAAAAGAGAATGGTAAATACATCAAAAATACAATAAATACAGTGTTAAGTGAAAAGTTTGTGCAATTTTGACTTGAGAAATTTTTAATGTACTATGACTACTTGGAAGAATATGGATGTACCTCAAAATAAGTAATGATCTATATGAAAGACTGTTTTTGATAATTTTTGTTTTCTTATACATACCTTCCAATATTGTCCAAATTTTCAATAATAAGCATGCATAGCCTAATATATCATGTAGATGAGTGCAAAATGAACACAGAGATTAAGATCATGGGCTTTTCAATGAAGGTCTGAGTTTGAATCCTGTCTCTGCCATTTACTAGCAATATAATTTCAGGAAATAACTTAACATCTCTGCTCTTCAGTTTCCTCATCTGAAATATAAGGATAATAATGGTATCTGTGCCTTAAGGATGACCAAAGTTATAGATATCTTAAGAATGAATTAAATGCGTTTCTCTCCATGGACTATTTTAACAATGAATGCCTGACATAGCAATTATGTTCCATAATCACCATTATTTATTTATAAAATTATTTAGTATTATTTAATACTAACATTCTGGTTTTATAAAACCAAATTTTAAAAATAGATAAGTAAATGAAAGGACAAGGAAAACCTAATTTCACTGTTTTTCTAGCTTTTTTTATTGCTATAACTTTTATATCATAAATCCACCCATTTGAAGTGTATAGCTCCATTTTACTATACTGTTTTCATTTATAAAAGCCTTTTATAAATTTATACATACCTTTCAGTGTTGTTTGAATTTTCCATAGCAAGCATTCATAGCATAGTATATCATGTAGCAGGGTTTAAAATAAGCATAGAAGAGGGTTTCGCCAAAAGATTATTTAAGAAAATCTACTAAAAGAGGGTTCTTCTGAAAAATAAAATGTATTTGCTTTTATCAAATGAGCAAACTTCATCCACTTGGAGATCACCCACATGTGAATTTCTTTCTTTCTTTCTCTCTTTCCCTTCCTTCCTTCCTTCCTTCCTTCCTTCCTTCCTTCCTTCCTTCCTTCCTTCCTTCCTTCCTTCTTACTTTCTTTCTCTGATGGTAAGTTACATTAGAGGACAGGAAGGCTCAGTGATCAGTTTTGATGGGATGGCTGCACAGAGGCACATGGAGAAGAAGCAAGGAAGCCACCTTCAGCTTCTGGGTCTCTTTGTTATACAGGAAAGGAAGTCAACTGGGGTAAACCTGTTTGGAAAGGATTGAGTCCTTCTCTCAATTTTGAAGGGATGATTTTTTAGTTCTTCAGATTTATCTTCTGTAAATAAATTTCTTCAGAAGCTTCCTGCAATATGATAAACACAAATGATTAGGAAGTGTTTTGTAAGGATTGGGGACTAAAGAAATTATTGATGAAGCCAGAATGTGTCAAAAAGGTGTCGTAAAGCAGCAATACTTAAACATTTTGGTCTCAGAGTCCCTTTACAATCCAGGACCCAAAGAGGTTTTTTTGTGTTTGTTTTTTGTTTTTTTCTAAAATGGGTTATACCTATCATTTTTTTCATATTAGAAATTAAAACTGAGAAATGTTTGAACACAGGAATACCCAAGTACATATTCCAGTGATCAGCAGAGCAATGGCATCATCACATCATATTGCCTCCAGAAAATCCCACTGACAATTTGTTGAAGACTAAAAGGGAAAAAGCCAAACACCTTAGTATGCTGTAAAAACAGCTTTCATCTCACAGACCTCCCGAAAGGGTCTTGAAGATCCATGAGCAATCCCTGGACCACACTTTGAGAACCGCTTTTGTAACGTGTGACCTTCCCTTATCCTCTGCCATGCGAAACTATCTCAGAATCTAAGATTGTCTACAGCCACGGTACAACCAGCTCTGAGACTTTGAAGAGAAGAAAAGATGAACTTCATCACTAAAAAAGCCAAAGTAGTTGAAAGCAAACACTAGCTGAATTTTCTTCCTCCAAGCCTACAGACCACCTCACGTAGTAGCTGTAGTGGGAGCTGCTCCCAAGATTTGATAAGAATTAGTAAAGAGGTTTATAAGACCGTGTGTGCAGAGTCTCACAGTTGCTGATACTTGTTGGGCTTAGCTTTATCTCTGTCTACAGTAGCAGCCCAGGACAAAACATTCATATGATATTCTCTCTTTCTTCTTTAACCATAGATAAATGTCCCAAGAAAAGGGAAGAGAAACAGAAAAATCATACATGCTAAACACCAGTTTATTAAATATATTTGTTGCTGTTTTTCTTTTTTACTTGGTTGCTCACAATATTAATACACCCTCTTTATAAAACATGAAAGCAATACAAAAGTATAATGAGTAAAATGAGAATCCTAAAATGTTTTCTTCCATAATCCTCTCTCTAATCGCATTTCTCAGAGATAACTGTGTTAGCATTTTGGTGTGTTTCTTATAGCCCTTTTTGTTGTCAAAAATAAGCAAAGATAAAGGGGAAAGATTTTGTTCTGTTTCTTTTTTCTATATACACAGTATATCTTGGAGATAGTTTCAAGTGCCAAATACATGCATTTATTTTTTTCACAGAATGCAAGTCATGTCATAGCATGGATGAAGTTGGGTTTATTTAATCATTCACTAGTTGGCAGGTATTTAGGTTGTTTACAGTTTTTCCATTTTAGAAACAGTGTTCCCATGTAAAGAATGTCCCTTGTGCATAAATCGTTGTGACATGTGTTGGAATCTCAAAAGTGGAATTGCTGAGCCAGGGGCATCCTCATTTTAAAATTTAATAGACATCATCATTATCCTCTAGCATGCACATCACTTTACACAACTGATGGTAATTTATGAGGAATTCTATGTCCCCTCACTCCAACACTGCATCTAGTCACTCTTTGAAAATTGTCCAGTCTAATGGGTGAATTATGGCATCTTGCTTTGTTATGCATTTCTGTGATTACCAGTGAACTTGAACATCTTTCCATATTTTTATTTATGTTTAACATCGAAACACGTTACGTTTTGAATATTTTCCTCTACTCTATTACTGCCTTTTATCCTTGATTATAGTTTCTTCCATCACACAGCAGGCTTGAATTTTTGTGTACTTAAATTTGCCAATCTTTTCATTTCTGGTTCCTGAGTTTTTTTGTTTAACTTAGGAACCACCTCCTCCCATACTATCTCCAAGGATAGAAAAATACTGTTTTCTCCTAGAGCTTTTGTGAACTTTATTTTTTACAATTATATCTTTAGTCCATTGATGGCTGTGCCTTTTAAATAATGAAAAGTCCATATTTAAGTTATTTTTTTCCCAAATAGATAAACATTTGCCTTACAGGATTTAGTAAGCATTTTATCCTTTCTTCCTACATTTGAATTGCCACCTTTAACACAGGGATATTAGGTAACTTAAGAGGTAAATGTGTGTTTCTTGAATCCCAGATCTACCACTTAAAAATTATGTAAGGTTTGATTTACTGATTCATTTTTCCTGCCCCACCAACTTCATGACCATAAAATAGGGGCAGGGGAGAAGGAAATGATAAGACTTAGCATATTATACCATATGGAAATTAAATAATACACATAAAATACTTAAAATAGCGTCAGGCAATTTAAGAGCACTCAGTAAAGTTAGCTCTTATTAAATTTTTGCAACTCCATGTATACCTGGGATCTGTTTCTGGTTTGTTCATGGCAGCATTGTCAACTAAAACTTTCTGTGCTATTCAGTGTGATAGTTATTGGACACAATGACCACTGAAAACATGGCTAGAATGATGGGAAAATTAAAATTTTAATTAATTTTAATTTAAAGATAAACAGCCACATGTGGTCAGTAAGTACCATATTGGACAGGAGAATGCCCATATAGTATTTTCCATGAGCTTTCATGAGTTATGCTTTATTATATAAACCAGATTTTATTTAAGAACTCATATGGACTAGATTATGAATTTTATGAGATGATTTTCCTTGAGTCATCAAGAAGAACACAGTTTTTTTCTTTAATCTGTTAAAGTTGGGAAGTATTAATATAAATCTAGTTCCTACTTGAAATCAACATTCCAGCAATAAACCTTATTGGTTCTTGTTATTCTTTGACCTCACGGTTAAATTTGATTTGCTAATTTTGGTTAGAGCTCTTCTATATTCATATTTGAGATTATTTTAAATTTGCATTGTGCATTGACTGTGAGATGAGTATTTTGTTGGCTTGGTAAAATGAATTAGGAGACTTCATATTCTAAATTCTGAAATAGTTTGAATATTGGAGTTATTATCTGTTCTTGGGAGATGGTTTTTATCACCAGTTCCCCTAAACTCCTTTTTACCTTGAGGTAAAGCAAAGTCTACCTTACTATTTCTTGTATGGTGATTGGCTATTCAGGTTTTCTATCTATTATTAAGACAATTTTGAACTCACTGGTGCTCCAAAGAAAATCTGAATCATTCTATTACAAAGATACAGGCTCACATATGTTCACTGCAGCACTCTTCACAATAGCAAAGACATGGAATTTACCCAAATACCCATCATTGATAGACTGGATAAAGAAAATGTGGTACATATACACCATGGAATACTATGCAGCCATAAAAAGGAAGAAGATCATATCCTTTGCAGGGACATGGATGGAGCTAGAAGCTATTATCCTCAGCAAACTAACACAGGAACAGAAAACCAAACACCACATGTTCTTACTTATAAATGGGGGCTGAAAAATGAGAGCACATGGACACAGGAGGGTAACAACACACACTGGGGCCTGTCGGGGAGCATGGGAGGGAGAACATCAGAATAAATAGCTAATGCATGTTGGGCTTAATACATAGGTGATGGGTCGATAGGTGCAGCAAACCACCATGGCACATGTTTACCTATGTGACAAACCTGCACATCTTGCACATGTATCCCGGAACTTAAAATTTTAAAAAAATTTAAAAAAAAAGAAAATCTGAACTTGGGTAGCAATATCTCTACCTAATGATACTCTTGATTTTTAAGTACTTAAAATGAGTCTGAAACTGTAGAGGAAGAAAAATTCTTCCTACCACCCTCCTCCTTTCTCTGGCTGGGGCTTTGTAAATTGGACTGACAAAGACAGCTTAACAAGAGAGAAGCAGGAGTTTATTAGTGTGTGCATTGGGCTCACACGTGGGAGCACTCAGACGTGAGTAACTCCAAGGGCTGGTAAGACCTTGAGCTAATATAGAATCTCAGCAAAGGAACAATAAATTTTTAGAGAAATGACAAGACAAAGGAACGAACTTTGAGTTTCTAGGGTGGCAGACTGTGGGAAAGCAAATATATGGGAAACCTATTGTAGATAAAGATTAGTTAGGGAAGTTTATGTGGATGCCTGTGGTTCCGTCTCTGGACTCCTAAGGGTCTAGAGTTGTCTCTGATGATTAACTTTTATCCTTCCTAGTAGAGAGGGGAGGGAAAACACCTTTGCAAATTTGTGTCCTGCTTTTAGGCAAACAGGGGCAGGGCAGAGAGCTTTTCTTATAGCTGTTTTCTCTCAAAATTCTGTCTTCACATCAAAATAATCCCAATGCCAAAGTGGCGTATTTTGGGGTGGCATATTCGGCTACCCTACAGGACCTATGCAAAGATATATCTTTATATATATTTAAACCATAGTTTTCAACAAAGTTGGAAACAAGAATAAGGATTGATTTAAAAGATATTATATAGCCATTGACATCATGCTGCATAAAACCTATTTAATTCTCATCTAACTGGTAGATTATACAAATAATAACATTGCTTTCCTTTGGATATTAGCATTGGAAAGAGTGTTTTTTGCCAGCCTTGATGGTGCACCCCTGCAGTCCCAGATACTTGGGAGGCTGAGGTGGGAGGATCACTTGATCCCAGGGGTTCGAGGCTGCAGTGAGCTGTGATTGCACCACTGCATTCCATCCTGGGCAACAAAGTGAGACACTGTCAATCAAGAAAGAGAAAAAGAAAGAGAGAGAGAGAGAGAGAATTCTTTTTCCTTTTCTTTCAAGGAAAAATCAGAAAATGAGTGGTTGATCTTAGTTCAATTAAAGAAAACAAAACAAACCTGCTGGGTGCCTCCTCTGCTCTAAATACTAAGCAAGAAATAAAGTGAATAAGCCCCTGCCAGTCATGTAACTAAACTCTGAATGAGGGAAGTAGCTAAAATGTTACACATAAAAGAAAGCTGAATGGGAAAAATGCATGGAAATTATGAGTTTAGGGACATTTTCACTTGGCCAAATGCCCCATTCTCTTTCTCTACTTCCAGGTCATTGTGATAGGTATTTTAAATGAACTTGAATAATCCCTTAGGACAGGGTTGCCTGAGGAAATGGGGGACACCCAGTCAAATTGGAATTTCAGATAAACAACAAATAATTTTTAGCAGAATTGTGTCCTATGCTTACTTATACTAATATATATACATATATTTTATTTGCCTGAAATTCATATTTATCTGCACTATATCTGGAAACATTAAGAATAAATTGTAACATCTTGTATTTGTATAAGGCAACATTTTACCAATCTTTTCTTCAGAATACTAGTTTTATGAAACTCAGCAAAAAGGGCTATGTGGTCCCAAAAGTTGAGAAGGCATTTCGTGCTATAGCTCCTCTTGCTTACAGCTGTTAACTTGGAGTGATAATCACCTGTTCTGACAACCAGCATAGACTGGACTCCTTCTAGCTGTTAACACCTCTGCAGCAGGACTGAGAAAGGACTGGAGAGCCACGTGCTATGGTTTACACCTCTGAGCATTTGCTGTGTGCCAGCCATCACACTACATGCTTTACATACTTCATCTCACTAATCCTCACACACTTATGAGGAAACTACTGAGAGTGTATGCATGAGGAAATGCCTCAGAGAGGTTCAGCAACTTGCCCAAGGTCTCACAGTTGTAAGGGACAGAGTCTGAATCTATTGCCTCTATACTTAATCAATAAAGATTCATTATATGCATTAGCTCATCAAAGGTTCTAAGATGTCTAGAGTAAGGAAAATTTTTGACTTTGTTTAAATAACCATTTCCTGGAAGCACCATCGAAAACATTGGTAGTTGCAGGGTGCAGTGGCTCACACCTGTAATCCCAGCAATTTGGGAGACCAAGGCAAGAGGATAACTTGAGCCCAGGAGTTCAAGCCCCATCTGGCCAACATGGTGAAAACCCGTTTCTACTAAAAATACAAAAACTAGCCAGGCTGGTGGTGTGTGCCTGTAGTCCCAGCTACTTGGGAGTTTGAGGCAGGAGAATTGCTTGAACCTGGGAAGCAGAGGTTGCAGTGAGCCGATATCATGCCACTGCACTCCAGCCTGGGAGACAGAGCAAGACTCTGTCTCAAAAAAAAAAGAAAAATAAAGGTAGGGTGTTTTATATTTATATCTACATAAATCTATACATTATCTAGATATTATACTATATTATGGAAATGTATATATTATATTAGAATTAATATTTCTAATTATCGTATACAGTTATACATTTTATTGTGTTATTATAACATATTATATATAATTGGTTCTGTTTTTCTGAAGAGCCATAAATAATGCATTCAATTTAGAAGACAAACTCTTTTAGTTGGAATGAGCCTAATAAAAATAATTACCATCCCAAGCCAACTTTAGGTTATTATTTGTCTCTGACAGTATTAAATTATCATTATATTAAATTCCTAGAAGCACTATAGAAATGGCAGCAGAGTATTTATATTATATATAATATAGGTTATATTATTAGATATTAATATATTACATTACAATTGTATTATCATGATATTATATATAAATTGGTTCTGTTTCTCTTGACAACCTTACTAATACATCCAGTTTAGAACATAAATTCTATTAGTTGGAATGAGCCTATAAAAATAATTACCATTCCAAACCAACTTTAGGTTATCATTTGTCTTTGATATTATTAAATTATTATTATTTTAAGTTCCTAGGAGCACAATAGAAATGCTGGCAGAGTGTTTATATTAAATATAATATAAATTATATTTTTAGATGTAAATATATTACTTTATGATGACATTATTGTGATATATATATAATATAATGAGTTCTTTTTCCCTGGAGAACCTTAACTAATACATCTAGTTCAGAACATAATTCTATTAGTTAGAGCCAGCCTAACAAAAATAATTACCTTCCCAAACCAACTTTAGATTATCATTTGTTTTCAAGGCCATGGTTCTCAGCCTTAGTTGCTCATTAAAAATATTCGGGGAGGGCAGGCATGATGGCTCACACCTGTAATCCCTGCACTTTGGGAGACCAAGGCGGGAGGATCTCTTGAGATCAGGAGTTCAAGACCAGCCTGGCCAACATGGTGAAACCCCGTCTCTACTAAAAATATAAAAATTAGCCGGGCGTGGTGGCACATGTCTGTAATCCCAGCTATTTTGGAGGCTGAGGCAGGAGAACCACTTGAACCTGGGAGGCAGAGGTTGCAGTAAGCCAAGATCGAGCCACTGAAACCCCAGCCTGGGTAAGAGAGTGAGACCCTGTCTCAAAAAAAAAAAAAAAAAAAAAAAAAAAAAAATACTTGGTGCACTTATGAAAGCCTGCAGAGCCCAGAAATTCTGATTTAATTGATCTAAGAAAAGGGAGAGGTAAAAGCTCCCAGGAAAGTCTAGTGCCCAGCCAAAGGCCATGGGAGTGATGAGTGACCCTGCCCACACCTAACGGAGCGTCCCCTGCTCTGCTAGTCAGTCAACAGAACACCAGCCAATTTCTCTAAGCCAAGAGCTGGTTATTTCCAACCTCCCCTGGAAGAGTTTACTTAATACCATAAGAAGTCATTTTCTCTTCCATCTACTGCAAGAAAAAACTGGATATTGCAATTGCCATCCTTTTTGAGTTAAAATACTCTACATTTTTAAACAAATAAATAAAAAAGCTTAACCATTTTGAAATTACCAGTAGGGAAGAAATCGGGTGAAAAAGGAGAGGAACCATGCATTACTGAGAATACTCCTGTCCCAAATCTCTCTCCATATCCATTTCTTAAATTTATTCATTCATTTTAAAAACTCAACTTACAATTCTTGAAATCTTTACCTAGGATATGTCAGCCAGTATTCTAGACATCTGGTATACATCATAGAACAAAACAGTCCTGCCCCCATGAAGTTTCATTCTAGCTTACCCCTAGTATATGCCAGGCTCTGAACTAAGTCTAAAACAGATGATCCCTGCCCTTCCAGCTCCCTGCAAAGCCAGCATTAATAATAGGAGGGCTTTTTACAGAAAATGAAACTGTGACTTGTTTAAGTTACAACCTGTGAGTGTTGAAGTCAGAGTACCAGTCTTTCCTGTATACCTTACCACCTATTTGAAAAATGATGGATAGTTATCTTAAACGGTGAAGAATTAGTGTAAGTTCTTAAACAAAATAGTGGCGATATTAAGATCATGCTTGAGAAACCTAATTCTTGCTGTCTCCTTACATATTTTAAGTTTGGCCTAACTCTGTCTCTGTGCATAGTGAGCTGTAATGTAACTGGATGTGTAAACAGATTGTAGCCTACTCTTGTGCCAATCTCCAAGTTTTGGCCAATCAAAGGTGGCCAACCATTCAAACCATGTTCAAGTAAGGCAAACATCAAGCTGTAACCAACCCAACTATTTTTGTACCTTGCTTCCATTTTCCATATGTCACTTTTCTTTTTCTGTTCATAAATTCTCTCCTACCACGTGGCATCACGGGGGTGCTCTGAACCTCTTCTGGTTCTGGGGCTGATCCATTCATGACTCATTCTTTGCTCAATTAAAGTCTGATAATTTAATTTGTCTAAAGTTTTCCTTTTAACACGACCAAGAGTCACAGATTGCTTAGTCTGGAGAAGCTACTCTTGGCTCTATGCAGTCCACAAAAAATGACATTTAGAAATGGTTTTCCTTCCCTGGTCTCCAGAGAAGCAGCGGCTTTCATACTCTGAAATGCAGCATCCTCATCTGTAAGATGCAGGTGCTAAATGATGACTGTTGTTCTTTCAAATGTTAACTTTCTATGAGTCACTTCTTCATTGTATGTGTCAAGAAGCACAACCTCGAAAGCCTGCCTTTGACAATGCTTAGAGGTTAGAGGATGCCAAATGAGCCTCATCTTCTTTGGCTACTGAGTTAGTAACCATCCTTCATTTATCTCAGGGAGCAAAGGCAGGATTTCCGTGGGTGTCCAAGGTCCTTACTCACAGTCAGGATGCATGGCAGTACCCTTAATAACTACAGATTCAGAATCACAGAAGACATTTACCGAGTATGTATTTTCTGCCAAACCCTGTGCCAGGTGTTATTAGAACATTACTTATGAAATATTTGGTAGTGTGGATGAAGAGGCAGCTTTTCCTGCTTACACAATACAGAAATATGATTTCAAAAATCTATTAAAATTTTATTAATCTCAGAAGGCATGATTTCTAATTGTGTTTGATCTTACACTTGTTATGATTTAGGAATTCACATCTGAGTTGGTTGCATGATGCTATAGTTGGCAACATGATTCTGACCGCCACCATCACAAATAGAGGTTAGAAAATATTACTTATGTGAAAATAAATGCCATTTCTGGCACCTAAAACAGCTCTTTTCTCACCTTCCTATGATGAGGTTTTATTGAGCTTTTGCAGGAAAGAAAAGAAAGAAATCTGCATTCAGGTTTCAGGAGTAAAGAGGCTGCTCATTAACAAAGCCGTTTCAAAATCTATTGAAATGCTCCACCACGAATACATGCCCTATTACTAAAATCACTGTCATTTCTATGCTTTTCTTCTCCCTTCAATCACATACCACCCAGTTTTCAGTTCCTATAATTGCCAAAAGCCATTTATGAATCTGCCTTATTGTATGGGTTACAAACGTCTATTTTCCTGCTCTGTTCATACACATTTGGGAGCACCTTAAGATGCTGAAACACTGGCAAATGCTTAATATATTTCATTTGAAAGAATTATGATCTAAATCTTAAAGAAACAGTGAGTAAAGTGCAGTTTCTGCTGCTTGGTTACTGTAGTTCATTCGGGGAATTTCATCTTGGTCGTGTTGAATGCAGTGGTTAGATCCTGTGAAGTTGTTTAATTAAAGGTGTTCTAGTAGTCAAAGCCATGTCTAAAACCCCGTTTGTTTAATTCTTTAGTAATGTCAACATTCCTAAATTTCATGTAGCCTAAGAGATTTTTCCACTGGCTTCAAATCTGAGCTTTGCCACTTTGGTGTCCTTTGCTATGAATGTTCAATGAGGCGTTCTGAGATCACCAAGAATAGAAGAGACACACCCCCGGCTGTCAGAAGTTTAACCTTGGAGAATGCCATGAAGGGCAATTCTGGAAGAAAAAAGAGAAGGGAATTCCTCGTAGGTTTAAGATCAGAAAGTGGGGAAGGCGGGGGTGCTCTTAAATGCATCAGCCCTACTGCCAGCACAGTGGGGACTATTAACACATCATATTTTTTTTTTCCTGCAGTTACTCAACCTTGCAGTGGGACAAGTTGCTCAATGACTTACCAGGAGACAATTGTTATTTTTAAAAATGTCTTTCTTATTTTAACTACAAGGACTTGGCTTGCTTAGAGGCTCTTGCTCAGGAGTCTTTAAATGCAAATGAGGGAAACCCCAGGTTATAAAGCATCTGCTTCTGCAGGTTTTCAATCCTGTTACCTTAGCAACATTTGCCCTTGTATTCCACGCATCACCTTGACAGCCTGCATAATATAAGGGACGGAGCGGAGCAGGGGCTCGGGGTGGGAGCCTGGAAAGAAAACTGGGGCTCAAGGAGGTTTAATATCGGTTAGTAGCTTGGGATCCTTCGGATAACGGCTGGGCAATGAAAATAAAAAGCCCCATTTCCAGAAATCAAAGAACTTGGGGAGAAATAAACACGCTGGTTCAAAGGAGGGGAAAATATATCAGAACTAGTCGGACCTAAGGGAGCAGATATTTTCCAAAAATATCCTTCCCACCAGCCATGCTGCAGATGTGTCACTGTGGCTCAGAGGCAGGCCATCTGCTGCAGTGTTTCCCTGGAAACCCCCAGCAACGCCCCTCCCGGAGCTCCTCCGCGGTCTCCCCCACTCCATCCCCGCGCAGCGGAGGAGCTTGCCGGTGATGTCACTGCTGCTAGCTGGGAGGGAATCCCAGGACCTGCGTCCCTCGGGTAGAGCCAATCATGGTCGGCTCTGGATGCTGGAAACCTGGGGCTTTTAACCAGAAAGAATTGCAAAAGCAATATGCAATTCATCACAGTCCACAAAGCACAGTTCCTAACAGATTCTGAAAACGTGATTTTAAAAAAAATGAGATTTATCCGTAAACGAGGGCTAGGCTACAGTTGGTAGGGCGGCTGTCAATTCTTCTACGGAGTTTTAACCTACACTCAATGGATGCATGAAAAAAAGAAATGAAATGATTTTTTTAGCTACTTTAAAAAATAAAGGTAATGAATATTTCTTATCTATATGCATATATATATATATTTCATTATAATTGTTGCTTCTGCAGAAAATTGGGATAGAAATCTCAGATGAGCTGTAGTTACACGGAGATCTACAGCAATGCAATGTTTAGCTAGCATGCATTTTGTCATCCAAGGCTAGTAGGTGAAATATTTCCTTTACCTGTCTTGATGCACGGTGGAGAAAGGAGACCCGCTTCGTTTTCCCTCTAATCTAGAGAGTTAACCTCCTCCAGGTAGGGTTGAAAATATGAACAGAGCTGCTTTTGCAAGACTGTGTTGCCTCTAAATGTGATTTAACTCGCATATTCAGAATCTTAGCAAAAATAAATAAATAAATAGTAAGATGGGGTAAGGCAAATACATAGATATTTTGGAGATCTTATCCCTTATTCAAGGACTGTAGATTATTACAGCTTTGTTGTCATATTATCTCTAGGCAGTAAATCATAGTAAAGTAGTAAATTCATAGGGAATGAATTAATCTCCTTTTTGTTTTGTTTTCTCTGAAAAAGAGGGTGTGATTACAGCATATATTGATTGGGTACTGATTATGGGACATTTTCATTGTATTTGTTGTTGTTGCAGTAGACTAAATGTCGAGCCCGTGAATCTCTTGTGTTGGCATTGTCAGAAAAAAGTTGTATTTTTTTTAAACTGGTCTAAAAGGAAAAAAATTGAACATATATCTTTATATTTTTTTTGCTCTCTTCTCAACCATGTTTAGTGTTTTGTTTATATTCAAAGGATTTTATTTTCACACTTACAATTCTTTACTTGTCTGTCATTCAAATCTTTGTTACCAAAACAGTTTGCTCTTTTTCATCATTCACTAAGCATTCCTTTCACAGCTAAGCTAAAGTGTCTATATGGAAACATACATACACACACACACACACACACACACACACACATGCACACACACTTTTTCCAGGCCACAGACAGGAAGATATGTGTAAATGTATACATGTTTTCAGTAGCATATATACACAAGGGTCTCCAATAAGATTTTTCTAGAAACAAAGGCTGATACTACTTCATTTCATATTATTGTAAAGTGCTAATTCTAAGTAAAAGTAGACTAAAAAAGAGATAAAAATAAAGATAAAAATGAGTGGGCTCTCACAACCTTGTTTTTTTCTTTTTGTTTTTCACTTACTCTCTTGGCTTTTTAACTCCTTCCTTCTCTGCCTCTTATGAATGACACCAGGAAGAGTTATTGTAAACAATTGGAATTTCTAAAGTTCTGTGTAACTGTTAGTATATTCACTATATGCATGGTATAATTTATAAAATTAATCTTTGAAACTGTTAACCCCTAGAAACAGAAAGAAAGAAAGAAAAAAAGAAAGAAACATAAAGAAATCTTGACCCACTATAAATCCTGTTTTCTCTGCCATCTCCCCCAGTTACACCCAGGGCAAGTCTATCTTCTTCAAAGACATTCAGTCAGCCCACAGCTTTTTATCTTTTCAAACCTTTAATGGCACCATTAGCTACGGAACCTTGATTTCCTTAATTTTTCCCCCACTGTCACTGCAACCATCACATGTGGCTCTCAGAGCTTCTAGTTCCCTGGAAACAGGAGTTCTATCTGCCATCACCAGGTATAAGGTGCCACCACTTGAAGGGATCTGCCCTATCAAAAATGAGGAAATATATTGATCAAAATGGCTGGAGAAAGTGACCAGCCAAAACACAGCTTCACAGTCTTGCCTGTTTTAAGTAGATTCTATTTCCATTTTGCCGGTGACAGCACTAAGCAAATAAGCAATGTTGCCAATCCGAGAACAGCCTGCATTCAAGGTATTCAATCAATCAAAGAGAGACAATGGCATTCTCTCAAAGATCAGATGTTTTGTAGTGCAACTATGTTGTTCTGTTTTTCTTTACTTCAATTATCAGATAGACAGGAAAAAATACAACAAAATAGCATGTAGTTGATTTGCCAAAAATAAATAGCAAAGAAAAAACAAGAATAACTAGAAAACACGTGACAATTTTAGAAAAAATGTAATCACATTTCCAATTACTAGACAAGATATAAATAAAGAGCATTTATAAAATGTTTAAATCCATTCTTTTAAAACGATAAACAACTTCTCTAACTGGAAATTACTGTGCAGCTGCTACTTTGTATTTTATTGGTATAAAATAACTTTAGAGTTCTATTTCATTGCATTGCAAAGGTGTAATACTTTGCCATAATTAGGTTTAAATCTTGCAAAAATAGAAACCTGCATTTTTTGGTTTTATATTAGTTTTTTTAGGTGATGCTATTCAATGGGAGGATATAATTGCTGTTTCTATGACCTTGGGTAAGTCATTTAACCCCTCTGAACCTTGGTTTCCTTCTTTGGTTGAAAATAGAGACAGTAATACTTGACCTCTCTCTCCAGATTTTGATCAGGTTAAAGAGGCCAATAAAAATGAATGTGATTTTGTAAATAGTGATACACACATCTGATGCACTGTTGTGTATTTTTGCACCTCCTCAGCAGTGCTCTAGCTAGTCTGTCCTTGTCCTTGTCAACTGTACGTGAACATGATGCCCTCTAGTGACTGCACTTTGTAGATGCTGTAGGCCCCAAGGAAGCCTTGAGAGGAAAAAAGAGCTTAATGAAGTTAGAGAAGGGAAGGGAGGCCCGTAGCGGAAAATTATGGGTTATAAACCAATAAAAGCAGCAGGAAAAATAAGCAGCAGCTGACTATGAGTAAGAGGACAAGATGCACAAAGAGGGAGAAGAGAAAATAAGCAGAATAGAGAGAGAGGTGAGATGTAGCTGATTTTGGAAGAGTTCACTGTGGCCTGGAAGGAGAGGAACAGGAATCTCTGCCCAGCTTTGTTTATAACCGGCAGTAGGTCCTTCCGTTCATGTAAGCTCTGCCCTCCACAACTCACCCTGTGACTGCAAAATGAGATAGTTAAAATTAAGGTTCAGAATTCTTTGAGTCAATGTAAGAAGATGAGCGAAAAGTACAATGAAAATGAGAACTGAAGGAGGAAGAGTCTGTGGAAGCAATTTCCAGAATCTTGTTTACTGTGTCTAAGGTCACCTCAGTATTGCAGTAACTTAATAACAACCAAGCGGCTGAATGAGGCAAGCTCAGGTGGGGTTTGGTCGATCGCAGGATGATCCTGTACTCTTGTAGTAACAGGAGTGTTTTGCAGTACAGCTCCACCCTTCACAAGGATCCAGCCCCTGTGAGATTGCATCCTCTTAGACTGAATGCCTAGGAGTCTCACTGACTACCTGTCTGAAGAGCTCCTTCTTCTTTTCTGAATTAATCCTTCTTTACTTAGAACTATCTGAGGATCAAGTGATCTTCCAGTGGGAGGATATTTAAACCCAGCTTCCCCTTGCAAATTACAGATGCTATAATCCTGTCTGCATTAGGCTTAGGTCATGCTTTCTCTAAACGAACTGTGTATTACAGGAAAGTAATCAAAGTCCACAAGAACTGTGTAATTAAACCAGTGATGGTGCAAATAATCCAGAAGTCTGTCATTGCTCTCTCTAGACAAAGGATCACTCAAAGATGAGAATTTGAACTAATTTTACTGAAAGACAGGATGATGCAGCTGAATGGAAAGAACACTGCATAGGGGTCAGAAGGTGTGGATTTTCATTCTGACATGGACATTTGCTATCTGCCTGATCTTCTGCAATATTCTAAACTTAACAAAGCCTTATCTATACAATGGGAATTAATCCATTTATTCATATATATTAAAGATTTTCAATGTGCCAGGCACTGTGTTAAACTTCCAGATGGCAGTGAGAAACAAACTCTAGAATTTCTGAGTCATGATAAAGATGAAACAGGTGTTATATTTTAAAACTCGAAATGTCATAACAGTGTAAGGTACTATGCATTCCTAAAGCAACATAAAACAATAGGGATTTTTCCAACCTTAAAGAGCAGCATTTAAAATTGAGTCTTGCCTTGGGAGCCTGTGACCCACGGGAGCATTGGAAATGACATCAACCACGAAGTCTTTTTTCTTCCAGTGAAATGCAAAACCTGCTACCTCCCTGGAGCTATTAGCTTGGCCAAATAGTCCTCTAGTTAGTAAGTGGACAAAGTAGTTACTGCACGGCTAACTGCAACTCTTCATTTAAATATTTCCCTCATGTCCAGATAGGATATGTCTAATATCATATGCCTAATAGCTTTTCAGCATCTTTCCACACAGAAAGAAAGGGAAATAAGCCTTGTCATAGCCATGAAGTGTCCCCACCACCAGAGTTTCTTCTCTGCTACCCCTATGCTGCCTAGGAATGCTAAAACTATTTTATGGGGCCACCAGGTGGCAGTTAGGGCAAATGGTTTTAGTTTTTTTCTTTCTACATTCTTGGGGAAGACCAGGGGCTTAGGAATGGAGAAGCAAGCCTTGGAAATAAAAGCATTATGGAGCATTTGGGGGTGCCAGGCCCTGTGCTATATGTGATATATGCAATACCTCACCCAATCCTTATATCAATATCTGTTAAATATACTATTGAACAGGTGAAGATAGAGTAATATGGGAAATAAAACATCTTCCGTAATAAGCAGCTAGAAAGTACCACAATGTAAATTCAACTGCAGAAGACATGACACCACAGGGAAATTTCGTTTCACTGCAGCAGTGTCTAAAAACTGAAGATGGGGAAAGTGTAGAGTGTGTTATTAAAATGATTTTTTCAAAAGGTTTTAAGAGTCTAAATAAATTGCATAATTAGTCAGTTTCCTACCTCCTAGTCTTCCTACCTTTAGTCTTTATTTTTAGCTCTCCTGAGTTTGTAGTTGTTCTCCTTCCATGGTTTGATTCTCTCCTTAGCTTTCAGATTCTATACATTTCACTTCTCTTTATAAATAATTTTTAAAAATTCTTCATGTGAACCTGTTCAAGAACCTGTTGCATTGAGGACTGAAGATATGGCTCTAGATTCCTTACTGTTTCCGGTAGAGAATCTGCAGAGAGAATATTTCACTGAAGCAAAATTATAAATGGAACATTTGACTTTATATTTCCATGTCCCCAAAGATTTACTAAACATTAGATCTGATTTGGCCAACTTTTTCTACCAATATTTCCGGCTCTTGATATGAAACTAGTTAAAGCTATTTTTTCCCTTCAATCAGCACATTTTCAAACTTAGAACATCTATTACTCAAATTTGGCATAAAATTATGCAGCCAGCTCATTATCCACTTTCTGCATATTGCCAAGGGCTCGCTACGTATGTGTGTTCTGGTTGGCAGACATTTTGGGTAACTACTATTCTCAATTTGTACCTACTTTATTTCAATACATGTTTCAAGATGAGTGTTAAAGGGTACATTGCTTTAGGAAACTTGTCTTTTTCTGGCATTTGAACTTGCCTAAATTAGAAAAAAAAATTCTGGTTCCAGTCCTTTTTTTCTAAAAAAATATTCCAAATCATTAGATGAAACTGTTAAAGATAACGTTTGGAAAGTTTGTCTCCTCTTTGGTGATTAAAAAGTGCTTTCCATTTTTGGCCCATGGCTCTTTTCCTGGGGCATAGCATTTGATTATAAAGCTTTTCTGATGAAAGTATCACAGGACAGCAAACATGAGAATGGGAGAAATAATTTTGCATGCAATTTTTTGTCATCTGGCTGCACTGTATGGGAAATACATTTTCCCTGTCAAAATGTCAAGTTGTTTTGACTTCACAACAAAAGAGGAAGGAAGTTCTTAAATGTAGAACAATAACTCAGCTCACTGCTGATTTCTATTTGTTCTATCCTTACATCACAGTATAGAGATAGAATGTGTCCTACAAATGTCCATGCAGCAACTCATATTCACTTGGCATAATTTTGTTTATTGTTTGAGAAAGTAGTATTTTGGGTAAAAATTCTGAAACAGGCAGTGAGTATGTCTGAGTATTTCTGGCAAGGGCTATTTCTTCCTTTCTCCTTTTACTCTGGAGTTTTCTTGAACTGAGCTGTTTGGACAAATGACACATATTTCAAGAATTCCAACTGTGGGAGTGTTTCACTCACAGGATTGTGCTTTCTTCTAAGAGCCAGGTCTGGTGAACACTCTCAGGAGCTTTGTAACATGTTCCAAGCTATGCAGAAGTGCTTAGTTCATTCACTAGTCAAAGACTAACACATTTACAGCAATAAAATGCATTATAAGCATTCTTTCTTCATGAATCTATTCATCCCATTAAAAAAGCAGGAATTCCAATTAAGTGAGGTAAAATATGCTAAGTAGTACAGTATAAGATTTTTAAAAATTACACCATGTTTTTCATGGATTATTTTAAGAAAAAAACTATTTTAAGAAAAAACTGTCCTATTTTTGGAAGGTCTAGTCCCAAACTGCACAGGAAAGTTAGAGGTAAACTGTTAAAGTCTTTGAGAACTGGCATTTTTCAAGCCGCAGTGAATGAAATCAAGCATTTCTCTGTTTCTCCTTTCCTTTCGGAATTTCTTTTCCTGAGGCTTGAGAAGGCAATACTGGTCTTACTTTTCACATGAGTCAAGTTTATACTAGCTGAGCACCCTGAATCATTAACGTCTTTCTCCCCAGGGGAGACCAAGCTCAAATCCATCATCAGAATACATACTTAGACCCTCTCCCTTCTTTCTGGCCCCCTGCTTCTTAGGAATGTGCTCTAACCACCACAGCATTCCTGATCACCACCTCCAGATGACAAAAAGAAAAAATGAGTGGCAGTGAACCAGAAGAGCTTAGGCCATCTATTTTATCCTAAAATCTGTTCAGAAATACGAGGTTTGTATCAATTAGTAAGCACACTGGGAATACAGGTATACAAGTTGTTAGCAATATTTGGTTATATAATGTCTATAGATATTTATTTTGCTTTCTCTCAGATATTAAGAATTATGTCTTTCCTTTAACCTCCATCATTTGTTTTTCTACTTTGGTGGAAGCTTTTTGTTTGTTTCTTTACTGCAACAGTGAATTTATCCTTGGATTTCTCCATTATGATTGGCAGTATTTATACAATAATTTCTTGGTATTAGTTAATTGATACCTTATATTTACTATTTTCCCCCAAAGCTGAGTAAAGAATAGAATGAAATGGCCTATACTTATCAGTGTAAATGGATATTAGAATTGCTGCTCTTATTCCAAAAAATATCACTTAAAGTTCACAAATGAAAGTTAATAACTGAATTTTAGTAACAACAACTTCAACTTAAAAAATTCCATGTAATTAATAGCTCATGAGTCCCACTGAGATAGGTTGAACTTCATAACTTCTAAAGCCTTTTATGTTTCTACTACTTTTCAGTTCTAATGTTCAATAGTAGCGTGAGTATCTGGTTAGTTTCAGTATAAAAAAGATGATACCCACTTGTGATATGATTCTACTTTCAATGTCACGGTGGAATCATTTATTAGTTTTTTAATTTAATTTTTCACATGTGAGTGTGATACAGAACACCTGATTTTTCTACACTATAGGATGTCAGTTCAGTAAATCGATTTTCCTCATTAGCAACTGCTTATCAATGACTATGCTGTATAGAAAGCAAGAGTATTATACTCTATTTTTGATCACAGATAATTGAAGTAAATTTAATTAGATCCATATGAAAGAAATAAGAACTCTCACAATTGTGACATATATACGTGTCTGTGCATATGTCATATCTTAGTATATGAGGTATTTGCATGTGCATACTTACCAAGTTAAACGACCTCCTATCCCACAAAGTTCTCTTTAGAAATAAACTTGAGTCTCTTGTTTGTGAAACCAAAGAGAATTTCCCGCCAAAGAAATACCTACAAAGAAGTGTAGGTAAAGAATTCAAATGATTGACTCAGGCTTAAGATGATTTGATAGCTCTTTCTGCACCAAGAAACACAGAAAATCTCAAAGCAGGCCTGTGCCAACTTGGTATAAAAAAAGCCTTCCTAAAGAGTGCATTATCTTCAATGGGAAACGTCGCAGTACACCTTGGCATCACCAGGTCAATTAGTGCACCGGAAAGATGCATGATATTTCCTGTTGGCAGCCACGAAGTGAGAGAATTGGACGGCTACTAGCCCTGTTGTGTGCCAAGGCCTAAAAATCATGCAAGGAGGTGAAATGATGCGTGCCAAGAAAATAGCAACCACAGGAAACAGCAAATAATGTAAGGTTTTGTGTCTTTACTCTAGATGTAAATACTCATTTACCAGGGCAGCTTTAAATTGACAGCTTTTGGGTTTGTGAGGATATTGTGAGTCAGGGTTCTCCTGATTGGGCAAGATGAACGAGTGAACAACATCACTAGGGGGCCGGAGTAGATGAGATACTCACTCATTCGTGTGCCTGCTTTAGCACCAGCAGTGTGGGAATGGGGAGAAGGCCAATGGTCTCAAGGCAGTTTCCAGCTCTCTGGCAAACAAGATAAGGCCATGGCTGTAACAGACACCCTCTGCCAGGTTCTAAAATCTCTCTCTTATGACCTTTTTAAGATCTTTAAAGCACCGTCTGCCCTTGGCCAACAAAAGAGAAAAAACAGAGTCAATGCGGAAAACGCTGCCAAGACAACATTTTCTTCTTAAGATCCTAAAAGCACCATTTTCCCTTTGCTAACAAGACAGGAGCAATAAAGAGTCAATTAGGAATATGTTGCCAAGACATTGGCCATATAATTTCTACTCCAGTCGGTTTTGGGTTTGATGCAGTTTAGAATTCTCTAGACACATTTTTTCATTTTTTTTTCTTACTAGAACGCAGAATGTTTTTGAGAGTAGAGGTGGATGGCACTGCTCATTAGAAATAGCTGTCCTGCCCCAGAACAATCTTCAAGACAAAGGTTGCAAGACTATCTTTGACCTTCCTGTCCCTAAACACTCCCCAACCCCAAGCCAAACACGCGCCTAAAAGTTTTCACACCTTGCCCTTTACTAACAGCAATCATATTTAGGAGGAATATATTATTGTTAGTCAGGAAATTCTACCTGGCTTCAGGAGGTAGCTTAGTGGGTATTTGCTAAGTCTGATACCTTTCCTTTCAACATTTAGCTGAGATTACCTATACTAAGAGCACGAACTACAACTGTGGAAAACAGAAGAAAGGAGAATGTTCTCCAAATCAAAGTGTGCTAAGGTCAGCTTGGGGCAGCCAACAATTCCTGGAAGGTGACAGAGATAAAGTTGCAGAGAGGGAAATGGTTGAAGACAAATGTCTCACGCCTTAAAATGTTGCTAAAGTAAGATGGCTGTTTGGATGAGTCATCAACAAGAACATCACCTTTGCTCTCTTCCTGCCACCCCTGCACTTCTCAGGCTACTGCTCCTAAAACCTAGAACTCAGGAGTGATGGAAATAGAGGGCACCCATGGCAAGGAAGAAATTGGAGAGTAGGAAACTCAGGGAAGTTAATCCTGAGGAAAGTGGAAAGTGACTAAAACATTTTGAGCAGAGAAAAGTCAATAAATCAAATATAGAAACAAGAGATGATAGGAGGTTCTCATAACAGTCCAAATGAGAGGACCAAAAGGCCTGGAGTCACGTCATTGCAGTAAAATGGAAGAAAAAACAAGAGTATAAATGAAGTGTCAAAGATGTTAAGAAACAGGATCTTTTAAAAAATTATTTTTAATTATTATGGGTACATAATAAGTGTATATATACATGGGGTACATGTGAAATTTTGATACATACAATGTATAATAATCTTATCGGGGCAATTGGGGTGTCCATCACCTCAGGCATTTATCATGTCTTATATTAGAAACAGTCCAATTCTCCTCTTTTAGCTATTTGAAAATATACAATAAATTATTGTTGAGTATCATCACTCTGTTGTGCTATCAAATACTAGATCTTATTCTTTCTATCTAACTATGCTTTTGCACCCATTAACCATCCCCACCTTCTCCCCATGCTGGCTATCCTTCCTAGCCTCTGGAAACCATCATTCTATTATCTATCTCCATGAATTCACTAGGAGAAATAGGATTTTTGACTAATGGGTCAGAAGAAGCAAAGGAAAGGAAAGGAAAGGAATAAAGAATGACTCAGGTTTCTTGCCTAGGAAATTGGTTAAAAAAAGGGTATTTTTAATTAAAAAAGGAGAGTTGAATAGGAGACTAATTTGAAGGAGAAAATAGCCTATTTTTAGATGTATTAAATTTATCAAATTTGTGTGCTGTATATCAGGGCTCAATCACAATTCTGGCATAAATTTATATATTTTATAGAACATTATTAACTTGAAAGAAATGCATGTATTTTGTTAATTGATAGAAACAAGATCAAAGGGCATATTATATTATTATTCCGCTTTGTAAGGAAAAATAGGTTTTGCATATTTATATAAAAAGGGAAATTGAATGTGATATACTCTGGGGTATTAATAATAATTGTGAATTAAATTCCTTTCTTTAGTTTATATTGCTGTCTCAAATCTTCTGATTTTTCTACCTTGAATGTAAATTTTTTGTTTGTAATATGGCACTTTAAATTAAAGTTGTTTTTCAGCTGGGCACAGTGGCTCACACCTGTAATCCTAGCACTTTGGGAGACCAAGGTGGGTGGATTACCTGAGGTCAGGAGTTCAAGACCAGCCTGACCAATATGGTAAACTCCTTCTCTACTAAAAATACAAGCAAATTAGCTGAGTGTGGTGGCATGCGCCTGCAGTCTCAGCAACTCGGGAGGCTGAGACAGAATTGAATTCGAGAGGCGGAGGCTGCAGTGAGCCGAGATCATACCACTGCCCTCCAGCCTGGGCAACAGATCAGGACTCCATCTCAAAAAAAAAAAAAAAATTAAATTAAAGTTATTTTTCTTTTCTTCCATTACCCAGACTGGAGTGCAGTGGCATGATCACAGCTCACTGCAGCCTCAACCTCCCAGGCTCAAGTAATCCTCCCACCTCAGCTTTCCAAGTAACTAGGACTACAGATGCACATCACCATGCCTGGTTAATTTTTGTAATTTTTGTAGAGATGAGGTTTTGCCATGTTGCCCAAGTTGGTCTCAAACTCCTGACCTCAAGTGATCCTCCCACCTCAGCCTCCCAAAGTGCTGGGATTACAGGTGTGAGCCACTGCACTAGGCCTTAAAATTTATTTTTCAAAAACTTGATGATTCAAATCATTGAAGATGCTCTTATGCCAAAGAAAAGGTAGTTCTAGGAAGTTCATGGAATCTTACAAACACCTTTACAGCTCAACAGAATTGCAAAGATGGGTAGTGTTTTGTTTTGTTTTGTTTCTCTGATTGTTCTACAGCTTATAGATACTGAGGTTACATTTTATGAAACAAAAGTAAGAATACATGATTTAAAAGTAAGATCAATTCCTAAAAATTGGACCTGAAAATTTTATGGATAGAGTAGATAGACGTGTAGAATTCATCCCAGCATAGAGTTGCTGGGATATTACTGGTGCTTCTTCACAGGGAAAGAAACCTGGCTACCCAGACTACAAAGGGAAAGGGGGAAAATGGCCTATAACTCATATCAGGTGAATTAGCAAACATTCTCATTTCAGACGATTTTTGCTGTCCCTGGTCATGAAATTTCCTTAACTGGGTTCTATCTTTTACTTTTTATCCCAGGCTTTTAGCAAGGGTCATAGGAAAATGGCCATTTCCACATATCTGGTATATCCCATTTGAAGATATTGCCTAACAAACATTACTCAGGATCCCTTACATAAAAACCTCCATGATAAATTTCTTCTGTACTTTTTTCCCCAAAAAGCTGGATTCTCCTGTAAAACTGTTATCTATTCTCTTTATATATTATAATTATGGAATTCATTATCATTTCTACTCTTATCTACATGACTAGGTCACCAACAGCTAATTATATAGCTAATTCATGGTAGTTAATTTTATTTACTTCTCTTAAGTCATGACTTACAAAATTGCATTTCTATGTATGCCATCTTATTACCTCCATTTATTTAAGTTGCATACTACTTCACATTTCCTTTGAAGTGTATATTATTATTAGTAGTAGTAGTATTTTGGAGACAGGGTCTCACTCTGTTGCCCATGCTGGAGTGCAGTGGTGCAATTATGGCTCACTGCAGCCTCAACCTTCCAGGCTCAAGCTGTTCACCTACTTCAGCCTCCCCAGTAGCTGGGACTACAGGTGTGTGCCACCATGCTTGGCTAATTTTTTAAAAATTTCCTATTTCTTGTAGAGATAGAGTCTTACTATATTGCCTAGGCTGGTCTTGAACTCCTGGACACAAGCAATCCTCCCACCTCCTCCTCCCAAAATGTTATAGACGTGAGCTACCACACCCAGCCATGAGTGTACATTATAAATAAATACCAATAATGTACTTTCACATATGAAAAGGCTATAAAAGTATGCAAATATATTATGGCAACATCTGTTAAGGGATAAAGTGACACACTGTTGCTCATA
This sequence comes from Homo sapiens, assembly GCF_000001405.40. NCBI lineage: Eukaryota > Metazoa > Chordata > Mammalia > Primates > Hominidae > Homo > Homo sapiens. The sequence goes on from NC_000008.11 coordinate 32,233,527, forward strand.
ACTCGAAAGAATATATATATATATATATATATATATATTTTTTTTTTTTTTTCTTTTGAAACGGTGTCTCACTCTGTCACCAGGCTGGAGTGCAGTGGTGCGATCTCAGATCACTGCAACCTCCGCCTCCTGGGTTCAAGTGATTCTCCTGCCTCAGCCTCCTGAGTAGCTGGGACTACAGGCATGAGCCAACATGCCCAGCTAATTTTCATATTTTTAGTAGAGATAGGGTTTCACCATGTTGGCCAGGTTGGCCTCGATCTCTTGATCTCGTGATCCACCCCCCCATCAGCCTCCCAAAGTGCTGGGATTACAGGTGTGAGCCATTGCATCCAGCCTCAAAAGAATAGTATAAACCTTATGTGTTCATATAAGCAGTAGAACCTATCCCTAATAGTTGGATTTTATTGTGTAAGTGTTTCATTAAGGAATGTCTGAAACATGTCCAGATTTTTATTTCAGTGGCTTAGTTTTGCCACAGAACTTCAGTTTTATAAATGTGTGTACTGGCTTAACTGTGAAAGTATTAAAATTATTGTATTGATTTTTGCTTGCAAATGAAATTCATAAACAGAATTATCACTGAAATTTACATGCAAGAGAAATTGATCAAGATGATTTGAAAACTTATGGAAAGATTGAAGGTTGCCAAAATCTTTCTCTTTCTAACTTCCTACCTTTATGTACATTTACACTCTAATCACAGGTATTTACAGGCCTTAATTTTAACGAAAATGAAGAAAACCAAGAAAGAAACAGCTCTTTAGAGCAATGGAAAATCTTCTATGATTTCTCACTGACATTGGCTAGATACTCTGCATTTATGAGCAATCATGCATGTATATCATCAGATTTAACCTTCACAACAATTCCATATATATTATCAGATTTAATCCTCATAATAGTTTGCTATCCTAGGTTTTAGTTTAGAAAACTGAGCCTCCCATAAGCTAAGAAGTTACTTGTCCAATATCACAACTTTAGATAATGGTAGACTTAGATTAAATCCATATTTGCTCGCTCTACATTCCATATTCTTCCCATTTAATTGAACAAGATTTTGGAATAAAGTTGAAATCCACAAAAGGAATAGGACAGTGACTTCACAATAAAAATATTAAATGTGGCAGAAAGTATGGATGTCAATGGAATGTAAATTCTGGGCCTCCTCAAAAACTTGATATACTCATCCTGTGTTAGTTGTGAAATAAACAGGTTGGAGAGTGAGGAAATGTGGTTTTTGTTCCCAGAGTCATTACTGACCAACTGTGTGCTTTGATATTATATTTGCTTTCTGATACTAATTATATTAATTCTCGCTCATAGAAATCTTCCCTCCTTCATACCCCACCTCTGTTTGATTCTTAATCTCATACATAAGAGGTTTTTATTCAATGTCTCATTTTTCTTTCCAGGACAAGTATGTTGTAAGAATTAATTAATAGTCTTAGAACCATTCAAGCAGTAGGTTCTAATTGAGTATTTTTCTCCCCGGTTAGCACAGCACCCTGTCAGAGCCCTCAAAGTCAGACAAAGAAGGATGAAACATGTTTTGGTCCTTAATAAAGAACTGCTGATTGACTGTTTGAAAAACAAATGCCGCACACCTGTAATCCCAGTGCTTTGGGAGGCCAAGGCAGGAGGATTGCTTGAGCCTAGGAGTTTGAGACCAGCCTGGGCAATATGATGAAACCTAATCTCTACAAAAAAAAAAAAAAAAAAAAAAAAAAAAGAGCCGGGCATGAACCTGTAGTTTCAGCTACTTGGGAGACTGAGGTGGGAGGATCGCTTGAACCCTAGAGGCAGAGTTACATTGAGCTGAGATTATGCCATTGCACTCTACCCTAGGGTGCAAGATTCTGTCTCCAAAAAATGAAAAACAGCTGTATGGTTTGGAGAGCCAGTGGCTGACAAACTGAAGGTCATGGCTAACAGAGTCTCCATATCAGTGAATCTCAAACATCTGTTTACATAAATAGCATCTTCTTATAAAAAAATACAAATTCTGAGCCCCCATCCCATTATAGTTGGTAAGTCTAGGATGAGACCAGAAGGGGTCATTTTAATGAGATTTTCAGATGACTTTGAATTTATATTTAATATTTATTCTGGTTTGCCTGGGGTTGAAGGGTTCCCCAGGGCATGAGACTTTCAGTCTTAGGCAAACTGGAATAGTTGGTCACTCAGATTTCGGTGCAGTGGTTAAAGTTAACACTTTCAAAAATATTGTAGTGATCTAGATTTGGTTCTAGGAGTTTGGCTCAATTCAGGGCTAACAAAAAAATCTGTTTAGGGCCACTTGGGGATTAGTGATTCTCAAAAGGTAGTCCTTGAATCACTTACTGAATACCTATAGTTGAAGAACAGATAACTGCATTTTAACAAGATTCAAAGGCAAATTAATGTTTGATGACCGTTGACATCAAGTCTCAGAATCAGAACTGTTCAACTTCCAAGCAAATGAAATTACTAAACTCACTTCTCTGAGTGAGGCTGAGAGCAAGAAGTTAAGTATAATGTTTTTTGAGCTAAAATACAGAGTCTACTATCAGAATCCTGTTTCCCACCATAAGGATTAAGATTTTTTTGTTTTTGTGTGTGTATGTGTGTGTGTGTGTGTGAATGTGTGTGTGTGTGTTTGTTTTTTGTTTTTCTGAAGTGAATGACATCGTTTTTTGGAATGAAAAGGTCTTGCCCCACCCTGCAAGTGTATCTCTGCCTTTGAGACAATTTAGCCCTGGAATCAAACCTGGGGGGGAAAATCAAATTATGATATTAAAGAAAACGCTGACAAATTTCTAAATTCCTTTCCTCTACTCCCTGCTGCATACAACTTCCTTCTTTCTATCTATAAATACTATATCTGCTCTAGAAACGTGAAAAATAACATAAATATTGAACAGAGTGTGAAGGAATTTAAACTTTATTGATGAGTAGTAGTATTACCCTTCTGGACTGATGCAGATGAGAGCACCATAAAGACAAAGTGAGTTCTTTTGGTCCTTAAGCCATGAATTGGAGTCTGGATAGTAGGGATGGAAATGGGTTATTAGATCATCAGTTCACTTTCCTCTCCAAGCAGCAATTAAATTTGTTTTCTTTGTCTCAGCTTACTCGTTGCTCAAAAAAAAGAAACATTTCAGCTCCTCTTCATGGGGAATAAGACCAAACATAGAACACTTTTCTCTTAACATGTGTGGTGCTTGAGAGGAGAAAGAGGCAGGAAGGAAATGCAGGAGAAATGTGGGAATCACAGTTAACCTGAAGGATTACTTTGGCTGTCCCCTTCAGCTAATGTGAACATTCTGGCAGTCAGATGCAGCCCTGTGAGAAACATCTATCAGACATCCTAAGTAGATGCTCCAACTGCTGTTTTTCATGTACAGCTGACTCCAAGATGAGTGTGATGCTATCACGGTGCAGGATAACAGAGATGTACCGCGAACCCAACACTCAAGATGGGAATGATAAAACTTCAATAACAAAAACAAAAAAACAAAACAAGCCACACTATCCTTTCAGCCTTCAGGGATCGCCTCCTTAAACTGTTTTCTAAAATCTTTCTGCACTTTATATCAGGTGCAGGAGAAGTAGACTACATACATTATTTGTTGTCTATCTTTGAAAGGATTTCATTCCCTCTACTGCACTTAATCATTCCCTTATCTGAATATTAACTCAGTGTAAAGCTTCCCAAATTTTCCAAGTTCTTGAAAGAGAGCAAAACATATTGCAAAGCTCTATATGTTTCCTGCTAGATATATTTCGTGAAAGACTTCATTATGTCCACTTTCTTTTGAGTTTTTGTGTTAGCCCTGCATTGCTATAATTTCCAACATCCCCTGGAACATAATGAAAACCAGAGAATTGCTTTTTTTTTCTGGGTCCATTTTATTACATTCTTTTACATCTCTTACTTAACTACTTCTAATGCCTTTGCTCTGAAACTTTGTGCATTTGAGGGTTTTTTTTTCCCCGTGATTTGGTGGACTGCAAGGGCACACAAAACTAGCTTATTTTTCCTAGTCAGGCAGTTTTGAATAGAAGGTGATTGTGTTTTCCAGAGATAAGTATGTAAGTCTTTTCTGCTACCGGAGGAGGATTCTATTTTAGTAGTCTATTAAGTAGACAATAAGCGCTGAGTTATGAGTTGATAAGTGGATCTGCTTACCACCTAGAAACATCAATTGAAACCACAGCTTATGGTTTCTTACTGCCTCTTTTTGGTTTCTCACTGAGTCTTTCTGGTTATTGTTATCATTTCGTTTTTGACTTGGGCTTGGACTGTTCAGCTTGGCTGTGTTAATTTTTCAGAATCAATGACTTTTATAGTTACTTCCATGAGTTTTTCCTCCTGCATTTTATTTAAGCAATTCACTAACTATTTATAAGACCATCTTTGAAAGCCTGAGATACATATCTAGGCAAATATCCATGGAAAAAATAAACACTCTGCAAATTTGCAAACAAATACAGCAATTGCCAAAGTAGGGTTATCTTTTGCAATCAGTACTGTGGTTTCAGTTTGAAAAAATAAAGCTTTCTTGTCAGTTTTGCTCCAAGGGCTATCTGATTCGGTGTGTAGTCGGTGAGGAAATAAATACAGGTATAATAATCTGTGCTTGCTCAAAAATTAAAAAATCCTTTAGGAGGGGGCCAGGCGTGGTGGCTCATGCCTGTAATCCCAGCAATTTGGGAAGCAGAGGCAGACAGTTTACCTGAGGTCAGGAGTTCTTGAGACCAGCCTGGCCAAAATGGTGAAACCCTGTCTCTACTAAAAATCTTAGCTGGGCTTGGTGACATGCACCTATAGTCCCAGCTACTTGGGAGGCTGGGGCAGGAGAATCGCTTGAACATGGCGGAGATTGCAGTGAGCCAAGATTGTCCAGCCTGGACAATAGAGACTCTTTCTCAAAAAGAAAAAAAAAAAAAAACCTTTAGGAAGGATAAAACTCATTTCCTCTATCAGCATAGTGTCACCATATTACAGAAGTATCAAGGTCAAGTATTAAGACTACTGAGGCTCAGGTGTCCTTGGCTGAAGGGAGAGAGAGGATACCATTCTTGCATAGTCTTCAGGGCAGCAGTAATCAGCAAACTGATAGGTTGCTTCTGGGTCTAAACCCACTGTAATCATTTGCTTGTAGAGATGACAAAGTTATCAGTTGTACTTACATCCACTTTTTTTGTTGTTTCAGAAGCTTACCACACTTCTCCCAGTTTCCTTTTAATTAGTTTGTAATTTTAAATCATTACATTAAGATAAGAGGTTTTTATTAAATTTGGTAGAACTCATGGTAGGTCCTACAGAAATCACTGAACTTGGCAGCCAAAAACAGTGACCAGGCTGAGGATGTGCCTGAATTGAACAGGGAGATGCTATTTACTTCTTAACAGAGACATACTTTTCACGCAGAAACTTGGCAACTGGAGGAGAAAAACACAGAGGTGAAGGGGAAAGAAGACTATTCTGGAAATTAACAGGTTTCAATTTTGGTTGTTCTTCAACTTGTTAGCTATGTGGCCAGAAATAAGCCTCTTAAACTCTCTATTCCTTGGTTTCTTCACCCACTACTCTAAATCTGATGAAACAGAGCAGTAAGAATTTCTTAGGATATAGCTTAATTTATTTTTTTTTAAAAAGCTCAATCTAAAAACAAGCTTAATTTAAAACAGAGACAAACAAATATGCCTAACTTTGAGTTTTGACAAAAAATGCAAAAGTAATTCAATGGAGGAAAGATGAGCTTTAAAAAAAAAAAAGTGATACTGGAGCAATTGGATATCCAAAGGCAAAAAAAAAAAGTGCCTAAATTCATTTCTCACATCTTATACAGAAATTAACTCAAAATTGATTACAGACTTAAACATAAAATGTTAAGCAATAAAACTTTAGGAAACAAACAGGAGAAAATGATGAGGACCTAAAGCTAGGTGAAGAACTTCTAGACTTGATACTAAAAGTATGATTTTCATTTTAAATGAATTTTAAAATGAATTTCAATGAATTTTAAAATTCATTTTAATCAACTGGGACCTCATCAAAATTAAAACTTTTGTTCTGTAAGAGACCCTGTGTAAAGAATTAAAAGAAACACTACAGAGCAGGAGAAAACATTTGCCAACCACATATTCAAGAAAGATTTTGTACCTAGAGAGTATAAAGAACTCTCAAAACTCCACAGTAAAATCCAAACGATCCAATTAGGAAAATGGGCAAGAAACATAAACAGAAATTTTACCAAAGATGATATACAGATGGAAAATAAGCACATGAAAAGATGTTCAATATCATTAGCCATTAGGAATATGCAAATTAAAACAATGAGATAGCACTATCTACCTATCAGGATGGCTAAAGTAAAAAAGAGTAATAATACCAATTGCTGGAGAGGATGTGGAGAAACTGGATCACTCATACATTGTTGATGGAAATGTAAAATGGTACACTCTGTAAACAATTTGCTTGCTTCTTATAAAACTAAACATGTATTTACCATATGATTCAGCAGTTGTGCTCTTGGACATTTATCCCAGAGAAGTAAAAACTTAGACTCAGTAAAAACCTGTACATGAATATTAATAGCTGTTTTATTTGTAAAAGCCCCAAACTGGAAACAACCCAAATATCCTTAGATCAGTGACTGGTTAAACAAACTGTAGCACAGCTATACTATGACATACTATGAAGCAATAAAAAAGGAATGAGCTATTGATACAGACAAAACCATGGATGAATTTCAAGGGAATTGTGCTAACTAAAAATAAGCCAATCACAAAAGATTTCATGTGATGTGATTTTATTTATATAATATTCTTGAAATGACAAAAATATAGAAATGGAGAACAGATTAGTAGTTTCCAGGGGTCAGAGAGTAGAGGAGGGAGGGAGGTGTGTGTGTCCATAAAAACGTTGCGCCAGGGATCCTGGTGAGGAAGCTATTCTGTATCCTCATTGCTGGTGTTCACGTGAATCTACATATGTGATAACATTTGATGGAACCAAATACACACACAAACACACACATACACATATGAGTGCATATAAGACCAGAGAAACTTATTTTGGTGGATTCCGTAAATGTCAAATCTTTGGTTATGATATTGAAGTGTAGTTTGGCAAGATGTTACTATTGGGGAAAATAGTAACATTGTACTATTGTCCTGTGAATTATTGATTCACAGGAAATTGTAAAAAAAAATGCTTTGTCCTATACATTTTTTTAGAATTTCCTGTCAATCCATAATTATTTCAAGATAAAAAAAGTTTTGTAAAGGAAGAATTTTAGAGACTCTTTCAGATTTTTTATTTTGAGATTTAATCAATTATATGAGAAAAATAAGCTTTAACTGACCACTCTTTCCTTCCTATCCAAAGCTTAGTCAATGAGAAAATGTTGCAAGAGAAGGAGAATGGGGGGTACCTGAGACTCCAGGAGAGTACATACCCTTTTTAAAAAAGCAATACAAGCCAGCAGAAAAAGGAAAGATGGGACTCTGGAGCGATTATGTGAATCTGTGGTTCTCAAAGTTCAGCATGCATCAGATTCCCAGAGGGCTTGTTTAAACAAAAATTTCTGCCCTGCAACCACAGAGTTTCTGATTCACTAGGTCTGGGGGTGGTGGGTGTGGTTCAAGAATCTGCATTTCTAGAAAGTTCCCATGTGATGTTGACTCCAGTGCTGATGCTGCTGGTCAGACCACACTCTGGAAACTACTGCCATAGAACATCTGAGAGTCACAATTTGAAACTGTCTCAAGAAATTTCTAAGTAAAATGCAATGCAATAAATTACTTAAGAATTCTCTATATTTACAACTCTTTATTTGTATAGTTTCCTTCCCCCTCAGTATGTTGGCTGGTAAGAATGTTCTTTTTGATTATTCATCTGTGTGGGCTCAAGAGTGTGTCACTGAGTTAATTTACAAAGCCTCGGATTGCATATCCATCACATTTGTAGAAAGTATTATCCCAGAAAAATCCATCAACACAACACATAAGCTCCAAAATGTACTGCACAATTGGCGTGCAATAGAGTAGTCAAAGAACCAATGAAATGCAAAAAGTTATCTATATGGAGATCTCAAAATGAATTAACAAATTAAATCCTTTGACATTGTATGAGATCCCATTAGGGTTCATTGTTACAGTTTTCTTTAATGTTTCTAAAATAGAAATGTTGTCCTGGGCAGAGCAGTGTAATGTACTTGCTTTGGCATCAAATGCCACATTTTTTTTTTTTTTGAGACGGCGTCTTGCTCTGTCACCTAGGCTGGAGTGAGTGTGCAGTGGTGCAATCGTAGCTCACTGTAGCCTCGAACTCCTGGGCTTAAGCAATCCTCCCACCTCAGCCTCCTGAGTAGCTGGGACTACAGGTCCCAGGTGCCCAGCTATTTTTAAAATTTTTTGTAGAGACAAGTCTTGCTATGTTGCCCAGGCTGATCTTAAACTCCTAGCCTCAAGAAATCCTTCAGACTTGTCCTCCTAGAGTGTTGGGATTACAGGTGTGAGCCTCCACACCAGGCATTGTTTCTATTTTAACTTTGCTACTTACGAGAAGTCTTAATTTGACCAACAACTAATGTAAGCTCTAGTTTCCCCATATGTAAAAAGAAGATAATGCCTAAATTGCAGGGTTTATTGGGAGAATTAATAAGAACACGCCTAGGCCAGGCACAATGGCTCATGCCTGTAATCCCAGCACTTTGGGAGGCCAAGGCAGCTGGATCATGAGGTCAGGAGTTCGAGACCACCCTGACCAACGTGGTGAAACCCTGTCTCTACTAAAAATACAAAAATTAGGGGAGTGTGGTGGTGGGCGCCTATAATCCCAGCTACTCAGGAGGCTTAGGCAGGAGAATCACTTGAACCCGGGAGGCGGAGGTTGCAGTGAGCCGAGATCGTGCAATTGCACTCCAGACTTGGCAACAGAGCAAGACTCCATCTCAAAAAGAAAAAAGAAAAAGAAAAATAAGAACACGTCTAAAATAATTAGTGCAGTGTCTGACACTTAAGTTCTCAAATAGTGGCGGTGAAGATGTGAAGGAGGGTAGAGATGACTGTGATTATTAATCATCTTATTTGTTGATCATATTAAAATGACAAAAACCACAATTATTTTGCACCAACCTAATATTTCAGCAGATGTCCTCTGAATCAGAAGTAAATAGCCATGATAATCTTACCATTAGTTATTTTATTGAGCAATTACAAGTCCCAGGCTCTTACGTTTTTATATTAATTTTTTACAACCAGTTTATGCGATGCATACTGTCCTCATTTATCATATAAGGAAACTAAAACTTAAAGAGTTTAATATATTGCTCAAGGTTATCCAGTGTATTGGTTTGCTAGGGCTCTGTAACAAAGTACCACAAACCAGGTGGCTCAAACAACAGAAATGCATTGTTTCACAGTTCTGGCGTCAAAAAGTCCAAAATCACAGTGTTGGCAGCTTTGGTTCCTTCTGAGGGCTGCAAGGGAAAGATTGTTCTGGGTCCTTCTCCTTGGCTTGTAGATGTCTGTCTTCTCCCTGTGTCTCTCCATGTCATTTTTTCCTCTATGCATGTCTGTCTCTGTGTCCAAATTTTTCCATTTTAAAAGGACATTAGTCATTGCTGGGCACAATGGCTCACACCTGCAATCCCAGCACTTTGGGAGGCTGAGAGAGGCAGATCACTTGAGGCCAGGAGTTCGAGACGAGCCTGGCCAACATGGTGAAACGTGTCTCTGCAAAATAATACAAAAATTAGCTAGGTATGGTGGTGCATGCCTATAGTTCCAGCTATTTCTACTCAGGAGGCTGAGGCATGAGAATTGCTTGAACCCAGGAGGCAGACGTTGCAGTGAGCTGAGATCATGCCACTGCACTCCAACCTGGGTGACAGAGTAAGACTCTGTCTCAAAAGAAAAAAAAAAAAAAAGGGCATTAGTCATTGGATTAGGGCCCACCCTATGGAACTCATTTTAACTTGATGAGCTCTGTAAAGACCCTATCTCTAAATTATATCACATTCTGAGGTGCTGGGAGGTAACACTCCAACTTATCTTTATTGAGGGGGGCAGAATTCAAATCCATAGCACATAGTAGTAAGATGTCATGCTGAGGTATGAACCAGACTTCATACGCAATGCTGTGGACTAAACTTTTGTATGCCTGTGAAATTCATATCTTGAAGGCCTAATCTCTACTGTGACGGTGTTTGAGATGGGGCGTCTGTGAGGCTTTAATAGGTTTAGATGAGGTCAGGAGAGTGAAGTGCTTGTGTTGGAATTAGCACCCTTATAAGAAGAAAAAAAGGCCAAAGCCTCCTCTCTCTCTGCCACCTGAAAATGCAACAGGGAATGGCCATCCACATGCCAAGAAATGGGCCCTTATCATACACCAAGTCTTCCTGCACATTGATCCTCGATTTCTCAGGTTTTGGAACTGCAGGAAATCGACGTTCATTGTTTAAGCCACGCAGTCTATGGTATTTTGTTATAGCTGCCTGAGCTGACTAAGACAGGCAATATATGACATGGCCGTTTGCTCCAGGACTTTTAGGAAATGTGGATCCCATTGGTAGTGCTCAGCAATCAAATTTATTTGATCCTCATGTTCAGCAGACATGTTGTTTTTTTCTTCATGTATTGCCAACTCTTTTATATGATACATAAAACATATTGAAAAACGTAGACTTGCTATCTTTATATTCCACATGTTGGCAGATTCTTTCCAAGAAAAGTGATTTTCAGATCATTCCTTAGGAGCGTTGAGGCTGAGAAGTGGTCTTTGCATATTTATATTTAGAAATTATCGAGTCCAAAATCTAAATATTGAGTCTTGGTAGAAGAGAAAACCAGTCACAATTTATGTAAAATAGTTGTTCCTAGGTAATGAACCAAAGCAGGGACTATATTTGAGAAGTAGAATGGTATTGTCAAAGTCAGTGTACAATCAGGAAATTAAAGAGATTATTTTATCCAAACTATTGCAGTTAATGAGGAATGTCTCAAAAGAAAGGGAAGCAGGGTTTTATAGATATAGGGGAACAAAAAGTTTAAGGGATTTCTTAACCACCACTTTTTTCTAGAAGCATAGGGATTAGGTCACATTCAACATTTTCAGTCCCCACTTCTACTTCAGATCAATAAACATTATAGGATGCTGAACAACATAGAGGTGATCATCAGAAACCTGAGTAAGACTGAGCAGGGTCTAAGAAATAGTCTCTCAAGAGTTCTTGTTGGCATTATTGTCGTAACATCACCTAAACCAGCTGTTGAGAAGTAGTGGCAAAGGCCAGTTGTTTCAAAGTCATAGAGATCAGGCTCCTTAAAAGAGAAGTATTTAAAATGAAAAACATTAATATCAAAGATTATGTTAAAGACCAGAGTTTAACCCTGAGCATACCAGTCCAGCAAATTCCAAAAGGTGGGTGGGGAAAATCTTTCAGTTACACAGTACCGTTCGTTGAGTTTCTTGAAGCTAGGATGTCAATGTTCTTGATGATGTTCAGTCTCGGTTAGCTTTCCTCTAAGAGAATGAAGGACCTGAGCTTTTCACCAGAATTTGTTAGGGGCTCAGACAGTGGTTTGTGCAGGGAAAAGTCTGGCCTGCGTGTAATCTGCTGCAGTGGTGAGTTCTTCAAAGTTTGAATCAAGTAGTTGGACTTCAGCTGGCAGAATTTCTTCAACTCCTGGAGAAAAGAGCTAGCTGCTAGACAACCTAGAGTTCCAACAGGAATCTGGGCAATCAGATGTTATTTTTCAGTGACATCAAGTTAGGGAAAGAGAGAAAAATTGGAAACATTAATTTGTAGGGTTGTAGCCAGATATTGAAGCAAACTGGAAGGCTTCACAGTTTGGTACAAATTAACAATTTGGGCAAGATAACAGGATCCAGTTCAATTTTTAGGAAGGTGTCCAAACTGCTTTTTCCACAAAGGAGGGGAAGTCATTTAAATCATTCCAGACAAGTCAGAATTTGCATATGTATCAGTTACCTGCAATTTATGAAACTGTATAATATGGCTAAGAGATAATTATGTCTACAATCTGATAAACAGGAAGGAGCTGCTTGCTATAGTTTTCCACTGAAACAAAACATTTCTCTCTATAGTCACCCCTCTTTTGATCAAAAATAATCTCAAAGAAAGATTATTCTTGATCACAAAATAAAGCTAGTACCATCAGATTTGGCCTGATTATTTACATTGTTGTCTTAAAGATGATAATTCACTACATAGGGTTTCTTATATTTGCTTTGCTGAAAGTTTTCATAAGGAATCTCAAATTGAATTTTTAAAAACCACTTGAGGCTAGGAAGCTATATCAAGAACTCACCAACAGATTTACCTACAGTATCTATAAATTTCAGTAAATGCCTCTCTTTTAGAGGTCCCAAAAATATCTCAAGTTTTCTGAGCCTGCGAGGAAGTATCCTTTACCTGTAAATTTGGGCACCTCATTAGCCAGGAATCAGGCTGATTTTCCCAAGAGGGCTTTAAATGAGCATACCTAATGTTTCCAATATTTCATGCAAACAAGGAAGAGTTTTATTGAACCTATGCAAATAACTATAATTTTGAAATATAATGAGAATACTCAGTAAGAATTTCTGATTTCTCTAACAGTCAGGCAGGAAGAAAAAGATACCAATGACAAATGTTTCATTTATATTTGCAAAGCATAGACTTCTGAATTGTTATGAGTTTCAGTTAGTTTAAGAGAAAATAGAAAGAAGTTTCCTATGTCCAAAAAATCAACCATTAAAATATCAGCAATATTCCAAACAAAAGCTACAGTCATTCCTCATCAGTTCCTTCAGTCCTGTGTAATTCTTGCTCTGCTTCCTCTTGGCTTAACAGTTTCATGCATACATCTGCCTCTCCAAACAGGGCTCTGGAAATCCTGACTCAGTCTGCTGGTATGGTCTCAAGGTTGTGTAAGTGACGGCATCAGAAGCTTCTGCCCCAAATGAAAAGTACCTGGCATAGAGCTTTGCCATGGGGCTCTGAGATAATCCTTTGTTAAGACAAAGCACTACAGCTAGATTTGTAAGAGCTTTCAGGGAAGCACCACAAAGCAAAATTCTATTTGTAAATGACAAAAGCCTTAAAAATTACTTTGAAAAATCATTTTCAAACGTGAAAGATGTAAGGAGTGTTTATCACAAGAATCTCCATTTGAAAAATACTGGCTTATAGGCACAGAAAAACAAAGATAGTATGTTCTCACTTACATGAGGAATCTTAAAATAATCACACTCGAAGCAGATAGAATGGCGGTTACAGGGGATGGGGGTGGAGGGAATGGGGAGGTGATGGTCAAAGGCTATAAAATCTTTATTAGGAGGAATCTGTTTTTGTTTTTTGAGTTCTAGTGTACAGTGTGGTAAGTGTAGTTAATAATAAAGTGTTGTACATTTCAAAATTGGGAAGAGTAAATTTCAAATGTTCTCACACAACAAAATGACTAGTATTTGAAGTGATGTCGTTAACTGGCTCAATTTAATTATTCCACATGGTAGGCATAAATCATATTATCACTTTGTACCCCATATACTTACAATATCATAAATTGTCAATTTACAGTTTTTTTTTAAAAAAAAGGAAAGCACTGGCTTAGAAGAAGCTAATTTGAAATTAACGAATAAAAGTTGTTACCAAGTTAACATTTTAAAAATAACTGAAACTTATGACTCATGTGGTGCTCTCTAATAACAGGGCAAAGTGACATCGGGACTCAAAGAAAAACACGTTATGGACATAAAAGCCTTTGATGACTCTCTAGGAATTTTCCATACAGCATACAATTTCTGAAATATTTATACTGATAACATTCTGCCCATACAGATTTGTCCTAGGGAAGGTTAAGCATCTCTTCTGAGTTGGCAATGACTCCCGTGCAATTTGTAAATAGTAACATATCAAATAAACCTAATTCTTTTCAGCAACTTTCTTTTCATAAGGTGAAATAACAAATCCTTTGTGATTTTCAAAGGCCCTCTGGGAGATATCAAAGACAGTTTCAGATGCAATAGATATCACTTAGGAATCAGTTTTGGGAGGGAAAATATCAAAAGTTGTCAGGAGATTGGGACACTTTACTAGGATACGGTCGTGAGTTACTGATAAACAATACTTTGCTACCTTAACTAAGGTGACAGCAAAAAGAGTGAAAAAGTAAGCACAGGCAGTAACATGATTGTAAAGAATCTTAGCTTTTTCAAAAGGGAGAAGACTTTATTAAATAAGCAAGGACGTGATAAACTCAATACACAATATAGGAAGTTATTTTAAGACATGGAATCTTTGCCTTCTAGGCAGATTACTCAGAAGGTAAAGAAAAAATATTATTAAGAGTAGACTAAGAAGTCAAGAAAATGTTATGTTTTTAAACAGAGGCAAAATTAAATTCTACTTTGCATCATTATGGCATTTGATATTAAAGATCTTTTTGAAATCTTATAAATGAATTCATCAAGCCTTAGCTAGCACTGACCACAGCAAAGTTTGTTTCCCACAAGCGTTTTACAACTTTCTACGTCTATTCAGCTTTTGTCCTACACATTAACAACTAGCTATATGACTTCAGAATAAAATGACTCTATTTTTTTCTTAACAAAAACATGTTCTGCAAACCTTGCATACAAAATTGTATCTCTCTGCTATTATTATGCCTTGTAGAATCTCATTCATGTATATTGATTATAATTTTTAAATAGAAATAGTAACATCTGTTGCACAAAGAAAAAAGGGAAATGGATAATTGTGATCTTTCTGTCATACATAAGCTTTTTGTAACACACTAGTGGAACTCATGAATACACATCTCACAACTTTTAATAGCCATGCATATTATTTACAGCACGACTTATGCAAAGTGGCAAAAATGAACACATTTATTAACAAAACTGAATGTACATGCTTCTCTATAGCATATAGAAACAAAAGGCAAAAAAGTATATAAACTTAAAATTATGCTTGGTTACCAATATTTCACTTTTCTCTCTTGCATAGAAATTACATAAATATCCAATTAATATTCATTAATTAATTCAATTTAGCTTCAATCCAAGGTTTTAAATTACCAAATATCTTGGAATTTGTCTTCAGGCTGACATGCTCCAAAATATTAGTACCATTGAAAGTTTGTTAGAATAATGACTCAATTTGCTTAAACACAAATTTTTATTTTCTATTGTATTAAACATTAAGTAGAAGTAATGCTAGGTTATTTGGTTGGTAAATCTAAGTTTAGGAAGAACATTCACAAGTAGAATAGAAGCATACTTGTGTTATATTTAACACTAAAAACTCAGAGAAAACAGCTATTTTTACTAAATCAACCTCATTAATTGATTATCAAAATAATAATTATTGTTAAATATTGTTTGCCAAACATTTACCTAGATTTTGTGAACTTGAATTATTGTCTCTGAGTTATGTTCCTACAAGAGACAGCTTTTTCCCCTACAGTAAAAGTGTTTAAGGCTCAATTTCCTCAACTTCTGGGAATTTGGGAAATATTTGGTTTATATAAATGGTTATTTATTTCTAAGCCAATTAGAATAGAGCTCCTTTAAGAGATTCTATAACCTAATTTAGCGACACCATCCTGAGGTAGGGAAATATTTTATTTTTATTTTTTTCAGAGATGGGCTAGATTAGAACTCCTGCCTTCAGCCTCCTGAGTAGCTAAGGTTGCAACTTCCATAGTAGCTGAAATTGTAGGTGCATGCCACCGTATCTGGCCAACAGGGAAATATTACATACTCTAACAATGAGTGGTGACTTCCTTTCTGAATTACAGACATGTAGACATTAAAGCAGAGATAGCAAGAATTTAGTTTCCATTCTAACATTTAAGCCATGGGTCAAGAGTGGACACAGAATCACAAAACTTACTGTTTCATATCAAAGAGCTGTTCTGTTCTCATGATTCTTAAGTGATTTGAGCTCAAAACAGACAAACAGAAAAGCGTAGCAAACCAAATTCTCTGTTGTCTTTCACCCATAAGATACAAGATCTCTAAAAGTCATTAATCCCCTCTCAGAGATCACCAAGTGGTCAGACCACAAAACCAAAGCCAGTGCCAGAAATCAAGTGAGTACTAAAACCTTGCCTTGCTACCAATAGACAAGGGTCCATATCACAGGACCAGGAGTTAGACTTATTCATAGTTCCTTGGACCAGGAATGGAGCACAAAGGGCCCAAATAAGCCTTATTACCTGTGTTGAGTAAACAAAGATCCCAGTGCAGGAGATCCATATCATGGCACCAAACTATCAAATACAGGATGCACTAGGTCATTAAAGAGAAGATTTTATTCAAAGCATTGCAAAATGGAGAACATTGATTTATGGTGAATATCTTGAAGAAAAGGAAGGGGGTCTGGGGTTCTATAGGGGCAAGAAAAAACGGGAGTCATCCAGAAGTCTTATAAAAGTCATGAAGAAGGGTGGAGATGGGTCTTATCTCAGAATATGGGAAGGCAGTTTGGGCCTTTGCATTAGTTGTTTGCCAGACACTAAAGGGTAGAGAGGTTTCTTAATCATTACTCTTTTCCGGAAGCACAGGGCTCAGGTAAGATTGAATATTTTTCATGCCTTTCATCCTCTCTGTCTGATCTCTTTCAAACTGTCTTTTTTGTTGAGGCTATATGAAATGTTTACTGTTTTACCTTCCAATCAACTCCATAAAAACGGTTGATATAAAGCATCTAGCCAAGTTCCACTACATTTTAGTCATTCATTATGGAACATCATCCCAAGGAAGGCTTTATTCTCTCTGTCTAAGCAAGCAATGAAGGGAGATCTTTTGGAAATGGCCTAGTATTTGATGAGAAGCAAGAACAAGGTCTACATTAGTGGATCACAGACTTTTTGCCACTGAGATCCACCATCGAAAATGCATTCATTATTACCTCTGCATGTGTTTATTTAACTGCAACAATAGTTTAATGATTTTCATAACACAAAACTTCACAGTGTATGATGACACTGATACCTTCTAGTCTATTCCCAGCTGTTCTATTTCATTTTTTTATAGCTTATAGTGACTCATTAAAATGGATTTCCACGAATGCAATGCAACACACAGTTTGAAGTCCACTGGAAAATCTTTTAAAACTGTTATTATAAAATGAATTTAGTAACCTTTTCAAAATTTTACTAGTGTAGTTTCTGTGGTTTTTAAGAATACAAATATTTTGCCTTCTGGTCTTTTTTTTCACACAAGTATATGGCAGATTCCTATAAATATTTTAATAGATCAGCAGTTTCCAATGCCATGTTTCGGTGATGATATTTTACCAGAGATAGTCTGTAATGAAAAATTGAGACAAATGATGACAATGTAATTTGCAGACATGTATACTTATTTATAATAAATTTGTAGACATGTATATTTAGTTAGTTATTCAACAAATATTCAGTGCCTTTTATATCTTAAGAATGGTTCATGTTAATTGGAGGCAAACAAGAAAGGCAAAGTTACTGCTTAGTTGAAATTTACATTCTAGTATAAAAATTGCCATATTTATTATTATTATTATTATTATACTTAAAGTTCTGGGATACATGTGCAGAATGTGCAGGTTTGTTACATAGGCATACGCTTGCCATGGTGGTTTGTTGCACCCATCAACCCATCATCTACATTAGGTATTTCTCCTAATGCTATCCCTCCCCGCTCCCCCCACCCCACAACAGGCCCTGGTGTGTGATGTTCCCCTCCCTGTGTCCATGTGTTCTCACTGTTCAACTCCCACTTATGAGTAAGAATATGCAGTGTTTGTTTTTCTGTTCCTGTGTTAGTTTGCTGAGAATAATAGCTTTCAGCTTCATCCATGTCCCTGCAAAGGACACAAACTCAACCTTTTTTATGGTTGCGTAGTATTTTGTGGTGTATATGTGGCACATTTTCTTTATCCATTCTATCATTGATGGGCATTTGGGTTGGATCCAAGTCTTTGCTATTGTGAATAGTGCTACAATAAACATATGTGTGCATGTGTCTTTATAATAGAGTGACTTATAATCCTTTGGGTGTATACCCAGTAATGGGATTGCTGGGTCAAATGGTATTTCTGGTTCTAGATTCTTGAGGAATCGCCGCACTGTCTTCCACAATGGTTGAACTAATTTACACTCCCAACAGTGTAAAAGTGTTCCTATTTCTCCACATCTTCTCTAGCATCTTGTTTCCTGATGTTTTAATGATCGCCATTCAAACCGGCGTGAGATGGTATCTCATTGTGGTTTTGAGTTGCATTTCTCTAATGACCAGTGATGATGAGTTGCGTTTCTCTAATGACCAGTGATGATGATTTTCTCATATGTTTGTTAGCCGCATAATGGTCATTTCTCTAATGTTAGCTGCATAATGTCATTTCTCTAATGACCAGTGATGATGAGTTGCATTTCTCTAATGACCAGTGATGACGATTTTTTCATATGTTTGTTAGCCACATAAATGTCTTCTTTTGTGAAGTATCTGCTCATGTCCTTTGCCCATTTTTTGATGGGATTGTTTTTTTCTTGTAAATTTGTTTAGGTTCCTTGTAGATCCTGGATATTAGCCCTTTGTCAGATGGATAGATTGCAAAATTTTTCTCTCATTCTGTAGGTTGCCTGTTCACTCTGATAATAGTTTCTTTTGCTGTGCAAAAGCTCTTTAGTTTAATTAGATCCTGTTCATCAATTTTGGATTTTGTTGCCATTGCTTTTGGTGTTTTAATCATGAAGTTTTTGCCCATGCCTATGTCCTGAATGATACTGCGTCAGTTTTCTTCCAGAGTTTTATGGTTTTAGGTCTTATGTGTAAGTCTTTAATCCATCTTGAGTTAATTTTTGTATAAGGTGTAAGGAAGAGGTCCAGTTTCAGTTTTTTGCATATGGCTAGCCAGTTTTCCCAACACCATTTATTAAATAGGGAATCTTTTCCCCATTGTTTGTTTTTGTCAGGTTTGTAAAAAATCAGATAGTTGTAGATGTGTGGCATTATTTCTGAGGCCTCTGTTCTGTTCCATTGGTCTATATATCTGTTTTGGTACCAGTACCATGCTGTTTGGGTTACTGTAGCCTTGTAGTATAGTTTGAAGTCAGGTAGCTTGTTGCCTCCAGCTTTGTTCTTTTTGCCTAGGATTGTCTTGGCTATACAGGCTCTCTTTTGGTTCCATATGAAATTTAAAGTAGTTTTATCTAATTCTGTGAAGAAAGTCAATAGTAGCTTGATGGGGATAGCATTGAATCTATAAATTACTTTGGGCAGTATGGCCATTTTCATGATATTGATTCTTCCTATCCATGAGCATGGAATGTTTTTCCATTTGTTTGTATCCTCTCTTATTTCCTTGAGCAGTGGTTTGTAGTTCTCCTTGAAGACGTCCTTCACATCCCTTGTAAGTTGTATTCCTAGGGATTTTATTCTCTTTGTAGCCATTGTGAATGGGAGTTCACTCATGATTTGGCTCTCTGTTTTTCTATTATTGATGTATAGGAATGCTTGTGGTTTTTAAACATTGTTTTTGTATTCTGAAACTTTGCTGAAATTGCTTATCATTTTAAGGAGATTTTGGGCTGAGAAGATGGGGTTTTCTAAATGTACAATCATGTCATCTACAAACAGAGACAATTTGACTTCCTCTTTTCCAATTTGAATATACTTTATTTCTTTCTCTTGCCTGATTGCCCTGGCCAGAACTTCCAATACAATGTTGAATAGGAGTGGTGACAGAGGGCATCCTTGTCTTGTGCCAGTTTTCAAATGCTTCCTGTTTTTGCCTATTCAGTATGATATTGCCTGGGGGGTTGCCATAAATGACTCTTATTATTTTTGGATACATTCCATCAATAGGTAGTTTATTGAGAGCTTTTAGCATGAAGTAGCATTGAATTTTATGGAAGGCCTTTTCTGCATCTATTGAGACAATCATGTTGTTTTTGTCATTGGTTCTGCTTATGTGATGGATTACGTTTATTGGTTTGTGTATGTTGAACCAGCCTTGCATCCCAGGGATGAGGCTGACTTGATCGTGGTGGATAAGCTTTTTGATGTGCTGCTGGATTCAGTTTGCCAGTATTTTATTCAGGATTTTTGCATCAATGTTCATCAGGGTTATTAGCCTGGCATTTTCTTTTTTTGTTTTGCCTCTGCCAGGTTTTGCTATCAGGATGATGCTGGCATCATAAAATGAGTTAGGGAGAAGTACCTCTTTTTCTGTCATTTGGAATGGTTTCAGAAGGAATGGTACCAGCTCCTCTTTGTACCTCTGGTAGAAATCGGCTGTGAATCTGTCTGGTCTTGGGCTTTTCGATTGGTAGGCTATTAATTACTGCCTCAATTTCAGAACTTGTTATTGGTCTATTCAGGGATTTGACTTCTTCCTGGTTTAGTCTTGGGAGGGTGTATGTGTCTAGGAGTTTATCAATTTCTTCTAGATTTTCTAGTTTATTTGCGTAGAGGTGTTTATAGTATTCTCTGATGGTAGTTTGTATTTCTGTGGGATCAGTGGTGATATCCCCTTCATCATTTTTTTATTGTGTCTATTTGATTCTTCTCTCTTTTCTTCTTTATTAGTCTGGCTAGTGGTCTATCTATTTTTTAATCTTTTCAAAAAACCAGCTCTTGGATTCATTGATTTTTTAAAGGGTTTTTCATGTCTCTATCTCCTTCCGTTCTGCTCTGTTCTTAGTTATTTCTTGCCTTCTGCTAGCTTTTGAATTTGTTTGCTCTTGCTTCTCTAGTTCTTTTAACTGTGATGTTAGGGTGTCTTTCCCACTTTCTCCTGTGGGCATTTAGTGCTATAAATTTCCGTCTACACACTGCTTTAGCTGTGTCCCAGATATTCTGGTACGCTGTGTCTTTGTTCTCATTGGTTTCAAAGAACTTATTTATTTCTGCCTTCATTTCATTATTTACCCAGTAGTCATTCAGGAGCAGGTTGTTCAGGTTCCATGTAGTTGTGTGGCTTTGAGTGAGTTTCTTCATCCTGAGTTCTAATTTGATTGCACTGTGGTCAAAGAGACTGTTATGATTTCCATTCCTTTGTGTTTGCTGAGGAGTGTTTCACTTCCAATTATGTGGTCAGTTTTAGAATAAGTGAGATGTGGTGCTGAGAAGAATGTAAATTCTGTTGATTTGGGGTGTAGAGTTCTGTAGATGTCCATTAAGTCTGCTTAGTCCAGAGCTGAGTTCAATGGAATATCCTTGTTAATTTTCTGTCTTGTTGATCTGTCTAATGTTGACAGTCAGGTATTAAAGTCCCCACTATTATTGTGTGGGAGTCTAAGTCTCTTTGTAGGTCTCTAAGAACTTGCTTTATGAATCTGGGTGCTCCTCATATTGGGAATCTGGTTGCTCCTTGTATTTGGATGTGTATATATTTAGGATAGTTAACTCTTCTTGTTGCATTGATCTCTTTACCATTACATAATGCCCTTCTTTGTCTTTATCTTTATTGATTTGAAGTCTGTTTTATCAGAGACTAGGATTGCAACCTCTGCTTTTTCTTGCTTTCCATATCTTGGTAAATATTCCTCCATCCCTTTATTTTGAGCCTGTGTGTGTCTTTGCACGTGAGACGTGTCTCCTGAATACAGCACACCAATGGGTCTTGACTCTTTCTCCAATCTGCCAGTCTGTGTCTTTAATTGGGGCATTTAGCCCATTTACATTTAAGGTTAATATTGTTATATGTGAATTTGATCCTGTCATTATGATGCTAGCTGGTTATTTTGCCTGTTAGTTGATGCAGTTTCTTCATAGTGTCAATGGTCCTTACAATTTGGTATGTTTTTGTGGTGGCTGTTACCAGTTTTTCCTTTCCATATTTAGTGCTTCCTTCAGGAGCTCTTGTAAGGCAGACCTGGTGGTGGCAAAACCTCTCAGCATTTGTTTGTCTGTAAAGGATTCTATTTCTCCTTCACTTATGAAGCTTAGTTTGGCTGGATATGTAATTCTGGGTTGAAAATTCTTTTCTTTAAGAGTGTTGAATATTGGCCCCCAATCTCTTCTGGCTTGTAGGGTTTCTGCAGAGAATTCCTCTGTTAGTCTTGGACTTTCTTGAAGAAATGGGCTTCTCTTTGTGGGCAACTTGACCTTTCTCTCTGGCTGCCCTTAACATTTTTTCCTTTATTTCAACCTTGGTGAATCTGACGATTGTGTGTCTTGGGGTTGCTCTTCTTGAGGATTATCTTTATGGTGTTCTCTGTATTTCCTGAATTTGAATGTTGGCCTCTCTTGCCAGGTTGGGGAAGTTCTCCTGGATAATATCCTGAAGAGTGTTTTCCAACTTGGTTCCATTCTCCCCGTGACTTTCAGGTACACTAATCAAATGTAAGTTTGGTCTTTTCACGTAGTCCCATATTTCTTAGGGGCTTTGTTTGTTCCTTTTCATTCTTTTTTCTCTAATCTCGTCTTCATGCTTTATTTCATTAAGTTGATCTTCAGTCTCTGATAGTCTTTCTTCTGCCTGATCTATTCAGCTGTCGATACTTGTGTATGCTTCGCAAAGTTCTCATGCAGTGTTTTTCAGCTCCATCAGGTCTTTATGTTCTTCTGTAAAGTGGTTATTCTAGTAAGCAATTCCTCTAACCTTTTTTCAAGTTTCTTACCTTCCTTGCATTGGGAGGAGCTTGTTATTACCCACCTTCTGAAGCCTAATTCTGTCAATTCATCAAACTCATTCTCCATCCAGTTTTGTTCCCTTGCTGGTGAGGAGTTTGTGATCCTTTGGAGGAGAAGAGGTGTTCTGGTTTTTGGAATTTTCAGGCTTTTTGCACTGATTTATCCTCATCTGTGTGGATTTATCTACCTTTGGTCTTTGATACTGGTGACCTTTGGATGGGGTTTTTGTGTGGATGTCCTTTTTGTTGATATTGATGCTATTCCTTTCTGTTTGTTAGTTTTCCTTCTAACAGGCCTCTCTACTGCAGGTCTGCAGGAGTTTGCTGGAGGTCCACTCGAGACCCTGTTTGTGTCTACGGCCATACCACCCTGAATGCGCCCGATCTCGTCTGATCTCAGAAGCTAAGCAGGGTCGGGCCTGGTTATACTTGGATGGGAGACCCTGTTTGCCTGGGTATCACCAGCAGAGGCTGCAGAACAGCAAAGATTGTTGCCTGTTCCTTCCTCTGAAAACTTTGTCCCAGAGGGACACCTGCCAGATGCCAGCTGGAGCTCTCTTGTGTGAGGTGTCTGTCAACCCCTGCTGGGAGGTTTCTCCCAGTCGAGAGGGATGGGGATCAGGGAGCCACTTGAGGAGGCAGTCTGTCCCTTAGCAGAACTTGAGCACTGTGCTAGGAGTTCTGCTGCTCTCTTCAGAGCCGGCAGGAAGGAATGTTTAAGTCTGCTGAAGCTGCACCCCCAGCTGCCCCTTCCCCCGGGTGCTCTGTTCCAGGGAGATGGGAGTTTTATCTATAAACCCCTGCCTGGAGCTGCTGCCTTTCTTTCAGAGATGCCCTGCCCAGAGAGGAGGAATCTAGAGAGGCAATCTGACTACAGCATCTTTGCTGAGCTGTGGTAGGCTCTGCCAAGTACGAACTTCTTGGTGCTTTATTTACACTGTGAGGGGAAAACTGCCTACTGAAGCCTCAGTAATGGTGGACACCCCTCCCCTAACCAAGCTAGAGTGTCCCAGGTGGACTTCAGACTGCTATGCTGGCAGCGAGAATTTCAAGCCAGTGGATCTTAGCCTGCTGGGCTCCATGTGGGTGGGATCCGCTGAGCTAGATCACTTGGCTCCCTGACTCCAGCCCCCTTTCCAGGGGAGTGAACAGTTCTGTCTCACTGGCATTCCAGGTGCCACTGGTATGAAAAAAAACTCCTGCAGCTAGCTTGGTGTCTGCCCATATGGTAACCAGTTTTGTGCTTCAAGCCATATTTCTTTTATTGGAAAATATAGAACTTTTCCTTCTCACATTCAACTTCTTGAGAGGATCTCTTTGATAATGTGTTCATGTACACAGTTCACATCAAATATATATAACATGTGGATCAAAGTGTTAAGATATTCTTCTTTACATATAGTGTTAGTAGCTGACGATTTTTTTTTCTTCAAAAATAAATTTGGAAACTTGTCAGTCCATAATTTTTTTAAGTATTATTTTACTATCTCATGAAATCTGAAAGGCTAGAATACACTAGATAACTCTTGATTTCCACTCCTACCCTGCCATGAAGTGATAATTCACATCTGGCTATAACTTCATAAAAGGGGCAGGGCGACCCACTTCCTAAAAGACCACTATTGACTTGAAGACCTGTGTCTCTTGTCTCACTTCTAAAAGTGATTTAAAACTCAATAACTCACTCTGAAATCCACTGTATAAGAAATAGTAATGTTTAGGGTCATTTAAAAGAAAGATTAGTTTAATAAATTTTGGCACCCTGTTTAACATATAAAACCATGACCATGTGTTAAGTATAACCATATTTTGTGCAGAATGTGATTCAAAAGACTGATTTAATAGCTATAGTCCAAGAAGTGTTGAAAACTCTTGCCCAGTTTATGGTTTCCAATATAGGACACATATCAACAGAATAAGAAACTCAAGAATTAAACTGATGACTGTGTCGACCTCTGGAGGAACTCTTTTTTAAGACACAAAGCCAAATTTTCACCTTCATTTATGCACACTCATCTCCTGAAGGCTTCCTTATGCATTTACGTGTGAAGGAAGGAGAGGATTTGACTCAGTCTCTTTGTCTGTCATCTTTCTTCCTCTCTCATTCTGAAATAGCTTTTCACAGTTGAGGAAAAAATAAAGATTTGACCTTCCCACAGTGAATGATAACAATGATAACAGCTGATCTTTATATAGTGTTTATTATATGACAGAGATCATTTCATGCACTTTGCTTCTAAGAACTCATTTATTCCTTACAACACTGTAAGTACTGTTATCCCCATTGCACAGACAAGAAAAATGAGCTTCTGTATTAGTCCATTTTCACACTGCTATAAAGAACTTCCTAAGACTGGGTAATGTATAGAGGAAAGAGGTTTAATTGACTCACAGTTCTGCATGGCTAGGGAGGCCTCAGGAAACGTACAGTTATGTGGAAGAGGAAGCAGGCATATCTTACATGGTGGCAGGTGAGAGAGAGAGAGAGTGTGTGAAGGAGGAACTGTCAAACACTTATAAAACCATCAGATCTCGTGAGAACTCACTCACTATCACAAGGTTTTTTGCACAGACAAAACCACCCCCATGATCCAATCACCTCCCACTAGGTCCCTCTCTCCACACATGGGGATTATGGGGATTACAATTCGAGATGAGATTTGGATGTGGGCACAGCCAAAACATATCAGGTACAAACAAATAGTGGAGTTAAAAATCAAACATGGACCATCTGCCTCTGTAGTCCAGGCCCTTAACCACTACATTATATAACCTCTTGAGAGAGGAAAACTTAGATTGGGCAATATTAGCATCCAATTGCCAGTGCAAAAGGAAATGGAAGTCAGCACACCAGCTTATTACTTACCCGAGATCAATAAGAGACCTGCAAATACTTGACTCCGGGTTATAGACTTGGTAAATCCAAATGATTTCTCTCATGAATCCGAATCCCTGCCAGTAATGCAGATATTCTAACTTGAGACTTACCTTCCAGACTGAAAATGCCAAATGAGAAAAACCAAGTAAGTTTGAGTTTCTGCAGTTACAAAGTGCTATGGTTTGAATGTCCCTATCAAAACTCAGGTTGAAATAAAATTGCCATTGTAATGGTATTAGGAGATGGGGCCTTTAACAGGCGATTAGGCCATGAGGGCTCTGCCTTCATAAATACATTAATGTCATTATTGCAGGAGTGGGTTAGTTATCACAGGAGTGGGTTAGTTATTGTGGGAGAGGGTTCCTGATAAAAGCATAAATTTCACCCCCGTCCACTCCATCTTCAGTGCTCACTTCATCCTTCCACCTTCTGCCATGGGATCACCATCCCCAGATGCCAGCATGATGTTCTTGGACTTCCCAGCCCCAGAACCATGAGCCAAATAACTTCTCTTCTTTATAAATTGCCCAGTTGATGGTATTCTGTTATAGCAGCAGAAAACAGACAAGACATAAAGGAAGACACATAATTACCCTCCCCCAACAGTTCATGTTACCCCTCAACATTGTTTTAGTCAGTGCAAGACTACCAAAGTATAGGTGTCTGAACATCAGGGAAATGTAAATAGAGAAGGTAAATGAATTCAACCTTCCTTTTCCCTATACTCTCATTTCTGTCAAATATAAAAACCTGTGGGTTTTACCCTTGTTCCAGTTTACATAATCACATTCCAAATTACTTATGTGGACTTTTATGAGGGCTTTTTTTCTTTACACCTCTCTCCTTTTCTCATCAGCCTCTGCAATCAGCTTTATACAAGAGTTATATTTCATTCATTTCATTTTCTTTTCTTTCTATTTCACAAGTTCTGGGACTTGGCTGTCAACCGAATCTTGAACTTGGTAATTAAATTGTTCATAAGCTCCAAACATGTTGTAACTCATGTCATATTCATGTACACTTCTCTGCCCCAACTTGATAAAATGAGTGATACTGGGACACCATTGTCATACACACCTCCAAACCTGGGTGTGTCCACTTCAAATGCCTGAACTTGCTCAAATAGAAATGGGATTACTAAAACAACTATATATCCTCACCATGCTGGTTTTAGTAGGAAAGATGCATCAAGGATAAAGCTCTCCAGTGAAAAGCATGGGGCTGAAAGAAGGAAGTCTCTCTGAGGCAGAAGTCCTTTGGAAAAACTGAAGATGACGTCCTAGATAATTTTGAAGTCTTATGTAGCAACAGAAGTTTATGTCATTAATTTAGCAAATAGTCATAGACAAAACATGCAACTTTAGAGCAAGTGCCAGGCTGTGCCAATAATTCCACCCTTCACCTCCACATGGGGTCAGTCCATAGAACAAAATACCAAAGGCCTTAGTGCTCAGGTCTTTTGCTCCTGACATTCTCCCTTCATCCTTTCCCTATCCCCACTTATCCTTTTTTAATGCACTATAGATGAGTATGTCTTAATTTCTTAAGTTAATTTGCATTGGCATTAAGCACCTACTTTATTTATTTCCTTTCTCAACAACTCTCAGACTTTGATTCTTCATGTCCTTCCAGGGCCCTGCCCCATGCCTTCTGCTAAATGCTAAAGTCATGCAACAGTTTAGTACTGCGTAGAGTAGGATGGCTAGCAAAAGGAAATCTCTCAAAGGAGCTTCATGCTCTCTGTGACTCAGGGTAGCAGTATATGGCCTTCGGCACCCACTGTGGGCTGGGCTATGGCAGACTTTGCTTGCCCTCATTGCTCTCTTTGCTTTCCTTGATCTTGCCCCTGTCTGTCTTCATTTTCTCCCTTCTCACTTTTTTCCCTATTGTTACTTACAGTTTAAGTTATGGAAGAAAAACACTTAATGCTTATTGGCCACTGGAGGATACACCTCATAACTTGGAAAATGAAAATAAACACTTTAATAGTTTTGTACTTGATATGATGACTCTTTTAAACAAAACACTTTTTATCTAGGCATGACCTTAGATTTATGGGAAAAGAAAGTTGCAAAGATAGTACAGAGAGTTCCTGTATACCTGTCTTCTAGCTTATGCTAATGTGGAAAACTTACATAAGTGTGGCACAGTTGTCCAAAAAATAAATTCACATTGGTATAATTCTATTCACTCAAATTCAGACTTTACTCATATTTCATCAGTTTTTTCATTATTATCCTTTTTCTTTTCCCAGATCTAATTCAGAATAACACGTGTGTTACTACATGATGATTTAAAATGTTTACAAAAACAAGACCTCTACCTATGCTCCTATTAGTGTGTGTGTGTGTGTGTGTGTGTGTGTGTGCTGGTGTGTGTATATCTTTATTTAATAATAAAACTAGAAGGGCAATGAATTCGAAACGGAGGCTTTTCTTACTAGCCTTTTTAAGATAGACATTGCTGACACATGGACAGGGATTGAATTAGTACAAATATTAAATATCATTAAGCCTTCTTTTTTGAGTTCTGTCTGCACATCAACTTCACCTGAAGAATGTTTGTAAAATACACATGCTTGTTCCCCACCCAAAATCTATTGAATCAGAATCTCTAGGGAGTGAGGACCAACAGTTGCGCTTTTAACACCTCCACTCCCCCCTTGTATTGGACGGTAAAGGCCAGAAAAGATTACCTTAGGCATTCTCATTTCAGAAGCTAAAACAGACATTCAATTTTCTATACCCTAATTTGGGACTTATATCTGAGTGTTAATATATGCATGTAATACTTTGTGATGAATGTTAAATGTGTTTTAATAGTGTTCCCTTGCAGAATATTCTTTCCTTTGCCGGTATTATTAAGACTATCTTGCATTGGGATTCATGCCCCCAGGCTTACAGTTCTCTGAGCTATACTTGCATACACTGTCCTCAGTGAACCTGGGCTTTGGATCCAGATCGCCTTGAATTCAAACCCTAGATCTGCCACTTAAAGACTCAAGAAACTTACATAACCTTTTTGTAATTGTTCTCTATCTATAATAAATGAAAAGTATTACTAATTATTACTTACATGCAAGATTGTTGTGAGCGTAAACCACATGATGTGTGGAAGGTTTGGGGCACAGCATTCTTTACCAATTCAGGGTAACCCTGAAAACTTAGGAAAAAGAGAGGATTCATATAAATCACAAATTTTGCAAATGCATTTTAAATCCTCTCTTTGTTCCAGCTCCTTGTACAGACAGGACTGCTTGCTACTAAGAATTTCCAACACAACCTCCAATTAAATAGTTCTTTGATGTATAGTGGGTACAGAAGAAGTCCAACTTATTTGCATTTGCAGAATCAGGAGACCCCCCCAAAAAATGCTGGAGGTGTGAAAGCAAGAATCAGAATTTGTCAGGATTCTCCGTAAAGTACTAGCGGTTTTGTAGATGCTTTGCAGCTGTGGAACTATAAACACTCAACCGCAGACACCTCATTTTATATCTCTTCTATGTGGTATATTTCCCTTGTGAAAATGTGTATTTTTAAAATTCACTCTGCAAAATGACAGTCAATGTTATCAAATATACATTTATATGCCCTTGATTGTAAAACCCACTACAAAGTTTATTACCTTAAGTTTAATAGAAAACAATTTTGAAAAATGGGAAAAAAATATATCTGTCACAGGGAAGTGGTTAGAGGTTCTAACAGAGGAGATTTCTTGTTAGAATAATTTGTTGTATTTTGGTTATACATTTTTTGTTTTTCTTTCGAATGTTGAAAAAGTTAAGAATATATTAATACATGGACAGGTTAGAAAATATGTAAATAATAGGTTGGTCAAATCCTGCAGATGACAAATCATGAGAGTTTGCCAAGCTAAGGGGCCCTGGCCACTCATACCATCCCTTTATCTAACTCTTCCTCCTCATCCAGTCCCATAATAAAAAATATTAAGCTTGCACGTGGTACCTTCTCTTCTAGGCTACTTGTTAATGGGTCCTCTTAATTGGCTATGTATAAAATAAGATTCCCATGGGCAGAAATCTTTATCTGATCTGTTCATGGACATATCCAAGTGTCAACTAGATTTTGGCACACAGTAGATGTTTGGTAAATATGTATTGAATGAATGACAGACACTGTGCTCCACATTGTAAACACATCATATCATTTAATCATTATAACATCCCTATGCTATCCCCTATGTGCTATTATTAGCTCCATGGTACAGACAATAATCAGGATAGATCAGGAAACTAACCAAGGTTACACGGACAGTACCTAGATGGCAGGAGGCCCCAAAGCATGTGTACTAAGCATTATGGCACACTGCCTTCCTGTCTGGCATTCTTGGGACATGCATGTGTGAGCGATAAGGTAAGTCCAGGAAAGCGTGGGGCACTGGGAGAATGTAGAAGTAGGGATGATGGAATTTCATTTCCACAGTGAGAGCCCCCCATCCTGCTCCCATTGTCAGACCCGCACTTTTTGTTATCTCTTTTCCTTCTGTCTTGCTACGTTTGCTTTGTCTTCTTCCTCGATAGTTTCCCAAAGACTTTAAACGACTAACTATCAAAGAAGAGAATATATGTGAAGTCACTAGTTACTTTTCTGCTCAATTAGCTATATATAGATTAACTTTTTAAAAAAATATTTTCCCCATACACCCACTCACATAACTGTGAAGCTTAGGAAAAATTTCAAGATTATCGTGGGTGGGCCCCATATAAATCCCCACACTGTCAATTCTCCCAGCAGCTGTTTCTTAATTCGTCATCAGTGTAGAAATCTAAATCAGCACTCAGTGAAATCTAAAAGTCCAAAAGATTTATTTCAAATTTCAAACCTCCTCCCTAATGTTCTGAGGCTGTGTCAACACAGGTAGAGAGACGGGGAGAGCTGAGGGTATTTAAGAATCACATAATGTGAGAAACTGAGGAGACCCTAGGGATCTTTTAGCCCTACCCCCTCATTTACACATAAGGAAATGGGATCTGAGGCCAACAGCAAACTTGCCTGCCTGCTATCTGGGAAGTTCTATTAATAACACACTGTCATGGGGGAAAAAATTCATACAGGTAATAAAGGTTTGTTATTTTCAAAGATTAACATTCTTTATTAATTACCACTTTTTTGAAACTGACACAGCCACAAAAAACTCCTGTATAAGAAGAATTTGTCTAATAAATTGTATGATTGTTTATTGGGTATCTGTTTATTTTCTTAATTTTTAATTGTCTGTCAATCCTTCTTGATTTAAAGTAGTCACATAAATATATAAATGTAAAGAGTTAATATAACTAATTGAATTCATTTGAGGGAAAAAAATTAAATTTTCTTTTTAAAAAAAGAAAGAAAACATTAAAGACAGAGGTAACATTAGCACAAAAAAATGTGTATAATCAAAGTCTAGAGGGAGGCCTAAATGTAAATCAAGCTTTCTAGTAAGCAAAAACAAAAGAGAAAACCTGGTTAACTCCAAGGTTCAGAATTGCTGTGATATGCAGACAAACCAGCTGTGAAGACACTGCACAACAGTCTATGATAAAAAGACGGGAGGGACATTTCTTGTTTGTATAGCAAAGGTCTACAATTTGCAATGCACTGTGGTAAAACAGAAACCATAAGCTGAATGCTTTTGTCACTGAACTTATATTTTAGTTAGAAAAGACATAAGAAACTAATTGTGGCATTTAACTTATAATTTAGTTAGAAAAGACTAAAAAAGCTAACTGTGGCATGAATGAGAAAGAAATTACTGCTCTATTAGTGGTTCCAATACTGTGAGGCCACAGGAAAAAAAAAAAGGATTCTGAAAGATACGGTTTGGAAAGACTTCGTGGAGGAAGTGGCATATCAACAGGGACTTGAAGGCTGCCTAGATATGCAAAGAAAAAGTTCAACGGAAATACAGGATGAAAGAATTGGGTGGTCAAAGGAACAAACCCACTTGCTGATAGATTGTCAAAAAGTATAGTGTCTGCACTACTATGTGACGATGACATTTTTTTTCCCTTTGTCATCTAAAATTGCTATCAGGCCGGGTGCAGTGACTCACGCCTGTAATCCAAGCACTGTGGGAGGCCAAGGCAGGAGGATTGCTTGTGTCCAGGAGTTTAAGACAACCTGGCAAATATGGTGAGACCTCTCTACAGAAAAAATTTTAAATTATCTAAGCATAGTGGTGTACACCTATAGTCCCAGCTACTCAGGAGGCTCAGATAGGAAGATCTCTTGATCCCAGGAGGTGGTGGCTGCAGTGAGCCAAGATTGTACCACTGCACTCCAGCCTGGGCAACAGAGAGAGACCCTATCTAAAAAAGAATTAATTAATTAAAAAAATAATATTGCTGTCAGTAAAGACTGACTAGTCTGTGTGATATTTATCATAGCTATATTTCATAACTCCAGTGACCTTTTTAAATAAAAAGTAAGGTCCAGTTGACCCTCCCTGTCTGTAGGTTCTGCATACATTCAACCAACCATGGGTCAAAAATATTCAGAAAAAAAAATTTAAAAATACAATAAAAACTAATGTAGGCTGGGTGGGTGCAATAGCTCACACCTATAATCCTTGCAATTTGGGAGGCTGTGGCTAGAGGATCACTTGAGCTCAGGAGTTTTAGGTCAGCCTGGCAACATGGTGAGAACCTGTGTCTACTAAAAGTTTAAAAAATTAGCTGGGTTTGGTGGCATGCATCTGTAGACCCAGCTACTGGGGAGGCTGAGATGGGAGGATCACTTGATCCTAGGAGGTGGAGGCTATAGTGAGCCATGATTGCACCGCTGCACTCCAACCTGGGTGACAGAATGAGACCCTGTCTTTAAAAAAATAATAAAAATAAAAATCAATACAATATAACAACTATTTAGATAGCATTTATGTTATATTAGGTATTACAAGTAATCTAGAGATGATTTAAAATATAGGAAAGAATGTATGTAGCTTATAGGCAAATACTACGCCGTTTTACATCAGGGACTTGAGCATTTGCAGATTTTGGTATCCTTGGGGGGTCCTGGAACCAATACTTTGAGGATACTAAGAGATGATTGTCCATTAAAAATGTTTTACCATAAAGGAAACATTTTATCTCTTCTGTGTCAGTCTGTGACCTTTTGGGTGGAATCTGAACAATGTGTAAATGATAGTTTCCCAACAGTGTGCGCTGATGTGTAGGAGTAGAAAATGATCCTTTGGTTTTCATATAAAAACTTTCTTATGAAACATGAAGCTAACAACCAAGAAGATTAATCCCACCAGTGAGACACAAGGAATGCTTAATTTTGGAAGTGAAGCTACTTCCTCATCCCTGAGGCAGCACATACACTTTTTCAATAATCCTTTATTTAACAAGATCCAAGAATATTAATATCTAACAGCTTAGCCTAAATTTCTTGAAAGGACCAAGCCCATTGTGTTGTCTCCTGACTTGATTTTCCCAAACTGTCATGGATTTTCTATCTAAGGAAGATGAGTTCCTTAGTTCTGGGAAAACACCATTGAGGAAGGATGCTTCAGAAGAGGAAGGGATGTCAGCCAGGGCAGATAAAATTAGCAAGAAATATTAAGATTAAGTGCTATCTAAGAGGTACAAAAAATAATAGTGTTTCACCTCAATAGAATCTTATTGTTAAAAATACAGTGTATCTACAGTTCTGAAGATTATCAAAACACAATATTCTAGCCCCAAAACAGGAAAAGAATAATGATTCTTAAGAAAAAATTCTTTCTGGGCTGGGTAGGGTGGCTCATGCCTGTCATCCCAGCACTTTGGAAGGCTGAGGTGGGTGGATCATGAGGTCAGGAGATCGAAATCATCCTGGCTAACCCAGTAAAACCACGTCTCTACTAAAAATACAAAAAAAAAAAAAAAAAAAATTAGCCAGACGTGGTGGCACATGCCTGTAATCCCAGCTACTCAGGAGGCTGAGGCAGGAGAATCACTTGAACCTGGGAGGCGGAGGTGGCAGTGAGCCAAGATTGCGCCACTGCACTCCAGCCTGGGTGACAGAGCCAGACTCCATCTCAAAAAAAGAAAGAAAGAAAAAAAGAAAGAGAGAGAGAAAGAGAGAGAAAGGAAGGAAGGAAGGAGGGAAGGAAGGAAGGAAGGAGAAAGAAGGAAGGAAGGAGAAAGAAGGAAGGAGAAAGAAGGAAGGAAGGAGAAAGAAGGAAGGAAGGAAGGAAGGAAAAATATTCTTTCCATCCATTACACACTGTAATGTAAAATGATGTGTCCCAGACAATGGTCTGTAAACCACATTTTGTAATTCCATTGTAAAAGATAATGTAGTGCGAGCAAGGCCAAAAATCCACTATTCTTTGGAAAAGTGTGCCATTTAATTCCACTGAAGATAAGGCAGTTGGCACAAGTCAACTTTTCCCCCTGGCTTAGATGTAGTTGTGCCTTTCAAAATGAGCTCTCTCATTTGCCAAATACAAAGAAGAGAATAGTGTTTTCTCAGAGGACCACAGGATATCAAACATAATTAAAAATAAAAGTAAGATTCCCTTTGAATCTAGAAGAAAACTCACCCAAATTTCTTGTACCAAATGAAGGTATACTGCAGATTTTATCACAGTCATTACCATGAGCAGTCAATAATTCCCTGAATCCCTGTTGGACAGAATTACATCAGGTACATGTGTTGTGATGTTTTCTGTTTTGAGTTCTGTTTGTTTTTTATTTATTGGTAATTCAGATAATCTCAGTTTCAGGAATTTGTTTTCTTCTCTCCTAAAATGGAGCTGATGTTCATCTCTTCCTTATGTTATACCTGTATTTATGCACCAATTTCATAGAAAACCATCGTGCATTTTCCCATGGAATTTTGGGTGACAGTTTAAGATCAGCGTTTACTATAATGGGCAGACTTAAAATGGTCCCCGTGATCCCTGACTCCTGAAGTTCACTCCCTTGTATGCTTCCCCCTCTTTGAATGTCAGCGGACCTTTAACCTAGAGAATACAGCAGAGTTGGCCAGATATATGTGATTCCATGGTTATCTTATGTAAGATTGGAGTGCATGTCTTGCTAGAGTCTTTTACTTCCTTATTGACTTTGAGGCACCAAGGGGCCATATTGGGGAACCCCACATGGCAGCCTCCAACTGAGCCACCAAAGAAGTGAATTCTGCCAACAATCTGAAGGAGCCTGAAAGCACAGCCTTCCCTGGTTGAGCCTCAAATGAGACTGCAGCCCTAGCCAGTACTTTGATTACAGCTTTATGAGATCCTAAGTAAAGAAACAAGCATAACTGAGTCAGGATTCCTAAGCCACATAACCCGTGAGATAATAAATGTGTGTTTTAAGTGGCTGTATTTGTTATACAGAAATAAAAAATGAACATACTTACTAAAAAAGTTTTTAGCTGTTGTGAGTCCTGGTAATTGGATTTGTTTTCCAGTGATATCCATGGACACTGTGTCAATAGTGATGATTGATGCTGATTTGTTTTACTCTTATTTATTCAGGATCTGGGTATTAAAAATAAATTCAAACTTTCAACAGGCTGATCACCTCTGCCCCTCTCCCTATTAGCATGTGCATGTGTGTGTGTGTCCATGTGTCCATACATGAGTGAATGGATGTGTATTTAAGCTTAATCATGACACAGGGGGTTGTTTATACAGGGTTTTTAGAAAACAAAAACATTGTCTCTATGAGGCAGTTCCTTAGAAGCCAACTCTCAACAGTGTCTCAGTGTTTCCCTCCTGTAATTTTTCCACACATTATGCACTGGATTTTAGTTTGTGATACTCAGGATTAGTCATGAAACCAAGTCTTTTTGTGTTCTATGGTTTGACCAGCCCTGTGCAAGTCTCCAGGGAAGCACGAAGGACGGGTAAATCAGAGTCCCATCCCTTGAAGCATGGTGGTATTAGAACATCACTTAAAGAACAGGGATACATTACCCATTTAGTGAAATAATCTAGAAGTCCTGGAAACTAACTTAGCTCACAAGATGATATTCATTAGCCAATTTACTTCAGAAACTTTAAGAAAATCACTTTACCTCCTCTGTACATTCCTCCTTCCCTCCTTCCCTCTCTTTTCCTCTCTCCCTCCCTCCTTCCCTCCCTTCTTTCCTTCCTTCCCCATATTGTTATTAAATATGCTCATTATTAGAATAGTATCAAAGACACTGAGGCATTTTTAGATATCTTGTGAAATACTCCTTATTTTTGTCTCTTCCTTTAGATATCTTAATTATCAAAATAATCTAATAAGACTCTATTTGGAAATAAAGTGAAGGAGGGTAAAGTTGTGTTTTTAAATAGGCTGATCAGTGCTAGAAATAATAGGATAGTTTTAAATTCTAGCAATTATAGATCAAGGCTCCATATACTATTTCTAAAAAGTCTGTGAACCCCTGGGAATTGTGAATGTTTCCCATTACATCCTGCCAACGATTCTTATTAACCTATTGGTGACGTCTTTCCCAGAGGTGAAGCTTTGATCTGCTTGTCATCTCACATTCTGTCTCACCACAGTCTAGAGCTTCCAGGTCCATGGGGAACAAGGATGGGGCAGCAGCTTCCCTGTGCCAGGACTGACTGGGAAATTCCAGAATTCTATGACCAGGTACCTGGGAAGGGAGAAGAGCTCTCTGAGTTACAGTTAGTCTGGGAGCTTTTGAAGTGAAACTGTCATAGGGAAAGTGAAGGAATTTGCTTTGTGCAATCATCATGCCATAGTCTGACAAGACAATGGAAAAAGAAAGAAGGAATTTTCTCTCAAGATGTCAAATAATTAGCTGAGTCATGAATGCAAGCAGGTAGGCAGAAAACAGATATTTGTAGAGAACTTATTTCTCTTTCTCCTAATGAAGTTTTTGAACAACAACGATAAAATGGACCTTTTGCCTAAGAAGCAATTTAACAACCATTGCTTCAGTAACACGAGAACCAATGTGATTAGAGTGCTTGTGCTCTGTCCCCTCATAAATGGTTAGTATTGAGGCCTTATAAAGAAATATAACATCTGCTTTTTATACATAAATACCTACACGTAACCATCCACAAATAACTTACGAATACCCATAATAAACACAGAATCCATCATTATGTTAAATGCCACTGTGATTCTGAGCATTTTAATATGCTGTGAAGGCATCAGAGTAAAACAGAAACAAGTTATATCTAAATAGGAATGCCCAGTACATTTAAAGTAATGAGACGTTTTGCTAAATTCATATGTTAGCAATATGTCATGTGGAGTCATGAAGGATCAGAAATAAAAAACAGTAATTGTCCAAGCCGTCAAGGAGGGATCAGAAGCAGGCTTTGATCCCAGGCTCTGAGTAGAGTTGCTGTGGAATTGTAGATTACATAGAATACAGGTGGCATCACCACAGATTCCTGTTTATGTATTTAACTTGTAACTTCTCATTCTGACATCACAGGAATATTTTTCCTTAACAAAGTGAAATAAAAAGTAAATAAGCTCTTTAATATTGGGACATAACCAAATCAGAGGGCAACACAAATTTACATGGGTACTTGTGAGGCAAAAGAAAGAAAATTCAAAATTCACTTCTAAAAATGGACATTGTTTAAAGCACATTTAATAAGTGTTACAGAGTGATGTTTCACTGTCACCTTTAAATACCCCTTACTGTTTCTTTGGGATTACCAATTTCAACATGAAGGTCCGAGTGAACTTTGCTAGAGGTGATTTGCACAGGCTCATATGCATCTCTTCCTCATATTCAGTGACCTCACATTAGCAGCTTTAAATTGGCCATGTTGAGAACATTGACACCACAGAAATTGGCAAAAACTAGAAATCAAGTAACACATGCTACAAGTCTTTTTTTTTCTTTTCTCCCTTCTTGGAAAATTGTAATCCAGTTGTTAAATATTTATCATTATAAAGTAGATCCTTGTTAAAAATATTCTAATCCTCACCAATGGTTTTATTTTCTTTCTGCCTCTCTTCTGCTGCCCCTAAATTAAAGTAGGTCTTTTTATTTGGGGCTAAGACTAGTTCCATCAAAATATAAAATAGATGAAAAGTGTTTTGGGGCCTTTTTGCCCTCTTTTCCTAGACCTTTTCTGTTTCTCCTCTTGTCAAAATCTCACTTTTTTCCTTTACCTTTTCAGCCCTGCTTCAGCCCTAGGTCTTCCTAAACCAGAGAATTTTCCAAAAACTGCGTGAATATATATGCCACAGGCTGAAATAGTCTTCCCAAAAATTAGTCATTAAAAAAGTAGAGAAAGAAGATATAAGTTTTACATGAAACCCTATATAGATAGGAGTTCCTTCGAGTATTTTCAAACTTGATTAACAACAGAGTAAATTATTTAAGAATGATTTAAGAAATCAAAGTATGAGAACTTGGGGCTGATCCAAAGATGTGGGGATTCAGAGATGAGGGGCAGGCATAGAAGAGGAGAAGAGACTGAGTATTTGTCACCACGTAAATTCCTGGGCGAGTTGGGTAAATTTTTTATTATAAGAAAACACTCCTTTTTCTTCTATATAAAATTTTTTTCAAGTGAGTTGCTAAGTTCATTGTGAGTCATGCATTCCTTTGTTCAAGTGTGGACAAATGGTCCTTATTTTGTTGGAATTTTACACTGGCAGAGATCAATGGTACAACCTGGTGAACCCCCCACACCAAAGACACACAGGTGTACTTAAAGGCTGATCTTCTACAGTACGCATCTATGGACTGGCTTTGGGGTGTGTTCCCAAACACTCAGAGCCACCTTGAGCTGGGGAACTGGTTAGTACAAGTCTCTTTATGTGTCCCTTACTCTACAATCATGCACCTAGGGTCGTGCAAACATCCTGAAACCAACCCAAGCTCTAGGAGTCAGAAAAGGCCCTGAATGCATCTTCAATACAGGATCTGTGCACACAGCATGGCCTGCTTCTAGAAAACCAATGGGGCTCAGAGGCAGTCCAGACAGAGGCCTTATTTTAAGGGCTGATAGAATAGGCTGTGTTTCCCCAACAGCCTACCTTGGTGAGTAAACACCAACAATTAATTCATTTATTTACTCACTCAGGTTAGAACATTGTGTTTTCAAGTTTCTAATATTAAATTTCTTTTTCTTTTTTCTGGAATAGGGACTATCTTATTCAGCTCAAAATACCATAGACTGAGGCTTAAACAAAGACATTTGTTTCCCACCATTCTGGAGGCTGGAAGTCCAAGGTCAGGGTGCCAGCCTGCATGGCGAGGGTTCTGGTGAGAACTTTCTTCTTGGCTTGCAGATGGCAGCCTTCTCCCTGTTCCCTTACTTGGCAGAGAGACAGAGTGAGCCCTGGCATCTTCCTCTTCTTATAAGGATGCTATATTCCATCATGGGGGCCCAACCCTCATGTGCTTATTTAAACCTAATTACTTCCCAAAGACCCCACCTCCAAATATCAACACATTGGGAGTTAGGGCTTCAACCCATGAATTGGTAGAAGGGCGGGAGGTGGACACAAACGTTCCATCCATAATTCTAGCTGGTAACATCATTGTTAGAATCAGTTGCCTTGCCAGTCTCAGAAAACAGGACACTGAGATGCAAAGACATGTACATTTCCATTTGAGGCAGGTGCCAGGAGACAACTGAGAGGACACTGAGTTTAGAACATTGGATCAGGCATTGAGAGGGAATCTGGGTTGCTGGATGCAAGAGGCTAGTAAGGGGTGATGAGAGTTCTTCACATAAATCAACCTATAACTCACCCAGCCTCTGTGTCCCAGGGGCCTATCCATTATTGATCAAAATGTCAGTAGACCTTTTGGGTTGTGTTTCAAAGAGTAACCATTATCTTAGAGATTCATAGCAAAATATGAGTGGTTCCCAGTAAAATAAATCAGAGTTTCCTTTATCTTAGCTAGAAACACCTATTGGGACTTTTGTCAAATTATTTAGGGGAAGAAGAAGGTTGAAAGCAAACTTCCAATTGAAAAGAAGCATATTTATTGAAGTTCAGAGGGCTGGAGCGTTGTTTTTTGATTGACAAAATAATGAACTCTCTGATAAGAGTCCAGAATTAGTTGGCTGAATTTGTATTCATTTCTCCATAAATTTGCCAAAGTTAGAAGAGAAAATCCATAGAGGCCAAATGAAGAACCATTTGATTAAGCGTGTTATCAGCCTGGTTGTGGCCAAATTCCACCTCATATATTCATGCACACATTCTTTGCTATGAGTTGCATATGTGCTTTGTGGTTGTGGGCAGATTTAGGTTTGTTTTTCTTTCTGAGTCTTTTCTGGTCCAAAAGCTCATCATTTAAAGTTTTGGAAGCAATTTAGAAAGCTATTAGATTCCCAACCCCCTCCCGACTTTTGGAACACTTGCAGTTATTTTTTTCTGGCACAAAAACAATCAAAAAGGAAAAAAATGTCAGGATATCTTCCAAAGAGAGACATAAAGGTAACATTTTATTTATACCATGATTTGTTTATTCTTATTTGTTGTTACCATAAAAGTTATTTAATTTTTTTGAACTGAAAGGCAGATGATTTTAGGGGATAAAAAACCTAAAATAAGAAGTGTTGCTATGTGATTACAGAGAATAGTTGCTTTTGTTCTGCCTGTGTTTAATTAAAGCACCATTTGAGAAATTCAAGAATCAGGTGGTACCGTTGAGTCACTGGACACATTTTTAAGCACCATCTTGAAATGTGATATAAATTGATTTTAAATTTTAAATTTGTAATCATACACTTCCTCTAAATTGGGAATCATGAGAGCATTTCTTTTTAAGTAGTTTGTGATAATTTTGGAATTTGAAAGAAACTTTAAAGGTAATGTATTTAAAGTTACTCACAGAAATATGCTGGATGTGTTGACTGGTAACTTTAAACATGTTTATATTGCTATTTTTCTAGCACTTGAAAAGTAATCATGTTTTATAGCCAAAGTCATCTCCTGTCCATAGAACAATTAATAGTCATAATTGATAGTTTTATGCATGAAAATTAAGTATTGCTCCTGCAAAACTGAGGAGTTAATGTCTTTACGTGCTTTTTCACAAACATTCCTTATAATGGAACACCAAATGCCTACAATTTGAACACATGGCTGGTGGAAAAAAAGAAGAAAAAGAAAATCAATCCTAAGCCAGAAATCTGAAAAAAGACAGTGACTTTGGGTCATTTTGTAATCATCTTTGGTGCTTCAGTGACTAAAAAATACATGCAGAGTGCAAGAGCACCTTGCTGAATCCTACACCCTGCCCTCCTTGTGCAGTTATGTTACATGCAACTCCAAAGCCTCCACAGCTGTTGTCTCTACTCTCCATTCAAAACAATGCACGTGCAACTTTCCCTTGTGGCTGGCTTCGTCCTCCACACACCAATGCTTTGTGTGAAAAGGTTTCATTAAAATTGAGTTTAGGGTAAGTACGGGATAGGTGGAGAAAAGATTTTCTTCTAATGCTTCTCCAGACCACACTGTTTAGCCTTCAGGAGACCCAGGAATTGATATGAGCAAAATGTTTTTACACATGAACTGTTCTTTAATCCCTTTTTTGCTTCTTCAATCCTTGAACTTCATTCCCTTTCTTTTCATTAACATTTACAACACACACTTTACAGGGAAAGAAAGTGAAAGATATGTAATGATTCTGCCTGCTACATCTGACTGTACTCCATTTCTCACATTCTATCCTCATCTTTTTCTAGCCACCTGAGTCTTCAGACAGTTTTACCATCTTCCCTATTTTAACCCCAATTTAAACATCCACAGGAAGCCAAACAAAATATGCCCATCTGCTCCAGATGTGTCAAATCAAGTTCTGCTATTTTAATTTTTTTCCAGGCAAACCCTCCAACAAATGTATAAACAGGTTGCTTTTTAGAAGAAGTAAAGATTAATGTCTCTCTGGGAAAAAAAAATCCCATGCATTTTGGAAAGTCTGGCTGTTTTCCCCTTCAAAAAACTTCATGTAAACTAAATGCATGGCTTGATCCTCCCATGTACCAGAAGGGGAGCAGCATCTTTGAGCTCTCTTCCCAAATCCTCTGCTTGGTCTGGGCGTATCCTGTGAATGAGGAGAGAATCTACCCCACAGCCAGATGCTTGCATTTGGCCACAGTTCATTTCCAGGCAGCCTGGAAGAGAGCATCCCACAACATTGAACAGAGGCAGCCAAGATACTGTCGGGTGATCAGGACAGCTCCCGCCTCTGTGTTCCTGTGGAGCCTCCTTCCTCTCCAAGGAATTTGTCGCATGGGACTGCATAATTCAGTTGTCCATTCAGTCAACAGTGATTTACTAACAACCTACTTTGTGTTAGGCACTGTTCCAGGGTCTGCGCATTCAGCAGTGAGCAAAATAACACAAAATGCTTGCTCTCATGAACCTGGAGACAGACGGTAAGAATATACAGCGATAGGCAACATGGTAGGTGGGGATGAGTGCTCTGAATTAAAATAAGGCAGGACACAGAGATGGAGAGTGACCTGGACAGGACAGGGTTGGCAGCTCAGAAGTGCATTATCTACAGTGGTCAGGGAAGCCTCTCCAGTGAAAGGACATTAAGACGGAGCTGAAGGAAGGGAGAGAGTGGATGAAAGAGCAAAATCCCTGGAACTGGGACATGCTTGGCAGGTTGAGTGTCCACAAGAGCCCCAATTAACTACAGGAGGGTGAGCAAGGAGAGAGTAGAGGGAGTTGAGGTTAGAGAAGTAACCGTACGTCAAATTATGGAGGACTGAGTTTCTCAAACTCCAGTGTCTGCGCAAATCCCCCAGGGATCTTGTGAAACCACAGGCCTTGATTTAGAAGATCTGCGGCAGGCCCAGGGTCTGCATTCCTACCATGCCCCCAGATGATGCCCCTGCCTCTACCGTTCCCCAGACCATGCTTTGAGTAGCAGAGATGAAGGCCTTCTTGCCCACAGTACAAATTCTGCTATTTCTTTCCTGTTAATTTGAATTGGTATGCAACAACTGTACATATTTATGGGATAAGAGTGATATTTCAGTGCATGTATACAGTGTGTAATGATCAAATCAGGGTAGTTAGCATATCCTTCACTGTGAACATTTATCATTTCTTCATGTTGTGAACATTCAAAATCCTCTCTTCTAGCCTTCTGAAAAGATACCCCAGAGTATTGTTAACCATATTCACCCTACAGTGCCACAGAGCACTAGAATTCATTCACCCTATCTAGCTGTAACTTTGTATCTATTAACCAAACTCTTTTCATCTTTCACTCTCCCATACCCCTCCCTGCCTCTAATGACTACAGGTCTATCTCTGTTTCTCTGAGTTCAATTTATTTTAGCTTCTACATATGAGTAAGAACATGTGGTATTTGTCTTTCTCTGGCTGGCTTATTTTAGTTAACATGATGTTCTTCAAGCTGATCCATGTTTGCTGCAAATGGCAGAATTTCATTCTTTTTTACAGCTGAATAGTATTCCATTGTGGATATGTACCACATTTTCTTCATCCATCCATCTATTGATGGACACTTAGATTAAAGGTACTCTGCTTTTACTATGAGTGAAGTGGAAATTTTTTGAGGCTTTTCTTTTTATGAGACAGGATCTCATTCTGTCCCCCAGGCTGGAGTGCAATGTCACAATCATAATTCACTGCAGCCTCCACTCCCAGGGCACAAATGACCTTCTGCCTGAGCCTACTGAGTAGCTAGGACTACAGGTATGCACCACCACACCCTGCCAATGTTATATTTTTTGTAGAGGAAGGTTCTCCCTGTGTTGATGAGGCTGCTTTGGATGCTTTTAAATAGTGGGGAAATAGGATCAGACTCATTTTTAGGGAGCCCCTCTGGCTGCTCTGTGAAAATAGGGCAAGGGAGGAAATAGGAGACCTCCTGGGAGATAACTGGAGTAGTCTGGGTGAGATACTTCAGTGCCAGCATCTAAGGTACTTGCAGGTGGGACAGCCACAACGAATGCCACTTCAAGTGAATGTGAGGATCAGCTCTGCTGCCCACGTGGAAACATAAGTAAGGTTGTTACCTGTGGCCTTGCAGAAGCCTGCAAGTCAAAGGCCTTTTGATGGTTGGTGAAAATCACATCTGATATGCGTGATTCCAGGAAGCTCATCTGCCTCATTCCTGAATTTAATTTCTATCCATGATGCACATATTACTATTGCATTAAACGTGAAGTCATTGCCTCCTGCCATTGTAATGTATGCATGCTATTGCAGAGGAAATGTTTTTATCTACCTCCCAAATAAGTAAGCATAACTTGAGCTCGCATTACAAAATGACACAATAAACTAAAAAGGAATTCATTTAATATTTTTAAACATGATTTTGGTGTCCTTATATTTAGGGAAATATTTTATTGTAAGTTCATCTTACAATAAAATTTATAAGGGAAAGATATTTTATTGTAAGTTCATCTCAGGACAAGAAACTTCACTTGGCATAGAAATTAACATCCAATCTGCAGCCTGTCATTGTAGTGAGATAGTCTTGAATTCCCTAGCTAAGTTATTTACCTAAACAAAGTCTTGTTCACTTTGAATTTCCTAGCTAAGTTTTTTACCTAAACAATCATTATATATGTTTCAAAATATTTAAATTTTTCCCTTCCCTCTGATTTTATAATTTTCTTGATAAACCTTCCTAAATATCTTTAAATTTCACTGATCTAATGGTTCTTAACCAGGGGTGATTTTGCCCCCCATCAAGGGATATTTAACAATATCTGGTGACATTTTTAACTATCGGGAGTTGGGGGATGCTACTGGTATGCAGTTGGCAGAGGCCGGGGATGGTTAAGCATTCTGCATACCTGGGAGGGCCTTCCATAACAGAGGATCGTTCATTCCAAAATGTCAGTAGTGCCACATTTGAGAAACCCTGGCCTTCTGGTGACCACAAGGCCTTCAGCTACAGAAAATAAAATTCACCAAAGATCCCCACAGCCATGCTTTGAAATCCTTCACAGTTTGCACTGAGCCATGCTTCCCACAGGCTGCTCCAATGAAGGGGATTACTCTGAAGGCCAGCTTTGGCTCCTGGATTCTCCAACATCCGTGCCAAACCTTTCTTATGCAGCACAGTAGCCTCAGACATTTCCAGCTCACTCCCACTTTTCTCTCAGGACATTTTTCCTATAAAATTCTTGCACATTTAATCTCATTTAGAATCTGTTTCTCAGAGATCCTGGATTAATATATCATGGCATTAAATCATTGAAAATAATGAATTAATGATCTTTCCTCATTGTAGTGATATGGGAAGAAAACGTTCTGAT
Source organism: Homo sapiens (assembly GCF_000001405.40). Lineage (NCBI taxonomy): Eukaryota > Metazoa > Chordata > Mammalia > Primates > Hominidae > Homo > Homo sapiens. Next base: position 32,278,222 of record NC_000008.11, read on the forward strand.
ACACAGAACACAGAAATGGCTCAGAAATGAGAAACTGACTGACTACTAAATTGTTAGTAAAAGCAACAGAATAAGTAAGTGAAAAATAGAGCAATTTGGGGGGAAAAAAAGTTGAGAAACCCCAATCTTCAAAAAAAGGATAAAAGTCTTAGCTTTTGTTCATGTGTTATTTAAAACCCAACTCAGGCCTCAACTGAAACAACTAAAATTAGGAACCAAAATTGCATCCCCTGCCCATTCACACTTTTGGAACCAGAGTGGTTCTGGACATAGTCATGAGGTCATCATTCCTAATTAGAGTAGGAATTTCAATTCTTGGGTTTCTAACCCAAATCTCGCTATCCTCAGAAAGCTTGACAGTATTTGCAGCTCTGCCCATTAGATGAGATCTACCCTTTGCCTTTGGTCAGGAAGAGTCCTATGTATGGACACATCACCACAGACCACTCAGATTCCCTCTTACCTTCCCTAGGACACTCTGCCTCCCTTCCTCCTTTCCATGATACTCATCACTCTGGGTAGACTCTGCCCAGGCAACAATTGCCCTCTGTGGTTTGCCAAGACCCATCCTGCTTTCTGGGAATAGATGAGTCCCTCTAAAGATGGGCATGTCCCCAGCCACCCACCACTGTGCAGGTGGCAGCTGACGTCTATTGTCCTGCAACTCACATATCCTGATCTCTGCTCTGTTATGAACTCCAGCCAGAGAAATATACAGATCTTATTCCTGATTCATAAGAGACTGTGTTTGCCTTGGATTTAACCAGGTCTGATGACTTTCAGGATTTATTATGTTGATGAATAAAGGGAAATTCTCTCCCTTAAACTAACACAATGATCTCTCTGAATCAGATTCTCCCTATACGCAGCCAGCAATACTAGAGAAGCCCCAGAGACGCTGCTACTTGAGGGCTGGCCTACCGCAGAGCTGGCGTTTATGTTGTGATGATAAACATTCTTGAAAAAACCCTGAAGGAGATCCTGGCATTTTCCTAGTGCCTTTATGTGCCATACCGAGTGCAAGCTGCTTTTCATGTACTAACTAATTTAATTCCTGCAAGAGTCCTGTGGCATGGGTATTTCTTATTCCCATTTTACTGACAAGGACACTGAGGCTCAAAAAGTTGTTTTTTTGTTTTGTTTTGTTTTTGAGACGGAGTCTCACTCTGTCGCCAGGCTGGAGTGCAGTGGTGTGATCTCAGCTCACTGCAACCTCAGACTCTCTGGTTCAAGCAATTCTCCTGCCTCAGCCTCCCAAGTAGCTGGGATTACAGGCACGTGCCACCACATCCAGCTGATTTTTATATTTTTAGTAGAGATGGGGTTTCACTATGTTGGCCAGAATGGTCTCGATCTCCTGATCTCATGATCCACCCACCTTGGCCTCCGAAAGTGCTGGGATTACAGGCGTGAGCCACCACGCCCGGCCAAGGCTCAGAAAGTTTAAGTGACTTGCCCAATATCACAATGTTAGTAAGTGGTAGAGGTATAATTTGGATTTTATTTGAATTGGAAAAGGCTGTGATCTTTCTAGGTGATATTCTAGGTAACACTAGTTTCCAGCAGGCACTCTCCATTACCTGCGTCTGTTAGGTCTGAGTCTGCTATGGTTTTCTGACTGATGTGTAGGGTAACACAATTAAGGAACTCTCCACTGGAAGGCCAAGTCTCCACTCAGGCACGTAGGTAGCTGGCAGTCCTCCTTGATTCTGCTAGCCAGAGCCAGCTTATTGAAAACAAAAGCAGTCTGTTAGGACAGTGCCCAGACTTCTGACTTCACTACGGAGGCTAGGAACCAAGTCAATATCATCAGTCATTACTTTCCATCAACCTCTATCATTTACATGCAGTAGGTGCTCAGTAAATGCTGATAAATTCCTGTATGAATAATAAATGAATGAACAAACAAGAGCATTTGTCTGTACAAGTTACAGAGTTTTAGAATAGAATGTAAGTGTGAAGCTCGATAAATTCAAACTTCTGCAATATCCCCACCAAGTGGTTATCTAAATTCCGTTTGACTTCCCTTGGCAGGGAATACGCACGCACACTTTCTAAAGGAGTTTTTCCACTTCATATGACTCTGGCTGTTCAGAAGGAATCACTAATTAAATGAGATCTTTGAAAAAAGTCAAGAAACTGGAAATAAGTAGGAATTGCTTTACCTGATGCTTATCAGCTTACAGGCTTTACTGCTCCAAAAATTTGGTTCGATTTGAAAACATTATGCTAAGTGAAATAAGCCACACACAAAAGGGCAATTATTGTATGATTCCTTTTATATGAGGTACCTAGAATAGGCAAATTCATAGAGAGAGAAACTAGAATGGAGATTCCCAGGGGCCGTAGAGGGAGAGTAGTTATTGCTGAATGTGTTTGGGGTTTCAGTATGTGGTGAAAAATTCTGGATACAGATGCTCACATGTCATTGTGGGTGTCTTTCATGCAACTGAATTAGGTTTTTTTTTTGTTTTTTTTTTTTTTTTTTTTTTTCAGATAAACCATGAATCACATTTTATTTATTTTGTCCTTTCATTTTTTTTTTTTTTTTTTTTTTTGAGACAGAGTCTTGCTCTGTTGCCAGGCTGGAGTGCATGGTATGATCTCGGCTCACTGCAACCTCCACCTCCTGGGTTCATGCTATTCTCCTGCCTCAGCCTCCCGAGTAGCTGGGATTACAGGTGCCCACCATGATGCTCAGCTAATTTTTTGTATTTTTAGTAGAGACGGGGTTTCACCGTGTTAGCCAGGTTGGTCTCGATCTCCTGACCTCGTGATCCACCCACCTCGGCCTCCCAAAGTGCTGGGATTACAGGCATGAGCCTCAACTTTTATTTTACGTTCAGATGGCACATGTGCAGGTTTGTTACATGGGTAAATTGCATGTTACTGGGGTTTGGTGTACAAATTATTTTGTTACCCAGGTGGTGAGCATAGCATAGTACCCAATAGGTAGTTTTTCCTTTTTTTTTTTGAGACAGAATCTCGCTCTGTCGCTCAGGCTGGGGTGCAGTGGTGCGATCTCAGCTCACTGCAACCTCCGCTCCTGAGTTCAAGCGATTCCCCCTGCCTCAGCCTCCTGAGTAGTTGGGATGACAGGCACCTGCCACCAGGCCCCCATAATTTTTGTATTTTTAGTAGAGATGGGGTTTCACCATGTTGGCCAGGCTGGTCTCGAACTCCTGACCTCAGGTGATCTGCCTGCCTCAGCCTCCCAAAGTACTTGGATTACAGCCACGAGCCATGGCACCCGGCTGGTAGTTTTTCTTCCTCATCCTCCTCCCAACCTCCAACCTCAAGTAGCCTCCCCCCAACAGTGTCTATTGTTCCCTTCTTTGTCCCCATGTGTACTTAGTGTTTAGCTCCCACTTATTAAGTGAGAACATGCAGTATTTGGTTCTCTGTTCTTGCATTAATTCGTTTAGACATGGCCCCTCCAGCTGCATCTATGTTGAGCAATTAAAAAAGGTTAAGATGAGCTAAGTGAGGTGGTATGCATCTGTAGTACCAGCTACTCAGGACACTGAGGCAGGAGGATCACTTGAGCCCAGGAGTTCAAAGCCAGCCTGGGCAACATAGTGAGACCCCCCCCATCTCTTTTAAAAAATATTTCAGATGATAAATTTTATGCTGTATGTATTTTACCATAATACAAAATTGGTTGAAGAGGAGTACATATAAACACAACAACGAAGTGTTTAACTCATCAATTTCAGATACACAGTAAAAGAATGTATATGAGAATTGGTCAAGGACATTCTGAGGCTTTAAGCTTCAAGTCAAGAAAAACAACTGCCTTTCTGAAAACTTACACCGCTCACAGAGTCTGGTGGGCTATGAATTTGATGGTACAACTTCTAACTTGACAGTGTGGAGATCAAGGGTATAGGAATGTAAAAAGCTTTGAAAAGTTTGAGAGTGGAGTTTGCACAGCTGGACACAGGGCACCACAAACACAGGTGGTGCATTTGTGCCTTTGGTGGACAAAGTATCACCCACAATGCACAGGCGCTTCCCTGGCTGGACAATAGGTCTCTCTCTCCATCCCCTCTCTCTCTGTTTCAAGAGAAGACATTTTACGTAGGACCTTCCACTCTGAATATGAAGGGTATATCATTTCCCTCTCAAATCCAGACTCCTCTAGTTGAATGGCTGACAGCCAACAGAAGGGGTGTATGCACCCTTCATTAGGCCAGATTTACTGTCCGCCTTCCATGAGTGGTTCAGCATGCTCTCTGTCCAGCTGTGGCTCCTGCCTGCAAAGCGTGCCATCAGCTTCCTGGTTCAGAGAGAGCTAATTTTCTCTAATTGCTTCCAATGAGAGGTGGGAGGCAGGAGGGTATGTGCCCCATTCAGAGCCGCTGTTCTCATCAGCCTCACCAAGCAGTGAGAGCAGCTTTCACATTCAAGGTCTTCTTTCCATTATTTGGGTAAAAATGTTTTGTCTCATAACCTGGGATTTAAGAATCTTCAACAGGTTGCTTAACCCTTAAAGATCTGACCCACCTGGCCTTTAATAGATTTAAAGACTTTATTTGGTTTTATGATTTTTAAAGGAATCATAATTCCTACTTATTTAAGAACTTTAATTCCTATATAAGAATAATTTATTCTCATTCATACTTGTAAAAAAAGTGTATCCATTGTTTTAGAAAAGGGGAAAATAGAAGACAGGTTAAAAAAGAAAACTAAAAGGCATTTGGTGTTGCTTAGATGTACATGTTTTGTAGTATATATATGTGGTTTTGATCATAAATAATGTATCAAAGACATATAATACCAATTTCTGTTCTTTTTTCTGAAATCTTAGAATTGAGTCCTTAGAAGAAATACCAAGCTAAAGGGCATGTGAATTTCTAAGTTTCCTGGCACTTAATTCCAAATTGTTATTCCAATTTCTAGTGTGCCATACTACATCTTTATTAGCATTCAGGATTATCTTCTTGGTTAATATAGTAAAATATCATTTTGTTGTTTGAATTTTCATTGCTTTGATAATTGATGATATTTAAAGATGTTTAGGCTCTTTTTTTCTTTTTCATTTGCTCAGCTTTTCTGAAAACCTTTAGGAGACAAGTTTCTCCCAAATTTTTTCTACTGAGATTTATGCATTACTGATATGACTTCTAACATATAAGCTAGTTAACATCAAGAGGATTAGTCTATCACACCACTTGTCACCTGGGGCAAGGTAGTATCCAGTTCATTAGGGTAAAGGTCAAGTAAGTGTTTTGTTTGTTTAAAGGGGAACACGGGTAGGAGTTATCCCAAAGTTAGAACGCAATGAAACCCAACTATATAGTAAAATATATTTGGGGCTCAACTCTGTTAGCCATCAAAGGTAGTACAAAACATCAGAAGATGAAGAGGGTTTTGAAAGAAAGAAGGGCCATGTCAGATTAAGAGGTAGAGGAACATCAAGATAATTTTTCTTCTATTAGAGTTTCTCTTTTAGGGTTTCTATTAGAGTTTCTCTAATAGGGGGTAGAGAAACAGCAAGATAATTTTTTTTCTATTAGAATTTCTCCATTAGAGTTTCTCACCTGCAAGGTGTTGACTTTCCAGTTACCTGGCATTTCATTCTACTTTTTGGAATGGCCTGAGCTGAAATTAATCAGGCTCTGTTGATGATGCATCCACCAGGGTTTCCCATTGGATGCTTAGAAAAAATTCCATCACAGAATATCTGTGTCTTGTCTTCTTGGGGGCTAGGAGATCCCCCAAATTTTTCTCTTCTGTTCTTGTTTGATAAAGGATGTGTGGAGGACCTGGTGCTTAAGAGTTTCAGTTTGACATAAAGGTACTAGTTCTGGAGAGTCTCTTGGGCCACTTTATGTTAACAAAGACTCTCTTGATCAGCCTTTAGTTAAGCTTCTCTGAGCTCTCTCCTTGACTAGGCTTCAACCTTGGGCTTCTGTGTCAGTCCTTGTGGAGTCTGGTTTTAGCAAGAATCTTGCAAAGTCAGTTTAGAGAGAATACCCCACCTTTTATATCTGATCAATTTCCTCAATCCCCACCTGTAATGTATAAGCCCTTGACCTGCCTTGAGTAGAAATCTCCTACCCTTCATGTCTCCTCCTAGTAATTTTCCATCCACTGACCCCACACTCTGCTCTTTGACTCT